>NC_000001.11:119250804-119553835 GCF_000001405.40 Homo sapiens
CCAGGCGCGGTGGCTCACACCTGTAATCCCAGCACTTTGGGAGGCCGAGGCAGGCGGATCATGAGGTCAGGAGATCGAGACCATGGTGAAACCCCGTCTCTACTAAAAATACAAAAAAAAAAATTAGCTGGGTGCAGTGGCGGGCACTTGTAGTCCCAGCTACTCGGGAGGCTCAGGCGGGAGAATGGCGTGAACCCAAAAGACGGAGCTTGCAGTGAGCTGAGATCACGCCACTGCACTCCAGCCTGGGCGACAGAGCCAGACTCTGTCTCAAAAAAAAAAAAAAAAAAAAAAAAAAAATATATATATATATATATATATATATATATATACACACACACACATATATAAATACATATATATATACACACACACATATATATACACACATATATACACATATATATATACACATATATATATACACACACACACACATATATATATATATATAGTGACCATACTCAAAAATATAATAACCTTGAAAAATTCTAAAGGTATACAGGTCTAATTTTTACCATTGGTTTCCACTGGGGAGTGAGAGTAGAGTGTGAGAATGGCACTCTTGCTTTGTATTTTGTATACTCTTAAGTTACTTGAAGTTTTACAATGATCATGCAGTACTTTTTTAATTTTTTAAAAAAATACAATTAAAAATCAAAAAGAGGCCGGACACAGTGGCTCACGCCTGTAATCCCAGCCGAGGCAGGGAGGCCGAGGCAGGTGGATCACCTAAGGTCAGGAGTTCAAGACTAGCCTGGCCAACATGGTGAAACCCCATCTCAACTAAAAATACAAAAATTAGCTTGGCGTGATGGTGTGTGCCTGTAGTCCCAGCTACTCGGGAGGCTGAAAGAGGAGAATCACTTGAACCCAGGAGAAGGAGGTTGCAGTGAACCAAGGTCATGCCACTGCACTCCAGCCTGGGCAACAGAGCAAGATTCTGTCTCAAAAACAAAACAAAACAAAATCAAAAAGAAAAACGTTAAACTAGTATTTTAACCAGGAACAAGAAAAATAAAGAGCTAAAGCTGACAGTAGTAGTAAGGCCAAGGAATACAAGCATGGACACAGAGCCTGGAGATTCCCATGACTGGAGTTTCCTTACTAGTTCTTCCCACAGGCCTGACCACTGGCATTTCAGAACCAACCTGTTTCCCGGACTTGTGATGCTCTGGCAGCAGAGCCAATCAATGTTTGCATCATTGTTGCTCCTGCTGCAGTACAGGCAGCTGTTGTTCTATTCCTGAAATTCAGGGTTGCAACCCTTGGTCTCAAAGTGAAGAGTCATGTCCACAGGTCAAGGAGCTAGGGCTTCTAAAAGAGGACGTCCCTGCTGTTTTTTAGAATTTAACTGGACTATTGTGACTACTATCTCTGTACCTTGACTTCTGTGCTTTGCTTCCTTATTAACTCCTTATGACTTAGACCTTAGATTTGCCCATAGATTCTGTTTCTGCCTCTGTTCCACTTGAGTGTCTTCTCTTGAGTTTACCTACTGTCAGATTCTGGCCAATTCTATGACTCAGATTTTTTTCTGGGACTCTATTTGGACATTTTCCTTACACTTTCTTTCATTGCCCAATCCTCTTCCAAAGCTGCTATTATCCTGTCTTAACATTGACATGGCCAGTCAAGAGGCCAGGATGGGCTGGGGAGAAGGGATACCAAAAAACAGAAGTTCCCCACGTACGGGGCACTTGCCGTTGGGGAAGAAGTTGTTCTCAATTTCACGTGAGAATCCTGGTGAGATGACTGAGAAATCAGTGAGAATGTCATGCCGGAGTCACAGTGCTGTGGTTTCTAACAGCCTCTATACTTTGGAAGCAACCTGTCTAAAGTGGTATGTATTTCTTAAGTTATAACTATATGCAGGAAAATGGAGGGCCACCAGCTTGAGCCAATCTGTCTCTCTTAGTTTGCTTGGACACTGACCTCTCCAAATGAGGATTTTTATTTATTTTGTAATTCATGATATATCAAGAACATGTGGAAAGAGTCCAGGAGTAAACTTAAATTTCTTTTAAACCATACAGTGTGGATCAGAACCATGGCTTTGCATAGTTAAGGACCTTTCTTCTCATGCTTCTCAACAAGCAGGCCGGGGTGAGATTTGTGCATTGACAAGGGAGATGGTTAGAGAGATACGGCTTCTTCCAAGACTGGAATTGAAACCCAACCTCAATTAAGTTAAGAAATTCTCAATTAAGACTGTCTGGCCCTCTTAGCCCTGCCAGCTTTTAAGAGCAGACACAGGATCTCCTTAGGACCCAGGACTTCTTGCCTTCAGTAAAGCAAACACCTGAGGTGGGGGTGGGGGGTGGGGGGCGGGGGGGCGTGGTTGGAATTTTCTGCTTTTATTGGAGGCAATTTTAGACTGGTGAGTGGGCAAAAATCTGACCTGAATCCTAATCTCTTAGAGCCCATCTCTGATTTCTTGCTCTACCACCCCATTACCTGGCCCACATGGCTTAGATTATTGAATCTTGATCCTTGAACATGGACTGAGGTATATGGTGGCTGTAGCATATTGTAATAAAATTCCTTATATATTTTTCATTTCTTCATGCCTCTTAAAGTAATCTTTTGGCATGAATGGACATTCTCCCTTTGAATCCCAATTCTGAATTTCCTACCTAACTAATGCTAGGGAGGAGAGGTAAAAGGACTACATAAAGAAAACACACTGCTTTTTTTTACCCTAGTGTTTTATCAGGAAAAACATTACATTTGGAGTCAGCCAAGGTTCGTATTTCATCTTACCAAGAGTATATGTTTGCATGAGTCACACAAAAATGAAAGAGACAATAGTAATAATTCCTGTCTTACCATTTTGTTGAGATTGGTAAACAAGAAAGTGCCTACAAATGAACACTGTAATATATTGTACAAATATTATTTTTGTTGTTATTATTACATGGCATGAGTGAAATAATACTAATGTGTTTTCTGCATTTTAAGATATGATTTTGTAAGTAAGAAAAAATAATATAAATAGTCACAGTCTAGTATATAACCAGTTTAAATTTCCAGGAGAATCTATAAAATGTATATTCATTTTCGCATTAGAATCACAAATTGTTCATTGGTTGCCTTGAAACTCTGAAAGGAAAGATTGCTTTTCTCTCTGAACTTCAATAAAAGATTTATTTCCCTAATAGAAATCGTTGGATATCTCTACATAGTGATAATAATTCATTATTATATGTATTTATGTTTGTGGATATGTAGATAAATATGTAGCTCTAGACAGATTATCTGTCTATCTATCTACATATGTAACTATCTATTAAGGGAAAAAGGGCCTTACTGAAAAGAAAAAAAAGATGGAAATTTTCTGCTTTTGTCAAAGGCAATTTTGGCTGGGCAAGTGGACAAAAACGTGACCTGAATTCTATTCTGTGAGAGCCCAGCTCTAATTTCTTGCTCAATTACCCTGTTACCTGGCCCACACACTTTAGGTTATTGAACCTGGATCCTTGAACATGGACTAAAGGATATAGAGGTGGTGGTAAAACTGGTAAAGTTTGTAGGTAAGTGGGAGCCACACAGAATCATGTACTCTGGCCTGCTTGTGGGAATTAAAATCAAGTAACTGCTCGTCATGTGCCCATGAAAATCCCAGAGACGTTTTCAAACTGTTGTCAGCCTGGTTTTTGTTTTATTTTGGCAACATGTCAATCTATGCCAGTAGGAGCATGTGTGCTCACACTTACTCATCTCCTCATTCCATTGGTATCCAGTGGTCTATGGGCAGGTCCCTCTGCTAAGCACTGGGAATACAAAGGTGACTGAAAGGTCCTCCTGTTAATAGGTAAACAAAAGCAGCCAAGAAAATACATTCAATACACAGCACACCCAGAAGCCAAAAAGGAAATTTTAAGAACTTAAAATTTAAAACATTTATATGGCAAAAAAATAAAAAATAAAAAAATCCATAGCCAAAGTCTAAGGACAAATACTACATTGGTTGTTCAAAATAAATGTGACAGATAAATGGCTACTTAATTTTCAAAAAGTTTTACCAAATTAAAAAAAAGAAAAGAAAAGAAAACAATAACTACATGCAAGTAATATAAACAGGTAGTTCTCAGAAAAAGATAAAATACAAATGTGATGATTAATATTGAGTGTTAACTTGATTGAAGGAGACAAAGTATTGTTCCTGGATGTGTCTGTGAGGGTGTTGCCAAAGGAGATTAATATTTGAATCAGTGGATTGGGAGAGGCAGACCCACCTTCAATCTGGGTGGGCATCATCTAATCAGCTGCCAGCGCGGCTAGGATAAAGCAGGCAGAGGAATGTGGAATGAGCAGACTTGCTGAGTCTTCTGGCCTTCATTTTTCTTCCATGCTGGATGCTTCCTGTCCTCAAACATCAGACTCCAAGTTCTTCAGCTTTTGGACTCTTGGACTTACATCAGTGACTTGCTTGGAGCTCTCAGGCCTCAGGCCACAGACTGAAGGTTACACTGTTGGCTTCCCTGCTTTTGAGGTTTTGGGACTCCGACTGGCTTCCTTGCCCCTCAGCTTGCACACAGCCCATTGTGGGACTTCACAATGTGATCATATGAGCCAATAGTCCTTAATAAAGTCCCCTTTTTATATACGTCTGTCCCATTAGTTCTGTCTGTCTAGGGAACCCTGACTAATACAACAAATGACCTGAAATATATGAAAAGATTCTCAACCTGACTGAAAATACTTAAATGCAATCAAAACAGCAAAGAGACATTTCATCAAAAAGGGAAACACTAGAAAGTTCTGCTATATGTGGGGTTGGAAAGAAAAGATTAAAATAAACACATTTGTATACTGTTGGTGGGAATTTAAATTGGTGCAAAATTTTTGGAGTACAACTTGGCAACATATTTTAAAATTTTAAATGTCCTTTGATGCACTACTAGGAATTTATCCTAAATATATACTTACAAATGTAACCTAAGATGGACAGTATTGTAAAAATTGAAAATAACCTGAGTATTCATCAATTTTATCATTAAATAAAGTTATTTATTGCTACAGTTATCTTTTATTGCTTTTATTTAATTATTCATTAAAGTTACTGCTTTATTGCTACAGGAATACTATTTGGCCATTACTATATATATACATTTTTTTGAGACAGAGTCTAGCTAGCTCTGTCAACCAGGCTGGTGTGCAGTGGCGTGATCTCGGCTCACTGCAATCTTAGCCTCCTGGGTTCAAGCCATTCTCATGCTTCAGCCTATGGAGTAGCCAAGATTACAGGTACTTGCCAGCACGCCTGGCTAATTTTTGTATTTTCAGTAGAGACAGGGTTTCACTATGTTGGCCAGGCTGGTATTGAACTCCTTGGCCATTACAATCTTTTCTTTTCTTTTCTTTTCTTTTCTTTTCTTTTCTTTTCTTTTCTTCTCTTTTCTTTCTTTCTTTCTTTTTCTTTCTTTTTCTTTCTTTCTTTCTTTCCTTCTTTCTTTCTTTCTTCCTTCCTTCTTTCCTTCCACCTTGCCTTGCCTTGCCTTGCCTTGCCTTGCCCTGCCCTGCCCTGCCCTGCCCTGCCCTGCCCTGCCCTGCCTTTCTCTCTTTCTTTCTTTTTCTTCCTTTTTTATGGAGTTTTGCTCTTGTTGCCCAGGCTGGGGTGCAATGCTCTGATCTCGGCTCACTGCAACCTCCATCTCCCAGGTTCAAGTGATTCTCCTGCCTTAGCCTCCCAAGTGGCTGAGATTACAGGCGCCTGCCACCATGCCCGGCTAATTTTTATTTTTAGTAGAGATGGGGTTTCACCATGTTGGTTAGGCTGGTCTCAAACTCCTGACCTCAGGTGATCCGCCCTCTTCAGCCTCCCAAACTGCTGAGATTACAGGTGTAGGCCAGTGAGCCTGGCCAGCCATTACAATCTTAAAGTAGATGTCTATGTGTTGGGATAAAAATGTTTTCTCATATAAGTGAAGAAAGCAAGATGCAGAGTAGCATATTTAATATTATCTTATTTATAAATAAAAAAGATTATGGGTAACGTAGAGTGATAGATACATAAATAATTTTTCTGAAAGTTAACCAGAAAGTGTTAATAGTTGGGCACAAAGATCTGTTGGTGGTGGTATGACATGTTTTACTTTTCTTTTTCTACCTCTCTCTCTCTTTTTCTATGTGGCTACATTCCTATTATTTAAATAAAATAAATTAAAAAGTTAAAAGCACACTGCCATATGTTGTATGATAGAGGTGGTGGGTTCATGGGATACAAAGGACAGGCATCTGAACCAGGATAGACAAGGGTAATGTCAGAGAAGACTTCCTGTATCAAAGGATGCCTGGATCAAAGGATGCCTGGGCTTCATTTCTAAGGGTAAGAAGTTGTTAGATGAAGATTGAGGTATGGGTAAAGGAATGGTATTTGCAAAGGCATGGAGATGAGAGTGAAGGCCAGACATGTTTAAGAAATTGTTTTACAAATGTTTTGTTGGAGTGCAGAGTAGTCAGCAAATTAAAAAGTGGGATATGTAGGTGTCAAATCACCTAAGGCCTTAAATAGCCTCCTAAGGACTTTGGACTTTCTCCTAAAGCAAGGAGAAACAACTAAATAATTTTAAATGAAAAAGTGACCTGACTAAAATCCTTAAAACCTTACTGAATAAATGCGAAGTTGCTCAATAATCCAAGTATGTTAGAAGTCTCGCTGTATGCACAACATCGCAGAAGGGCCATCCTGGGTCAGCTAACCTGGGATGCAAAAAGTATAACTCCATTCCTTGGAAACAGCTTTAAAGATGTGAGTTCTTCACATAATATTTGTTCATTCATTTATTCATACTAATAAAAACAAATATTAAGTATATTTTTATATTGAGTATATGTTATAAGGAAAGCAAATATTCTAAGCTTTGAGAGCAAAGGTGCAAAATGCATTGTCTCTGTCATCAGAAAATTTAGAATGATAATCAAAGTGCAGTCTGATAAGTTCTACAGTGTACATAATATGGTGGAAACAGCAGAGGGAGTGCTTAACTTCTTGGAGGAATTAGAAAAGACTTTGCAAAAGTGGTGACATTTAAAATGGGCCTTAAGAGTTAAAAGGAGCTCTCTAGGTAAAAAGGGAGGCAGCAGGAATTACAGAGATAGAAAATAGCAACTAAGCTGAAAAGAAAAAAAAAAAAAACATTGGCACAGAAATGAGAAAAACGCATGACAAGAAAGGAACTTAGGCTAGACAGGTAAAGGAGGCAAGGGACAAAGGTGAAGTTGTGAAGGATTCATACTGATGCAGTTTGGGTGTGTGTCCCTTCCATACCTCATGTTGAAGTGTAATCCCCCGGCCAGGCACAGTGGCTCACGCCTGTAATCCCAGCACTTTGGGAGGCCAAGGTGGGTGAATCACAAGGTCGGGAGATCGAGACCATCCTGGCTAACACGGTGAAACACTGTCTCTACGAAAAATATAAAACATTAGCCAGGCGTGGTGGCAGGCACCTGTAGTTCTAGCTACTCAGGAGGCTGAGGCAGGAGAATGGCGTGAACCCCGGAGGTGGAGCTTGCAGTGAGCCGATATTACGCCACTGCACTCCAGCCTGGGTGACAGAGTGAGCCTCTGTCTCAAAAAAAAAAAAAAAAGAAATGTAATCCCCAATGTTGGAGGTGGGGCCTGGTGAGAGGTATTGGATCATGGAGATGGATCCCTCATGAATGGCTTAACACCATCCCCTTGGTGATGAGTGAGTTCTCACTCAGTTCATTCAAGATCTAGTTGTTTAAAAGAGTCTGAGACCTCCCCATTTTCACTCTTGGTCCCTCTCTGGCTTGTGACATGCCAGGTCCCCCTTGGCCTTCCACCTTAAGTGGAAGCTTCTGGAGGTCCTCACCTGAAGCAGATGCTGGCAGCAAGCTTCCTGTATAGCCTACAGAACTGTGAGCCAAAATAAACCTCTTTTTTTTTTTTTTTTTTTTTTGAGATGGAGTCTTGCTCTGTCGCCCAGGCTGGAGTGCAGTGGCACAATCTTGGCTCACTGCAAGCTCCGCCTCCCGGGTTCACGCCATTCTCCTGTCTCAGCCTCCCCAGTAGCTGGGACTACAGGCGCCTGCCACTACACCCAGCTAATTTGTTGTATTTTTAGTAGAGACAGGGTTTCACTATGTTAGCCAGGATGGTCTCGATCTCCTGACCTTCTGACCTGCCCCCCTCAGCCTCCCAAAGTGCTGGGATTCCAGGCGTGAGCCACCACGCCCGGCCATAAACCTCTTTTCTTTATGTTACCCAATTCTTTTGTAGTTCAAGAGTGTGATGATTGGCTGTTCATGAGCATGTATGAGATATGCCACCCTTGAACCTTGTTACATCAGCACATTATCTGCCTTACCTAAACAAAAAAATAATTATCCAGTCTCAGATATTCCTTTAGAGTAACGCAAACAGACTAATATACACGCGAACCTTGAAAAGAACTTCAGACTTTTTCATCCACAAGCCACAGGGAGCTGCTGACGGTTTTACAGCAGAAGAGGTGTTATGAGAAAATCTATGTTTTAGGAAGATAGCTGTAGAGGCTGTGAAGAAGGATTGGAGTCTGGAGCCGGCCCTTTAGGAGCTGTTAAAACAGTCCTGGCAAGAGATATGATGAAACTAACTCAATCCAGGGTCATGAGATTGGAGACAACAGGAGAGATCTGAGAAATGATTACAAAGAAGGTAGAAGATAACATGATTTATTGGATTTCTATCTTGCCCCCCAGGCTCTGAGATAGGTACTTTATACACCTTATTTTATTTACTCTTTTACTCTTTACAACAACAACCCCATGAGGTAGGTGTGATGTGTCCCTTAAGAAATTGAACATCTGGGAGGCTAACTCACTCAAGATCACACAGGCATTAAATGTCAGAGCCAGGATTTGAACCAATGTCTGCTAGATGCCAAAGCCCATGTGCTTTCTCTCTACTCAGATAGTACCAAGAGGACTTGATGAGTGATTACATATTTTCTCCAATTAGGGTTCCATCGTTGCTCACTTTCCTAAATTTTGTAGAAAGCCATGTGTGTGCTCCAGCCTCTAGCAGCCCTGAGGAAGAATGCATTCCACTAGGTTACATTGTGCTAAGGGAAGGAGTACTTCTTACATTAAGCAGAGTGTTGAGGCCAAGGAGTGTTCAACCTATCTAGGTGTATATTTGTTTTCTACTGTGGCTATAACAAATTATTATAAGCAGTTATCATAAATTGATACACATGTATTACCTTACAGTTCCATTAGTAGTCTACCATGCATCTCACCGGGCTAAGACTGACGCATCAGCAGGGCAGAGTTCCTTTCAGAAGGCTTTAGGGGAGAATTCTCTTCTTGACTTTTAGAGCTTCTAGAGGACACTACTGTGGCTCATGGCCCCCTTCCTTCAGCAAGGGCAGGTCGAGTCCCTCTTACATCTCATCCTCTGACCATCTTTACTGCTTCCCTCTTCCCCTTTAAAGGAGACTTGTAATTACATTGGGCCCACCTAGATAATCCAGGCTGGTTTCTCTACTTTAAGGTCAGGCGATTAGCAACCTTAATTTTATCTGCAAATTTAATTCCCTTTTGCCAAGAAAGGTAACATGTTTACAGGTTCTGGAGATTAGGACATGGATACTTTGGAGGCCATTATTCTGCCCAACATGCAGTTCTGTATGATGATTTAGATTTGAATCTTGTATTGCTAGTTTTAGAAATTTACAAGAAGAGGGTCAGGGAAGAAGTGGTGAGTAAAGAGTTAACTAGCCATCCAACAAGCACAATGACCTCTTGACAATCTTGAGCGTGGTGTAGACTGTTGGGCCAAGAGCTGGGCCGTTGGGGTAGGCAGTTCACATCTTCGAAGAAATGCTCATCAAACCATGACCGGTGGAAACCAGGACACCAGTCACCTGGGAAACCAAGTAAACATAAACATACAGCCATCCATCACTGCCATCTGGAAGAAATTGGGTAGTGAGGGTCTTCCTGTTAGGCCTTACTTCAGTATTTATTTGTGTAGCTGGAGATCCCAGACCAGCCTTTCTGTCAGCGATGCTTCAGTGAGGAGCATGGGGCTGAATCTCAGCTTGGAATTAAAACATACCACCTTTCTGTGTGAATGTGGATGTAAATATTACCAGCAGACAGGTCACTCAAGAGATAGGTGCCCATATTTCCAAGTCTAAACAATCTCTGTAGGTCAAACAGGGAGGCCCCGTGTGCTTGTTGGCAACACCACCTTTAGCAGAAGTCTGAATTCCCAGTGAATGCTGCCTGTGTTCTGCTCTATCGAGGAACTATGGCCTCCAGAAGCGTTGCCCTACAAGCTCCATCCTAGTTAATGACTTCAGGCAGAAATGTGCAGGGAAAAGTTGGTTTCAGTTGGGTCCACTGTATGAGGTGATATGTAAGTTTTATGGGCTCTCCTCCCGGGATTCCTTGCTTTTGACTGAGAATGTGTTTTCAGTTGTTGCTCCAATCCATCGGTGGTGATAGATTTGCCCAGCTCCCTGCATATGTTCTCGCCCTGTTCCCCAAGTGATTCAAAGCATATTTACAAGACAGCTGGCTTGGGTTTACAGGGAGCAAGTCTGAGGCATGGATCAGAGCAGAGTGAAGTGACCCATACAGGGAACAAACTTATGACCTTGGCCTCCTAAGCACTATCTCCTTACAGATTCAGCTAATACAGCTCCCGAAAGCCTGCCCTTCATCTAAGTCCACATGCGACATTGAAACACTCAAAGGCAGCCTGGCAGCAGCAAGAAGAAAAACATTCAAACCAAGTTAGATTTCCTGGCATCATGTTGTTTGTTCTTAACCTGAAGATACATTTGGGGACCCCTAGTCTGGTGACACTGAATTAGAGTCAGTCAAACACTTTCTTGATGACCATGGAATACTGTGAGCTACAAGAGACTCTCCCATCCTCATCTATGGTTACAGTGTAAGCTCCTGAAGGGCTTGGCCTGTGTTGTACTCAGTCCTTGGCACAGAACAGATGTTTAAAGCATGTCAGTGAAATTAACTTTAAAAATGGATAAATTTGTGAGATAAATTCAATTTTTACATGTACCCTGACTTTACTTTGAAAAGCCAAATTCTAAAAAATTTTTATATTCCTTATCACTTATTTCACGGACAGCAAATACCCTAGGGTAATACTGCCCAATAGAAATGTAGCACAAGCCTCAAATACAAGCCACATACATACTTTTACATTTTTTAGTAGCCACATTAAAATAAGTAAAATTAAATAGATAAAATTAATTTTCATACTATATTTTATTTAACCCAATATATCAAAAATATTGTAATTTCACATGCATGTCACATAAACATTATCAATGAGCCATTTTTCATTTTTTTTATAACAACTCTAGCAGCCCATCTCAATTTGAACTAGCTTAATAGCCACATGGGGCTTACTGCTACTGTATTCAACAGCACAGCTCTGGAACCCTCTTCATTTTCCTTTCTCTCTTCCTTTTCATTTGTCTTTCCACTGCTTACGCCCTGTGCCCCTACTTGCTCCCCTCCTCTTCCCTCTTCTGTACTATCAGTTTCATTCAGAAATGCCCTCCCCATACCTCTGCCACCTCAATCGCACCCACCCTGCTAGGTGGGATCAGATACATCTGCTAGGACAGTCTCAAGACTGGTTAATATTATGATTAATTAACATCCAAATAGCCCTTAGTAAAGAATCCTTACTTTCATTGGCTCATTAATAATGGCATGTAATAAGTGCCATTATTTCCTCTTTATTGTTGAAGAAACAGGTTCAATTTCAAACTATTCAGTGGTAGAGCAAGGACTTGGAAGCAGGTGTTCTGGGTTCAGAGCTTCCCACCATGCCACACACATGCTGCCATTGCAGAAAGAAACCTCCACTCGGTGGCTTCCCTCACTCCCTTCTGACGGGAAAGAAAGAAAATTAAATAGCAGGTCCAGTAAATTATAACATGTGCTGTAATAGGATAGGTAGAGGGTTCTAGGAGAGCATTTGGAAAGGGCATTTAACCTATCTTGGGGGAAGTCACAGGAGATATGGGATTGCAGAGCAGAATGAAGTGACCCATACAGGGAATAAACCTATGACCTTGGCCTCCTAATCTCTCTCTCCTTACAGATTCAGCTTCTGATGGGGTTGCTTCTGAAAAGACCCCGGTGAGGTAAGTCATAGTTTTAATCAACTGCCATGTTATAGTTTATTTCAGGCAAGTGGTTTAGGCACTGTCACATTATAAATGTCATTACTAGCTAAGACTGGCCTGAGGCTCAGTGAGCCACAGACAGTTTGAGAATATCTGCCTAACTCTTTCCTAAGCCCATTATTGTAGAAGCTGCCCTGATTTTGGTGGGGACCTTCAGATCCTGAGAAGAAAAGGTAGACTTGTGGAAAAACACATTTCTCCTGTGCCATTTGCATGCAGCTCCCAACTTTCCATTATTATGCTCATTTTAGAGCTCCAAGCATCATGCCTGGACCCCTTAAGTCCTGCTTTCAGGAAGAGATTGAATTCATCTTTATTCTTTTCTTTCTGCTTTTTAAGCAGTAGCAGTATGGTAACACTTCTCAATTTTATTTCCAGCTATACCTATGGCCTCAATTTTCTTCCCAGCGATGTTCTCAGGTAGACTTAATTCTGGTTGTTTTGCAGCTTTAAGTTTTGCACAGTCTTGCTGGCCTACAGTGCCCCTTTGCTTGGAACTCTGATGCTGTGATTTTCCTCTTGAAATCCAAATCATCTTTGGAAAAGGCAACCAGTTTCTCACCCAAGCCATGTCCAAACAGGTCTGGTCCCCAGACCATATCTGGCATGAAAAGAGGCTCAGTGTAGCACACAATAGATGACTGTAGTCTAATTTTAGACCGGATGGTTGACCATGTCTCCTCCCTGTGATCCTATCTCTTACCTCTCAGACCAACTCCTTAGGGAGGGACCCTGACAAGCATCAAGAACATACAGAAATAAATACATGTCCTAAAACATAGAGATAATCCTGCTATTATCCTGATTAAGACATTTTTCACAGTTCAGTATACTCTACAAAATGAAGTCCAAACTCTTTAACCATGTAACAAAGCCCTTCATGTTTCCTCCCTCCCCAGCCTCCCCTTCTATCATACCTCATACCCTACACACCAAACATACAAATGTCCCTGTAGTTTCCTGAAAACACCAGGTGGTTCAGGCCTGCCATCTCCATACCTGAGCTGCCAGTTCTTTCACCCTCATTTCTGTGCACCTTGCCAACACATACTCACATACAGAATCTCACCTGGACCCCCCACCCTCAGCCAAAACTGATCGTTCCTTCTTTTGTGAATCCTGACACTGTCCACATCTTTAGCATAAAGCCTGTAACATGCTGCTGCATTTTTTATTTACAGAGTTAAATGAAAGGGACCTGGGGGCAAGGACTATTCCTGAGTTATCAACTCTCCTTTGCCTATCAAGATGTCTGTGCATAAATAAGCATTTTATTTACTGATAATCGAAAGGAAGAATAGATAAAGACGTAGAGTGATGCCCTACCATAGAGAAAGGGTTATATATATATATATATATATATATATATATATATACACACACACACACACATATGTGTATGTATATATATACACGTGTGTGTCAGGATTCACAAAAGAAGGAACGATCAGTTTTGGCTGAGGGTGGGGGGTCCAGGTGAGATTCTGTATGTGAGTATGTGTTGGCAAGGTGCACAGAGATGAGGGTGAAAGAACTGGCAGCTCAGGTATGGAGATGGCAGGCCTGAACCACCTGGTGTTTTCAGGAAACTACAGGGACATTTGTATGTTTGGTGTGTAGGGTATGAGGTATATATATACACATATGTGTGTGTATATATATACACATATGTGTGTGTATATATATACACATATGTGTGTGTATATATATACACATATGTGTGTGTATATATATACACATATGTGTATATATGTGTTTATGTGTATATGTGTATATATGTGTATATGTAAATGTATATATGTGTGTATATATACGTATATATGTATATGTATATGTGTATATATACACATATATATATACGTATCTGAGCATCTTTTATCAGATCAATCTACATAAAAGTATGTGTGTGTGTGTGTGTGTGTGTGTGTGTGTGTATATATATATATTTTTTTTTTTTTTTTGACAGAGTCTTGCTCTGTTGCCCAGGCTGGAGTGCAGTGGTGTGATCTTGGCTCACTGCAACCTTCACCTCCCAGATTCAAGCGATTCTTGTGCCTTAGCCTCCTGAGTAGCTGGGATTACAGGCCCCTACCACCACGCCCGGCTAATTTTTGTAATTTTTGTAGTGACGGGGTTTCACCATGTTGACCAGGCTCGTCTTGAACTTCTGACCTCGGGTGAGCCACCTGCCTCGACCTCCCAAAGTGCTGGGATTACAGGCGTGAGCCACTGCAGCTGGCTATATATATACAGTTGGCTGGGCGTGGTGGCTCACACCTGGAATCCCAGCAATTTGGGAGGCCAAGGCGGGCAGATCGCTTGAGCTCATGAGTTCAAGATCAGCTGGGGGAACATGGCAAAACCCTGTCTCTACAAAAAATACAATTAGCTGGGAGTGCTGACGTGCACCTGTAGTCTAGGGAGGCTGAGGTGGGAGGATCTCTTGAGCCCAGGAGGCAGAAGTTGCGATGAGACAAGATCATGCCACTGCACTCCAGCCTGGGCAACATAGTGAGACTCTGTCTCAAAAAAAAAAAAAAAAAAGACAGGGTTTTTCTATGTTTCCCAGGCTGGACTGGACTTGAACTCCTAAGCTCAAGTGATCCTCCTGCTTCAACCTCCCAAGAGAAAGGATTTTACTCCACTTGTCCCTCACTTAGCTAGCTCTTTTATCTAGGAGATTTTTTTAAAATCTAAGCATGATCAAAGTTCTGGGACTTTTTGATGGCCTGGAAGATAAAAGGAACCAGGACATCCTGGAAGAGAAAAGCAAGTTGCTGATAGTGTAGCATTTCCACTGGGCTTAAGGAAAAAGTATTAAAGA
This sequence comes from Homo sapiens, assembly GCF_000001405.40. Lineage (NCBI taxonomy): Eukaryota > Metazoa > Chordata > Mammalia > Primates > Hominidae > Homo > Homo sapiens. The sequence continues at coordinate 119,265,811 of NC_000001.11, forward strand.
GACCCTCATATATCTTTTTAGGTTTTCCAGCTTAGCTCAGTAGGATAGGAAAGGAAGGAGGATTCAGGGCAAAAATCTTTATGTAAAATAAATTTTTATCTGACGTAAGTATTCCCTGCACTGTCACATATGAAAGCATGATGTACAAAGTGTAATAAAGTGAGGACTCAAACTTTTGCCCTGTTAAAAGCCAGGAAGGGTATGGGATTCCTGGTTTATTGTTTGATACCTACAATTTCAAGCAGACTCAAGAAAATGCTACAGGATCTGAAATTATTGGGGTGATTTATCTCAGACTTATAGGATCTGTGAAAGATTTTCCTCACAATCTTGTTCTTTATAAATGGATTATACTTCATATGGAAAAGAGTTGATAATTTTGGAGTCTTAGTGGTAGTGGTTTAAAAATAAAAAGCAATGGAGATTTCATCTCCAGTAAGATCTGAGCATCTTTTATCAGATCAATCTACATAAAAAATTATATACACACACAGAGGACAAAATATATTTTTAAAAACAGTATCTGAAGACACTGGAGAGTGATTAAAAGCAGGAAGATGCTGGAAGAAGCCAATATATGAAAGAAGAAAATGGCATTGATGAGTTTTTAGATTTTACAGCTTTTAGGCCAAGGCAGGTTCTAGCCTGCACTATGTAGAATGGCTAAAGCTCCATATAAACCCCACATATTACTGGCTAGAAGAACCAGAGTATGGGGCAACCACAGCACAAAGAAAATTAAGAGGAAATCCCCAAAAGAATAGAGACTAAAGGGGGATCCCCATCTGCCCACATCTCTTACTGACCTTTGAGCTGCTCTCATATGGGACAGATGCCAAGCCATCGAGTGAAGTTTAGAGTTTGACTGTGATTTGAACTGCTGCTCTGAACAAAGGAGATATTAAAAGGATAACAAAAAAATTATAAACAATTTTACACCAAAAATTTGACAACTTATATGAAATGGATAAAGTCTTTGAAAGATGCAAATTAGCAAAACTTACTCAAGATAAGCTACACAGTCTTACATTTACTTTAAAATTTGAATTTATAGTTTAAAACCATCCCTCAAAACAACTCCAGATGCTTCACTGGTGAACGCTAGCATACATTTAAGGAAAATATTACACCAATTCTACAAAAGAGAAAAAAAAAAAGACAGAACGGGAAGAAAAGCAACTAAAACCTAAGTTTCTATGTAGATTCTACATAGGTGATGTCATCTGTGAATAGAGGCAGTTTTGTTTATCCCTTTGCAATCTGTATGCCTTTTATTACTTTTTCTTGCCTTACTGCACTGACAAGGACTTTCAGTACGATGTTGAACTGAAGTAATAGGAGTGAACATATTTACCTTTTTTTCTGATATTAGGGGGAAAGTACCCAGTCTTTCATCATTAGTTATGATATTAACTATAGGTTTTTCAAAGATGCCCTTTATGAGGTTAAGGAAGTCTCAACCTGTAATCCTAGTTTGCTTAGAGTTTTCATGAATAGTTGTTGAATTTTGTCAAACCATCCTTCTGCATCTTGTGAGAGGATGGTATGGCTTTTCTCGTTTAGTTTGGCTGATATGGTAAATCCTATTGATTTACTTTCTTTTTGTTTTGTTTTGTTTTTGTTTTTGTTTTGAGACAGTGTCTTGCTCTGTTGCCCAGGCTGGAGTGCCGTGGCGTGATCTCAGCTCACTGAAACCTCTGTCTCCTGGGTTCAAGAGATTTGTGTCTCAGCCTCCTGAGTAGCTGCGACCACAGGCACATACCATCATGCCCAGCTACTTTTTGTGTTTTAGTAGAGACAGGGTTTCACCATTTTGTTCAGGCTGGTCTTGAACTCCTGACCTCAAGTGATCTGCCAGCCTTGGCCTCCCAAAGTGCTGGGATTACAGGTGTGAGCCAACATGCCCAGCCCTATAGATTTACTTTCAAAAGTTGAACAATATTGCATTTCAAGGAAAATTTCCACTTGGTCATGATAGATCATTATTTTAATATCTTACACAATTTGGTTTGCTAATATTTTGTTGGTGTTTTGTATCTATATTCATGAGGATATTTGTTTGTAGTTCTATTTTCTTATAATGTCTGATTTTGGTGTGAGGTTAATGCTGGCCTCAAAAAATGAGTTGAGGGCCAGGTGCAGTGGCTCATGCCTGTAATCCCAGCACTTTGGGAGGCTGAGGCGGGCGGACCACTTGTGGTCAGGAGTTCGAGACCAGCCTGGCCAACATAGTGAAACCCTGTCTCTACTAAAAATACAAAAATTAGCCCAGCATGGTGGTGCATGCCTGTAATCCCAGTTACTCGGGAGGGTGAGGCAGGAGAATCGCTTGAGCCTGGGAGACAAAGGTTGCAGTGAGCCTAGATCACATCACTGCACTCCAGCCTGGGCTACAGAGTGAGACTCTGCCACACACACACACACACACAAGAGTTGAGAAAGAGATAAAGATCAGTACAGAATCCACACATAGAGAATCCAGACATAGGTAATCCACCATAGGCAATTCAATGCTGAAAGGATAGTCTTTTCATCAAATAATACTGGAACAGTTGGACATTTATATGCAAAAAATGTATCTTGACCCATGCATTAAACTATATGCAAAAATTAACTGAAAATTGATTAGAGGCCTAAATGTAAAACTCAAGTGTAAAAATTCTGGAAGAAAATATAGGAGAAAATCTTTGTGACTCTGGGCTAGGTGAGATTTATTAGGTAGAATACAAAAGGCACATTCCATAAATGAAAAAAAATAGATAAATGAGACTTTATTAAAATTTAAAAGCCACCCATATTTAAATAACAGTTTTAGGAAAATGTCATTCAAATATAGACATAAGTTTGGGGAAAATATTTTTAAAACACATATCTGGAAAAGGACTGATACCCAGAATACATGAAGAACCCTCACAACTCAATAATAAGAAAACAACAATCCAATTTCTTTTTCTTTTTCTTTTGTTTTTCGAAAGGAGAAAACAACAATCCAATTTAAAAACTGGGCAAAGCATTTGAACAAATGCCTCATCAAAGACAATACACAGACAGCAAAAATGCACATGAAATGGTGTCCAGCAACACTAATGATAGAGAATTGCAGATTAAAACAAGACACCAGCTGTTAGAAAAGCTGCTGAGAAGAATGAAGAGCAACTGGAACTCTCATACATTGCTGATGGGAATGTGAATAGCACAGCCACTTTGAAAAACAGTTTGGCTGTTTTTTATAAAATTAAAATGCAATTACTATATGACTCAGCAATTCCACTCCTGGATATATGCCTGATAAGTGAAAATATATGTTCACACAAAGACACATCCACAGATGTTTATAGTGGCCTTATTCATATTACTACAAACTGGAAATATTTCAAGTGTCCGTCAAGTAGTAATTGTATTAACAAAATGTGGTGGTACATCCATACAATGGAATATTACTCACCAATAAAATAGAATCAAACTATTGGCAACAACATGAATAAATCTCAAATGCACTATAATAAATGGAAAAAAAACAGACTCAATAAGCTACATACTGCACAATTACATTTATAAGACATTCTGGAAAAGGCAAACATGGGGCAGAAAAAACTAAGTGGTTGTTTGTGGGCTGGGAATTTAGGAAAGAATTTGACAACAAAAGTGCATGAGGAAATTTTTGGGTTAAGATACATGTTCTTTATCTTGATGGTGGCGGTGGACACTGAACTGTGTATGTTTTTCAAAATTCATTGCATTTACAAAGGGTAGATTTTGCTGTACACAAACTGTTTCTCAACAAACCTGACTTTAAAACAAAGAAAAGAATGTCAAAGTAAAGTAGTTTTTTTCATTAGAATGAAGAAGACACAGATCTAACCTCACTTTTCCTATTTTTACCTCACCCTTTGATGGAAAACAGAAATGGTGAAATTGATATTTGTTGAATGGAAGAGAAAACATGGGGTTATATTAAGTGTAGAAAAGTAAGTATAAATTTCAAATAATGAATTAAGGATGCATTGTGATAACTGAATTATAGGCTGTGACAAGGAAAATGAACAAAGGATACATGAGAAGCATACAAAAACTTTCTCTTGTTGAGTATCAAGTGAAATTTACTTCCCAGATGAGGTTACCATGGATCACATTAAGAATTAAAATTCACAGAACTAGCCTTTTAAATTTTTTATTTGATTTTAAATCAACATCTTTTTGAAATTTTTTCTTTTGGCTACAGAACCTGAATCTAGATGTCATAAGAAGGCTACTTTTTAGGCAGTATACGCTAGTTCATTTATAATTGAATTAGAGTGCCACTTTCAAAAGCATATTTTATTAGTAAAAAAAAAAAAAATAAGCAAAAGGCTGAGGCAATTTTTAGGATATATAACTTATGAAGAGAGGTAATTCAAATATATTTTAACTTATAGATGATAATATTTGGAAAAAATAGAAATTCTTAAGTATGTAAACATTTTATATTTTGAAAACTATTTTAATTTAAAAAATTCTTGTCATTTAAGTTTTATAAAGTTGAAATCAAATGAATAATATAAGAAAATATAAGAAAATGTCACACAGGTACTATTTAAATAGTATATATATATGTCATACAGAATATTTTTAAGAGTATTGTTGGATTTAAATTTGGACCATGCCCTGCAATTTTCTCTAGTTTCTTCCTCAGTTTTATATAAATTCAAAATACTTAATCTACAAAAGTATATAATGTGAGATATTATAAACAGCTTTATGCCAAAAAATTTGAACTTTTAGATGAGTCAAATTTCTCAAACAACACAATTTACTAAAGCTGGGGAAAAATATAAGACATCTGAATAGTCTTATACCTAATAAAGAAGTGTAATCCATAATTCAAAGCCTTTCACTACATTCCACTTCCATTAATTTTGTAGTAGCTTGTATTAGATAAACCTTTCTGTAGAAAACAATTATTCTTGAGGGAAATAAAAAAATACTTGAAGGCACTGGATAGTGGCCAAAAGCAGACAGAAATTGGAGAGGAATTCATCCCTTCAATATAGCATTTTTTATGGAGATTTGCCTTGATATGCCTTTTGTCTGAAGGCACTCTGCAGTCTGTACAATATAGGGCTACAAGAATTCAAGAAGAGAACATTATTCTTAGCAGTTCAAGGAATCATTAAATGGAGTTAGGGTTAACAGAACAGAGAGTGAGGTGTCAGGAAGGCGGGAGCCTAAGAGAGAACCCCAAAATGTGCACATAAACTCTGCCCAAACATCTGGATGATCCCTAAACTATGTATGTATGAGGAAGACTCTGAGGAGCCCAGTGAAAAGCAACAGGTGAAAGTCTGAAAGAACTTACTAGAGATTTCAGCTACTTCCTCTCATATGGGAGGGAGTTTGGGGTTTGAGTCCACCCAAGTTAATTGCCTGAGAGAAAAAATAATCAACATTTTTCAGAGGGTGATAACAGTATCCAATCACTACAATGTTCCCTCCAAAATGTCTGGCATACTATAAAAGAGTATTACACACACACACAGTGACAAGAAAATACAATCAAAAGAAATAGCAGTCAATAGAAACATACTCTGACATGACCCAGATTCTGGGGTTAACAAAGACTTTAAAGCAGCTATATAAATGTTTTCAAAGATTTTTTTAAAAACATGATTATAATTAATGAAGAGATGTGGAATTTCAGCAAAGAAATAGAAGTTATTAAAAAGTGCCAAATAGAAATTCTGGAGCTGAAAAGATAAAAGGCATCTACCAAAAATCTACTATAAATATTATACTAAATGGTGAAATATAATTTTCCTCCCAAAATTAAAAATAAGACAAGAATCTCTGGTTTCATTACTTCTAATTAACATGATACTAGAGGTTAAAATTGTAATGGTACAATAAGGAAAAGAAAAGAAATAAAGCATATAAGGATTGGGAAGAAAGAAGTAAAATGTATTATTTACACAGAACACAATTTTGTACCTAGAAAATCCAAAGGAATTTATAGATAAACTTCCAAAGTTAATAAGTCAATTTAGTAAACTCACTGGATTCAAGGACAATTAATAAAAATCAAGTAAGGGTATAGTAGCAACGAACAAGTAGAAAATGAAATTTAAAGAAAATACAGTGGAATAAAAGAACATCAAATATCTAGGCATAAATATAATGAAAAATATGTATTACCTTACACAGAAAACTATAAAACAATATTAGAGAAATTAAAGAAGAGCTAAAATGGAGATCCATAGATTGGAAGACTCAATAGTGCAAAAATATTAAGTCTCCTCAAATTGATCTATACATTCAATGCAATCTCAATTAAAATTCCAACAGATGTTCTTTTTAAAAGTAGATAAATTTGTGTGGAATTACATATAGAAATGTACAATGATAGCAATAGGTAAGAGAATCTTTAAGAAGATTAGAGTTTGAACACTTATCCTATTATATACAATAATTATTATCAAATAATTAATACAATGCAAATAGAGGCACAAAAATAGACAAATAGACCAATGGAACACAATAGAAAGTCTAGAATCAGACCCACACGTATATGGACACCATTGGTCCATGCAGAGCAGTGGGAAAAAGACACTATTTTAATTAATGGTCAATTGGATATCCATATGAGAAAAAACAATCTTGACTCCTGTCCATACGTTATGTAAAGAACCAATTCCAGGGCCAGGCGCAGTGGCTCGCCCCTGTAATCCTAGCACTTTGGGAGGCCAAGGTGGGCAGATCACCTGAGCTCAGGAGTTCAAGACCAGCCTGGGCAAGATGGTGAAACCCCGTCTCTACTAAAAAATACAAAAAAAAACTAGCCAGGCATGGCAGTGTGCACCTGTATTCCCAGCTACTTGGGAGACTGAGGCAGGAGAACTGCTTGAACCCAGGAGGCAGAGGTTGCAGTGAGTCAAAATTGTGTCACTGCACTCCATGCACTCCAGCCTGGGCGACAGGGTGAGATTCCGTCTCTTAAAAAAAATAAAAGAAAAAGAAAAAAAATCATTTCCAGGTGATTTTAGATCAAAAAATGATATGTAAAATAGTAAAGTTTCTAAAAAATAACATAGAATGATATTTTGTATGCCTGGAGCAGGCAAGGATTTCTTAAATAAGAAATAACATTCCTAAAAAAAATTAAAATATTGGCATTTTCTGTTTATAAAAGACACCATTATGAGAAGGAAAAGAAAGTTATAGAATGGAAGAAAATGTATGTATAAAAATATTATATATAAAATGACATTTCATATAAATTTTTCACAATTTAAAAAGTCAGAAAACCTAGTAAAAATTGGATGCTATTTTCTTCACAAAACAGAATATCCACATTGCCAATAAGCATTTTTTTAAAGTGCTCAACCTCATTAGCTATCAGGAAAAAGCAAATTAAAATTACAGTGAAATATATGGTATATCAACAACGTGGCTAACATTTAAAAGACTGAAAATACCAGGTATTTGTGAAGCTATAGAGTAATGGAACACACATACGTTACTATTGGGAGTGTAAATTGGTGCAATCACCACGTTGAGAAACTGTTAGTATATACTGAAGTTGAACATATGCCCACCCTATGACCCACTAGTTCTATTCCTAGATATATGCCCAGAAGAAATGCATACAAGTGTTTACTAAAAGCCAAACATAAGAATGTCCATAACAGCATTATTTAAAATAGCCAAATTAAAAACAATTCAAATGTCCTCAGACAATAGAATGGAGAGATAAACTGTGATATATCCATGAAATGGCAAATTAATTAAAATGAAGACACTGCTGCCACGTACAACAACATGGATGATTATCACAAGTGTAAAGTTGAGCAAAAGAAGCTAGACATCAAATAATACACACTTTATAGAAAACTCAAAAGCAGGTGAAACTAATGTATGGTATTAGCAGTCAGCAGAGTGGGCATCTTTTGGAAGGAGAGTGGAGACAGTGGTTGGAAAGGTGCCCAAGAAGGGCTTCTCAGATGCTGACAGGGTTCTGTAGGTGAGTGATCTGGGTGGTGCTTGCATGGGTTATTTTGTGCTACATGCATATTTTCTGTATGTGTGTTTTGATTCTATAAAAGGTGTATTAAAAAAGGTTATGGAGACAGAAAGGACATAGATGAAAGAACAGGAGGCAAGGCAAATCATCTGAATTTATACATTCTTTGGCATCAATTGTAAAATGCTACAGAAATTTAGAGAAGGGAGAAATCACTGAACTATATTGGTCAGAAAGTGTTTTCTTGAACTTGGTAAAATTGATTTGGGTGTGGAATAATGGCAGGATTTGGACAGGATGAGAGGGTAAGATGGGGACACAGGGACAGTCTTGGAGAGGGTGGGGCCAAGCATATTCCACTCACTGTGATTGACAAAGAGGGGACTTGGTTGGAGGAAAGATTCCCTTTGGAGAGTGAAAAACAGTCCTCATCATATTGCTTGAGCTTTATATGGCACATTATAGTTTACAAACCTTTCTTGTGCTCTCTGTTATTTGATTATAACAATAACTCCATTTATTGCTGATACAGACTCAAGTTTAGGAAGATTAAAGTCATTTGCTTAGAGCTACTTGACAGCTGGGGCTATTTTCCTGGTCTAAGGAACTGCTGAACTGGATCCAATCCTAGTTCCATCCAATCTTAGATCCTAATAGTCATAAAATTCTGAAAGAATGTGTCAGGAGATGATATATCAGGAAATGTAGAGAGTGACCTGTTGGCACAGAAATGTCTTGTAAATACATTTGTCAATTCAATATTTTCTTCCACTGAGTAAAGAAAGGTCTGTTTTCCACGTTAGAACACATATTGAGGTATCCCTAAATCTTAAACAACTTTTCATGATAAACAGCCCTAATGAAATTCCTGGGAAGCTTCTAAGATAGGAGGATTTTTCATTCAGCTTCCTGTGTCCCATTCTTGGGCTTGCAGGCAACCGTAGCCAAGAGCTATGGTCTCTCTTGAGATGGTAGAAAGCTGCCTTGTCACATTAGGCTGCAAAAGTCGTCCTGTTTCCTCCTTTCTCTAAAAGAAGAATGAAGTTCACCTCTGGTGGCTTTATCTTTCCAGGAAAAGGAAACTCAGGTCTAAAGCCATCCATTTACAGATGAGGACACAATTATAAACTGGGACACTTGATGGCTTTCAGCTCACAGCTCTTGTGGCTTAGGTCTCTGGGTGCCAGGTTCCAGACCTGGACCTGCCACAGAAGTATCGGCTGATCTTGGAAAAATCATGAAACCTGTTTGTTTCTAATATCTCCTTGGGATACATTTGGTAAACAGTGCTTTGGCTGAAAAGAGTGGATGCTGGCATGAGGAAAATGGAGATCTTAACAAATGTGTAGAATGTTAATTCTTCCATGTCTTTCTCTTCCTTTAGGTGTTTTTCAGCCCTAGCTATACATTGGAATCAACTGGCAAACTTTGAAAAAATCACAAAGCCTATGCCACAACCCAGAGGTTCTGAGGTGCAGCCAGAGTATAGAACCTGTAATCTAGGTAATGGCTCTCACTGGAAAACAGCTGTGGCACTGGTATAGGAGCAATGAGGGGCTCACGCAGAACTCCCTGTGTGGGCTCACCTGGCCTTCCAAAGGCCCAGCCTGACCACTTGGGACCAAAGTGACCCTTACTATTAAAGGCTTCTAACATTCACAGAAAGAAAGTACGTCAAGGGTGTGTGAAATCATGACAGAAGCTCCTCCTCCTAGGAACTATCACAGGAAATTACCCTTTATACCTAAGAATAAAGACCGAATAGAGAGAAGCCAGCTCTATCCACAACCAACAGATGGCGCTATTGTCCAATGCCCTGCCATTTAGGTCTCTGCCAACCACTTACTCCTTAATACTTGGTAATTTGCTGCATTTGTGCATGATTTTGAAATGTTCTAGAAACATTTTTGACTCCACATATCTGAGAAGTGCAAAAGTAGCAATAATATTAAAAGTGTTACTTAAAAAAGGAGCATAATTATGACAAAATGAAAGTAGAACCATTTTTAAAATCAGAAGGCAGTGAGAAAATAAAATGTAAGTTTGTACATGCATGTGGAATTAATTTTTAGACAGTAGGAACAATTCCAAAGGGCAGAGTTGATCATGAATCCTGAGAAAAGTGTTGTGCCTCTGCAACTGACAATAAAGAGCAAGAGATACGGAAATGAATGAAATGGAAAAGTTTATAGTGTGCGGCTAGATAATTACAATGCCTGATATGTGCTTTATCTTCACCATAAACTATGCAAGTGCTCTCCTTTCTTTCATCATCACCCAGCCAGCCAAAATCAACCACTGTCAATTAGACTGTTTTTAACTTTGGAGAAGGCTGGGGGTTGTTCTAGAATTTGGAACTAAGCATGGTAAAAGCTCTGCTACTTAACTTCTGGAGTAAGTCAGGGACTAGTTCTGTAATCTGAAAGACAATCTATACTCTCAAATCTACGCTACTTCAAGGTGGCAAGGCAGCCCAGTCTGACACTAACCATAACTTCTAAGGAGGTCTATTCTCTACCACACCTGCAGAAATGGCTGGGGAGAAGGGTTAAATTAATGAACTTAAAACATCTTTGGCAAGTGACGCTATTTCTTGGAGAAAAAAAAAGAAAAATAAGACATTTAACTGGTCCATGTTAGGAAAAGATGCTTGGTAGAATGTATCAGCAGGAATAAGAGTATGTCTGATTTAAAGCTCTGAAAGTTTGACATTCTGTTATTTACTGAAAGTACACTGGGAAACTGCAAGCTCAGCCTCTCTAAGACACTTTGAATTTATAGTGTATCAGTCAGGATCCAATTAGAGAAGTAGAATGAATAGGACATAAATATTAAGAGATTTATTACAAAGAATTGGCTTATGTGATTGTGGGGGATGGCTAGGCAAGTCTGAAGTCTGTAGGGCAGGCACTCAGGAGGGCAGACTGGAACTGTCAGGCACAGGTGGAAGCTGCCATCTGCAGGTGGAATTTCTTCCTCTTCAGGGAAGCCTCAGCTCTGCTATTAAGGCCTTTCAGCTGATTAAATTGGGCTCACCTGGATTATCTAGGATACGCTCCCTTTGTTAAAGTCTACTAATTATAGTCTTAAATTACATTTAAAAATTCCATTCACAATAACACCTAGATTTGTATTTGATTCTGTAACCAGAGACTGTAGTCTATCCAAGTTGACACAACAAAAAGACAATCACAGGCTAGATGCGGTGGCTCATACCTGTAATCCTACAGTTTGGGAAGCAGAGGCAGGAGGATGGCTTGAGGCCAGGCATTCAAGACCAGCCTGGGCAACAAAATGAGACCCCATTTCTACAAAAAATTAAAAAAAAAAAAACTTAGCTGAGTATGGTGGCATGTGCCTGTAGTTGCAGCTACTTGGGAAGCTGAGGCAGTAGGATTGCTTGAGCCCTGGAGTTCAAGGCTGCCGTGAGCTGTGATCACTGCACTCCAGCTGCCTAGGTAACAGAGTAAGACACTCTTTCTAAAAAAAAAAAAAAAAGAAGAAAATTAAGACCATCATAAATAGTGTTTGGAAATAAGACTGTTTCTGAGTAGAAGCGCTTCTAGATTAAAAAAAAAAAAAAAATCCCGTATGCCCTAGGAACTGGATTCTTTATATAGAAACCACAGATGTCATGGTCTGGGGGATCTGGTGATATTCTTATGTACATAAACCCATTCATTTATTTAGTTATTCAACAAATTTCATTGCATACTTACTATTTGCTAGTCTCTGTAGTAAGTGCTGACACTATAGGAACATGATCCTTACCCTCGAAGGCCCACAGACTAGTAGGAGAGACAGAGACACTCTGAGTTCCAATACCTTGTGACAAATGGTAGTTCAGTTGAGCCTCTAAACCTAGTTGTGAAATTAAGGAAGAGGCACTTAAACAGAATCTAGACTTAAGCCCAGGGGGATGCAGCATTTAGAGATGGAGAGAAGGGGTGGAAGAAGAGTCATCATAGTGATAATCCCAGCCCCAGACCATGCTGACCCCCACAGAGCTGGTGCTCAAGTGGTCAAACATATTGTAAAGGGCCAACTCAGGGAAGACTCTCCTAGGTCACTCCTACTTTATGTGTTTTTCAGCCTTCCTGTTAATGGTATGTCCACAGCACCTTCAGCCTAGCCTCTAGGTCTTCATGGAGGTGCTGCTTCAGCCAGAGGTGAGTTTGCTGCCAAAACTGAGAACCTGCACCTGCTCCAGGTGCTCAGAGCAATGGCTTTCTCTTCCCATCTCAGCTTGGCCAGTTCATCTGCTTCCCTTCAGAACATCTACCCCCTTTACCCATGTTTTTCCTCCCTTGATGTTTTTCCTCCCTTGACTTCCTTTCAAGTAATCAGGCATGTGCACTGGTCATCTGCACTATTCGTTAGCCTAGGAATCTATTCTTTTTCAAAATGGATTAAGCAATGTCTTCCCTACCTCCATCTCAGGACAGTGAGGGTAAATGAAGCCCACTGTGAAGCTCCTTAGAACTGGTACTGCCACACAAAAGTAAAGTACAGGTTGGGTATTGCCATCATCTGTCTGTCTCTATATCTATCCATCCATCCATGCTGTCTAATCACTCCTAAGCTGTGTGTCACAGAAGGATAGAAAACATTGTTGAATCTATAATACCTAGTACAGTTTCTACAGCTTCTGCACAAAGCAATTGTTCATTAATTTTCTAGTGAAGACAATGATAATGAGACCATCTGAGGGTTTGGGAGACAGATCATTGCAAACAGCTACACCACTGATACTAGAATTCCTAGAATGTCCCATCTCCTACCTCTGGCTAATTGCTTCTTTGAGACTCAGTTTAACACACCATCTTTGCTAAGAAAGCCTTCTGTCCTCAGTACCTTAGTACCAGTACTCATGTCTGAGTTGAGTACCTTCTCCTGCTACCATAGAATCCTCTGCACACTTTGGTCATTTCTCTTACTGTGGTGGACTTTGTCTCTTGACATGAAGGGAAGGTCTATGAAATGAGGGATTATGTTCTAATAATATTTATCAGCATGGCTCAATTCCTGGCACAATGCAAGAATGCCATAAATAATAAATTAGTAGTATGATGTGTATTCCCTTGATTTTTGTCTGAATATTAGCCTCATGCCATATAGACTGTTGTGTAGAGGAAATATTACTTAGATAGGTGCTTAAAGATTTCTTTTGTGGCCTTGTCAAATGGGTAGAAAAAATGAAGTCAGGAGGTCTGGGTTGAGTTTTTGACCCTACATTTTCTTAGAGAAGATATGATTCCAAGCATTGTGCTTCTTTGAAGCTTCTCTTGAGCAGATGTTGTGGGTTTTACTCAGACTGTGTCCCTCACAGGGGCTGGAGACCTAGGAGGTTAGCTTCAAACAGCGACAGCAAAATGCACCAACACCCAAGGAACTTCTAAAGGGTTACTGGTGGAATAATATTATCCTTCCATTTGTGTTAGTTTGTTTTTTAAACCTCAGAGTGTTCATATGTGTCCACAATATTGTGGACTCTTTAAAAGGAGTCAGAATGTCAGAATTTGTTTTTGTATGTCTCGTTTCTAGCACAGAGTAAGCACTCGGTAAATATTTACTGATTTATATTAATATATCTGTCGAGCATGTACCTTCAAGTTTGGGACAAGGTTCTGATTTTATTGCCCCTAGTTATTGATCCATTTCTCTACTAGACCATTTCTTTTTGCTCTGAGGTGCCCGGCAACGTGATAACACAGCACACATATGGAATAGCCTGGCCAGGTTACCTCTTTAGACAGTGAGTCAGAAAGACAAAGGCAAAGGAATTGTGAGTCATGCATTCCAGGGAGGACATACACAGCAACGTAACTCATTTTTAATAACGGGCTCAGAATTATGAATTAAAGCATTAACTAACACCCTGTGGTGTCCTGGAATGTGACCACCAAAAAGTCATTGCCATAGGGGCAGGTCTGGGTTGGTTCAGCAACTTTCAAATGCCAGCTGGACTACAGGAAGAGTTTGTTGCATTAAGTAATTTATGGGGTGCTACGAAGTTCCTTAAGCTATTATTAAAAACATGCAAACTCCTCCTTGGTTAGACCTCTAGTAAGTCAGACTTCTAACTAAGCAGAACTGATAGGCCTGTCTTTTGATGTTTAACGAGTTCTGCAGCAGATGTGAGATGTGATGGACAGGGCTGTGGTGGTGATTTACTGGTCATGAAACAGAATGATGAGAGCCCTCTCCTGAAAAAAGAAAATGTAGCCAAAGGACAGGTTCCCCCCGGCCCCCCACAACCCCTGGCCTTCCTCTCCCACCAATCCCTTCCCCTTCTTTCTTTCTGCATGTGTTTTTGATTTCCTTACCCCCCTGCCTCTCAAGACTGGGATCATTTCCATTCAGGCACACACAGAACACTGCAAGCTAATTAGCCTTGGATACAGCCACAGGAAGTCAGGCTGCCAAATCCTCTTTCCCCCACAATTCCTCAACTTTCTGAGCCTGCCTCAGGCCCATGGCCTTGCACTAGGCCTCTCTGTATAAGTTGCCAGTTCTAATTTTGCAATTTCCCTTCACCTTATCGAATATGCCCCAAGCCTGCCAGTGGATGGAGAGGGAAAGGCTTTGGAGTCAGTCTTGTCCTCTGGACTTTTTCCACTAGCCCCTTCTCTGCTTTCTCCCTACAATTAGGGAGACTTGTTTGGATACAGTTTCAGTGTTGACTTGTTAATCTGACCTTTGTTAATGCTTTTTAAAGGAGAGCATTGCCCATAATGCAAGAAGCTTGGGAGAGTTCCCCACTAGGCTCTTCCATCCCACTCACATCCCCAACTCCCAGGGGCCCTGTACCTCTGACTTTTCATAAAGGTTAAACTATTTTCCCACAAACTGTAGATGTCAGCCCTTCCCTAACTGATTTAGCTTGAGAGCCCTTCACACTTACTGGAATAGGGTGTGAAAGGAAGACGAGGAGAAGAGAGAGGGCTGAGAGGTGGAGAGTTGATAGCCTGGGCTCTGGGACCCATACAGGGGAGGCATGGCGTGTGGGCTCCTCATAAGGGGCACCACTCTATGGAAGCCCTGAATTGGAGGCAGTCAATGGTAGTTCTCAGGTCACATCTAAGCCACAAAATAGAAAATTGGTTGCCAACATTTAAAAATCAGAAGATTTCACATAAAAATCCAAATTGCTTGCTTCCTAGAAGAAAATTAGATCTGGCAACACTGAATCAACGTTCAGGCTTCCATGATACAATTGGCTGAAGCTGAGTAGCTCCTCCATCCTAGAAGTGGAGCATAAACTCTCCAGGTCACTAAAGTCCCCACTCCCCACTATTGTCTTACTTGATATTACCTACCTGGCTCATGAAAACATTTGAATTTGCCGCTTGTGCTCTAAATAGAGAAAGGGAAATTTAATATTGAATCATAAGATACTTGGCAGGCTAGAAAGTATGACTTTTCCTCTTTTCTATATCATTCAATCACATCAATGTACATACCATGTTAAAGTAATTGCCTGTTGAGTTCTTGGGCTTCCTTCCCTATTAGATTGTGAGCTTGCTGAAGGCAGGGGCCTTGGCTGTCTTGTTCATCATTATACCCCCAATGCTTTGCATAGTGCTTAGGCATTCAACACGTTTTTTGACAGAGTTTGTTGATTTGCTTTCTCATTCATCAAACTTTGTTGAATATTTCATGCATTGTGCTAGGTATCATGAAACATGTTCATGATATGTGACATGTTCCTCAGTGAGTTCAGAGAGCAGAAAATAAGATGTGCATAAAAGGCACAGAATTCAAGAAGTACCAAAAAATGTGCTTTTGTAAAGCAAGTTCTATGGGTGAGCTTCTTAGAGAAGGATGCATTTGAGTAGGCTTTATAGGATGGGTAGGATTTGGCATGGTATTCACTTACTTTTTTTTAACCACATACTTTATCTCACCTGTGCATTACAGGGCCCATTTTTTATCTCCAATTTTTATCTCTCTCAGTCTGCCAGTGACTGAATTATATTAATTTCTAATAGTTGTTAAATGGCTTTGTTGCTGTGTGGTGGAGGCCAGATACTATGGAAAGCCATGAGCTCCAGCCCACATTGTGGTAAGCCTAGCAGAATAGAAATAGATGCATAATAAATACTTCCCATGATAATGGGGAGGATTATCAAAAGTCTTGATAATGATGATAATGAAATAGCTTGGGCAGAAGGCGAAAACATTAAATGTACCAAATGTGAAATGCAAAGCAGTAAAATCATCCTGTTTTCATGAGCTTCAATGAAAGAGATGTGCACTGTCACCTAAGCACTCCATGGGGTGCTTTTCTGGACCTATTGCCACCTACAGTGGCACCTAACACCTAAGCTATGTTAGGTAGCAGAGTTCACCCAATCCTTGTGAATCAAAGAAGTCCTCTTGCGCTCTCAGTTCAGTACTTGGAATTCCCTTTTCTAAAAGCCTGTTCACTGTAACCATCATTTGCCATTCAGATGGGAATAATCTCACGTCACCTTTGTTCATTGGGCCTTGCTCCAGAGAGGCAGGAAAACTATGGTCAGGAGTGTTACAGGGAGGGGAAGGTACTTAACCAGGAATATTTCAAAGAAAATAAATCTATGCCTAACATGTTTTCTTTTACACAAACTACATAGCACTTGAATTATGTTACCATTGATAGAGTGTCATTAAATATATGCTTAAACTATGATCAAATCATGATGGGTGTCATTAGTAAAATACCACTAAAGGGCAAGTATTTGAAAGTTCAGTATTATTAGTTCAGTAGAAATTAGTATACACAGTTCATGGCAAAATGCTCATTCCAGGAGCCCTATAGAAAGATATCTGCAATAGTCATTATCAATACAATCTTAGACCTCTTAAAAAATCTGAAATTATAAATTATATACATATAATAATGGTATAGATATGCTAACTATAAAATGAAAACCTCAGCTCCAAAGAGGCTTGAGTTTTCACATTAGATATTTAGTCATCTAAATTCTGGATAGGAAACACTTAACATCTATATTGTGACTCAACCCTCCCATACCCATTACAGACATTGCTAATTGATCACAGAGCTTTTTCCTATGGTACTAAGAGTTGTCCCTCAAAGACTTTTCAGATTATATTGGCTTCATATGCTTTAAATTTGCATTGTATGGTTAATTTGAACGTGATGATACTTTCAATATATTCCTGCTGGCAAGCTGGGTTTTTTAATAATTTTAATTTGCTAAGATCTTCAGATCTGAAATTTTGGAAAGGGCTCCACTTGTTGAATAACATGCTTGAATACTTCTATGTTTACAGTAGATGGGAGAGAATCTCAGCATATTTTTCTTCTGGTTTTCATGTGGTCAATGATATCATTATGGCACCCATGGTGGATGGGGCAAATGTTTACAAACAGCCATAAAAGCTGCGTTGCTTTACAAATATTACAAAAGTTTATTAATTTGAGAGCTTCACAGATAGCATAAGTCTATGAATGAATGCTCAAAGAAAACTTAAGAAACAAAGATTTTTCAGCACTGTGCTCAGACTGCCACTCCCAACTACTGAACTTAACATTCAAGTTGAAACTTATTTTCCATCCATAATGTAGATCTTCACAAAAACAAAATGTTTCTGAAGATATATTTCAGGTCACATCAAAGAGTACTTGTAGAGTGCTTAACAGCTCACCTGCAGTATTCAATTTAATCCACCTAATATCCCTGAATGAAAGATATTAAAATTCCTATTTTACAGATAAGGACACTGAGATTTGAAGGATGATATTAAAGAAAGATGGATATTTTACTGCAAGTTAGTTATCTGGTCTCAGAGCCAATAGAGACTTGATTATATGTGACAACTCCAAATTGTCAGGTTATACCAGGATTTATACAGCAGAATTTCTTAAATACATCTTACCCCTCACTCTGTTCCCAATTTTACTCTGGTTTTTAGAATCAATCTCTCTCTTTGTGCTTAACCATTATTCCTCTTTCTTCTTCCTCTTTTCCCACTGAAGTGTGCTCTGTAGCTCTACAGATTATAGCACAAGACTCCATCTCAAAAAATAAAATAAAAAAGACTTCTCAAGTGAAGAGGTAGAGCCCATGCCCAGCCCAAGCCACCAGCACTCAGCTATCTCAGGAAGACAGTTGAGTCCTCACTCTGGTTAAAGCCACTCAAGCTGACAGTCCATATCCAATAAAGATCTGTGTCTCTGGAATCTTTGATCAGAAGAATTCTGATACAATGCAAATAATTGGTCCAATTTGTCTTCTGGTTCCCAAAGAAGATCAGGTAGAATGACCACTTGAAATTAGCCAAAAAACCTCATCTCTAATTACAGGAGCAATTTGGCATTTAGTGATCTATCCCAGCATTAGTTCACAAAAGACCCTTCTATGTGTGCTGCACAATAAGATATGATGTAACAAGCTTGGATTCCATAGTACATAGTATTCAAGAAGGACTACATAAAGCAAGTTGCTGAGAAGGGGTTAACAGCGGTGCAGGTATTACTTTGAAGCATATCATTCCAATAATTGATATGAGCATTAGAGGATTCTCTCTCTTTCTCTCCCTCTAGCCTAACTAATTTTCAAAAGGCATCAACCCTTAAGATACCATCAATTTTCTTGCCCTGGTATTTGAAATGGGGTACCTCCACAGCTTATCAGTACAGGTTTTCTAAAGTTTCCATGGTATTCAACCACCAAGTAAAAATTTAGGAGAATACAGTTGTCAAAACCATTGTCACCCTAATAAAAATATATGCTAAAAATACATGTGCTTTTGATTCAGATCTTAAATTGTGAAGTACACTGGATCTACATAGGTCAAGCTGAGCCACAGCCCAGTGATTTTTGACCTGTATATAATCTATATGATTCAAGTTTTCACAGTCTTTTGTAGATAACTTAAGGGCTGCACTTTAGCAATGGTGAAAATTGGACTTGAGAATCTACGTGTCTGAAATTCTTCAAAACCTAGGAATGACTTTTAAGATGTATCTAATATCTAATCTCATATGATCATAGTGCAGAAATAAAATCTTCCAAGGAGTTATGTTGATTATGAGAAAGTGCTTCTGTGTGTTCTCCTCAAACTATGTGTTCTTAGTCTCCCCAGAGAACCATGAAATCTGCTTATTTCTTATGTAGTCAAAGAATTATCATGAAATTCTCCTCACTGGGCAGGAATTTTGTGCTCCATACCTTCTTTCAGTTACAATTCACAGTTAACATACAATAAATAAATAAATAAATAACTGAAATACACATTTTCACTACACCATTCATTGTAATAATTGTCATCACCTTCTATAGACTTCTTTGCCTGTGATTAATGACAAGTTGAGGTGCTGATTTGGACACTAGCATAGGAAATCTGGGTGACATTTGGCTAAATGTACTTGGATTAGGAGCCTCCTGAGTAGTGAGACCAAAACCCAAAGATAATTGTTAATAGTTTATTATTAAATATAAAAGCATTACATTATTGGTGTTCAATCACTGAAATCTTCCCTATAAACTTTATAAAATTAATCAGGGAAGAAGGGAGGGAGATAAACAAAAATAAACAAGCTTGCAGCACATTCCGCATTACTCATGAGGGAAGCCTGCTCTCGGACCTGCTTCCTTACAGTTGTTTGGTGCCTACTGTGCTAGAATCAGGTAGACCCTAGATTATAGTTCTCCTGAACTGTTCTATAGATAATGACTTGAATATTATGAAACATTACATTTTCCAGTTGAGATATTCCTTCAGTTTCTGTGTACTGATGAAACTACTGACTCAGCTGGTCTGAAGGATCCCAAGAGGAGCTGACTCACCAAACAAGGCAGTTTCCACATCCTAATGTTTTCATCCCTGCTTGCCCCAACCAATCAACAGCCTCAAGTTTCCAGCCCCTCACCCTCCATAATCCCCTTAAAACCCTAGCCAAGGACTCCTCATGGAGATGGATTTCAGAGTCTCCTTCCACCTCCTTGTGCAGTGCCCTGAGATCGTTAAACTCTTTTTCTACTGCAAATCCTGCTGTCTCAGCGTATTTAATCTGTTACTGCACAGGGGGCATATGAAACTGTTGGTCCTATAACATCAACAGTAAAGCAACTATAGAGTACTGACCTAGAACACTTACTTCCTTTTTCCTATTATCCCTTTATATCTTACATGATTATATTCTAAGAATACCCTCTATTATTGAGGAATAAAACCATACACAGGCATATTGGACACACCTGGCTCAACATTTCTTAAACTGTTTACTCTAATAAAAATGTTATCAAGATGGAAAAGATTTTAGTTCAATTTATTCTGAAGTGGAGCAGAAAAACATGGTAACCATGTTACCATCCCTGACAGCTCAGCTTTTTTTTTTTTTAAGATGGAGTCTGGCTCTGTCTCCCAGGCTGCAGTGCAGTGTGATCTTGGCTCAAAGCAATCTCTGTCTCCCAGATTCAAGCGATTCTTCTGCCTCAGCCTCCTGAGTAGCTGGGACTACAGGTGCATGCCACTGCACCTGGCTATTTTTTGTATTTTTAGTAGAGATGGAGGTTTCACCATGTTGGCCAGGCTGGTCTTGAACTCCTGACCTCAAGTGATCCACCCGCCTCGGCCTCCCAAAGCACTTGGATTGCAGGCCTGAGACACCGCGCCTGGCCTACAGCTCAGCCTTTCTTACTTCACACCCTGCAATGACTCCCAAAACACCTCTCTGGAACACTTTGGTCTCCATAAGGCATAGTTTGAGGAGCAGTAAGTAGAAAAAATGACCTCTAAAGTTTTTTCCTTGCTAATACCATGTGGGTTAATACGGACCTGGAGGACAAACCTCTTAGAGGTGCAAAGTGGAGTGGTACTATCACCAACTCCAGTCAACTAGTTCTTAATCAACAGAGCAAGACTGGGGAGAAGGATCCAGTCAAGGAGTATGGAAACCTATTCCAGCAACAGGAGGTCCCCCGACCCTCCACTACAGCCCCACCCCTGAACCCACGGTGTGCAAAACACCTAGTCAAACCACTAGGTGGAGCCAAAATCTTTGAAAAAGATGCGTGCTGAGTTGTCTGGAAGCATGTGTAACCTTCGCATGAGAACTGGGTTCCTTGATAGGTTAAAAAGGAAAAAAAAAGGAGAGAGCATTCTGTAATGTCATGAGTCTATATTGGTTTCCGCCTGCCCAGAGATTACTTCTCAATTTTATCTAAGCCCTTTGTAAAATTTTGAAGTAAAAGGCCTCAGTATTTAAGTTACTGATTGGGTCCTACCGCCATCTCTAGATTTCTTGTAGTGTCCGGTTCAGATGCTGGTTTAATAGAAACATCACTCCACAGGCAGAATGTGTGTAAGCAGACCTGGAGATGAGCAAATCCAACTATCTCAAAGTGACCATCTAACCTCAGCTGAAGCACCTCTAGGTATATGGAGTCACCAGCACTCGAAGCAACCCATTTCCTTTTCTGCCACATATGTTTATCACACAATTCTTGCTTTCTATCAAGCCAAAATTTGTTTCCCTGTATCTTCCACTTTTTGTTTCTGGGTCTAATCTCTATATTGTAGGGAATTAGTCTAGTCATCTTAATAACAGTCCTTCAAGCATTCAAACAGCCACCATTGCTCCTGGGTGTCTTCGGTTTTCTAAACCAAAATCTCTTCCTTATTTATTGGTTGTTCCCTTAAACAGACTATAATTCTGTTTTTATTGTGACACTAGAATCATCTTCATAGCAACAACTGATATAACATATCAAGGCATTTTTGTCTTGCTAAACAGCAGCAGAGGCAGTAAACACAGTGTCATCTTAATAATAGTTTAGTAGCTTTAGGTGACTGGAATGCAAGAGACATAGAGGAACCTTGAAAAATCAAGGCAGAGAGTATGGGAAATGGAGCTGGGAAAGGCAAATCAGGCCAGGATAGGAAAGGTCACATATTTCTCCTTTGCATTTATCTGTCATCCACCCATCTTTCCTTTTATTCTACCAACAAATATATATTGAGCAATTGGCACCATAATAAGCCCTGGGAAGAAAATAGTGAGCAAAACAGACATAGTTCTTGACTTTAGGCAACATGCATTCTAGTAGAGAAAAAATAGACATTAATCAATAAAATCATATGAGTATATATTTATAAATGGCAGCAAGTTCTAGGAAGTAAAAGTGTAGGCATCTATGAAGGAATGTAATGGGGGGCTGATCAAGTTGGGCATGGAATGTTCAGGGAAGGCCTTCCTGGAGGAAGGACCATTTCAGCTGAGATGTAAAGGAAAAGAAGTTAGTTATTAGGCAAAGAGGAGGTGGACAGGGTCAGATGGAGGAAAGCATTCCAGACGGAACAGCATGTACAAAGATCCTAAGGTAGAGAAACTAAAGCAGTGCCAAGATACCCTGAGGATGAAGATGAGGGTAGAAGTGGTGAGAAATGAAGTTAGACAGGGGCACGGTTAGGGGACATTGAAGGTCAAGCTAAGCAGTTTAATCTTTATTTCATGAACAGCTAGAAGCCATTAAGGGAGTATTATCATGTCCAGAGATGGTGGCTTACCCTGTAATCCCAGCACTTTGTGAGACAGAGGTGGGAAGATCACTTGAGGCCAAGAGTTTGAGTCCAGCCTGAGCAACATAGACTCTATCTCTACAAAAATAAACATTTTTCAAAAGAAATATATTTTTTAAAAGCCCAGGCACAGTGACTCACACCTGTAATCACAGCACTTTGGGAGGCTGAGGCAGGAAGATCCCTTGAGTCCAAAAGTTCAAGACCAGACTGGCAACATAATGAGACCCTGTCTCTACAAAAAATTTAAAAATTAGCCAGGTGCAGTGGTGTGCACCTCTAGTCCCAGCTATTTGGGAAGCTGAGGCAGGAGAATCCCTTGATTCCAGGAGTTTGAGGTTACAGTGAGCTATAATCATGCCATGGCACTCTAGCCTGGGTGACAGAGATAGACCCTGTCTCTTAAAAAAATAAATAAATAAAGTATTTTCATAAGGTTTTTGTAGTAAGAAACATGACTAGATGTATGCTTAGAAAAATGCTGTGGCCATAGGTGTAGGAGGTTGGACCAAGGACACACTTGGCACAGGGCTGACTGCTGGGGGTCAGGGAGTAGAATGAACCACGT
Source organism: Homo sapiens (assembly GCF_000001405.40). NCBI lineage: Eukaryota > Metazoa > Chordata > Mammalia > Primates > Hominidae > Homo > Homo sapiens. Next base: position 119,288,904 of record NC_000001.11, read on the forward strand.
GTGAGAAGAGGAGGACTGAATGAAGAAGGTGACGGTGGGGAGTCATCACTTCAGAATGTACCAGTATGGAAGCTGGAGCAGCTACTATATTTATCTCATAGGACTGAAGGCCGGAAAGAGAAAGAATTTAAATGACTTGCTCAAGGTCACATAGCTGGTTGGTGTAGCAGAAGAAGTGTGGGAACCCAGACCCAAACTAAATAACAGTCCACTAGTGATATGGTTTGGCTGTGTCCCCAACAAAATCTCATCTTGAATTGTAGTTCCCATTATCCCCTCATGTAGTGGGAGGGACCTGGTGGGAGGTAATTGAATCGTTGGGCAGTTACCCTCATGCTGCTGTTCTCGTGATAGTGAGTTCTAACACGATCTGATGGTTTTATAAGGAGCTTTTCCACCTTTTGCTGGGCACTTCTCCTTTCTGCCACCTTGTGAAGAAGGACAAGTTTGCTTCCCCTTCTGCCATGACTGTAAGTTTCCTGAGGCCTCCCCAGCCATGCTGAACTGTGAGTCAATTAAGCCTCTTTCCTTTATAAATTACACAGTCTTAGGTATGTCTTTATTAGCAGCATGAGAATGGACTAACGTACCTAGTCATCCCACTTTCTTTTTTCCTGGAAAAGAGATCTTGGGAGTATCAAGAATGGATAATAATGTCTAACAACAGCTGGGCACGGTGGCTCACGCCTGTAATCCCAGCACTTTGGGAGGCTGTGGTGGGCAGATCATGATGTCAGGAGTTCAAGACCAGCCTGGCCAACATGGTGAAACCCCGTCTCTACTAAAAATACAAAAATTATCTGGGCATGGTGGTGCATGCCTGTAATCCCAGCTACTCAGGAGGCTGAGGCAGGAGAATCGCTTGAACCCGGGAGGCGGAGGTTGCAGTGAGCCAAGATTGCACCACTGCACTCCAGCCTGGGCGACAGAGTGAGACTCTGTGTCAAAATAATAATAATAATAATGTCTAACAACAGTGTTTCTCAGACAAGAAAATGGCAGGGTGGGGGTAGGGGTGTAAGGAGACTGAAACATGTGCTTCTTAAACAGGAACCAGAGTTTCCACAACTTAGCATTGAATAGGAGATCTCTGGGTTTTAAGGTTGCTTGTCATTAACTTGCTTTGTCATTTTCCCTATTCTCTGTTGTGATTATAAAAATGGATGTTAGATCTCTGCATATACTCAGGAAATGGTTGCCACAATTAAGGTAAGAGACATATATAGACCACCTCCAAAAGTTTCCTCGTGACTCTTTGTTTCTTGGGGGTTTTGTTTGCTTTTGTAATAAGAAAATACAAGATCTACCTCTTAACAAATTTTTAAGTGCACAATACAGTCTTGTTAACTACAGTCACAATTAAATTGCACAGCAGATCTCTAGAACTTACTCATCTCAAACTCATCAAGTTGTATACATTAAATGTGTACAGCCTTTTGTATATCAATTATACCTCAATAAAGCTGTTTAAAAAAAGAGGTTAGATCTAGAAGGGATTTGGTCTAACGTTTAGTCCAGAGTTTTGCAACTGTGTGTCACAGCACAACAGGGAAGTACAGTCCCTCCAGAAGGGTGCTGCTGGCTGGGCATGGTGGCTCACGCCTGTAATCTCAGCACTTTGGAAGGCTGAGGTGGGTGAATCACCTGAGTTAGGGAGTTGGAGACCAAACTGGCCAACACGTGAAACCCCGTTTCTACTAAAAGTACAAAAATTAGCTGGGTGTGGTGGTGCTAACTTGTAATCCCAGCTACTGGGAAGGCTGAGGCACAAGAACCACTTGAACTCAGCAGACAGAGAGGTTGCAGTGAGCTGAGATTACACCACTGCACTCCAGCCTGGGCAACAGAGTGAGACTCCATCTCAAAAAAAAAAAAAAAGCGTGCTGCCAAATGTTCACTGATATGTCCATTTCTGTTATATGTGAATTGCCATTATGGCAATACTGTCCAACAGAATACAGAATTGAGCAGGTCATGTGATCTGGTAAGAAGAGATCACTGGGACCAAGAGCTAAGGGGTATGACCTTTACCAAAACACACACGAGAATATTGGGAGCAGGCAAGAGAAGCCAAGGTCAGAGCAGATTCTACTGAAACAGCCGCCCAGAACTAAAGGGTGACTGTGCTTAGAGCCCTAAGAGGACACTGTTAACAGGCACCGTGAGACTTTGCTGTACTGATATGATGATTATGGGGTGAATTCATGTGGTTCAGAGGCTTTTCATCCCTTCAGGGAGTACTACCAGAACTCCTAGTGTACCTCAAATCCCAAAAAATTAAAACTACTCTTCTAGTCCATAGGGAAAGACCAGGTGACATGACACCAAACACGATTAGGACCCAGTTCTCTATCACGTATCTACTACTAAAGCCATCCACATAAAAGACCTCCCATTTCGAAGTAGAACAATAATAAATATGAATTTTAAAATATGTAAGGTAATGCCTAAAAATCTAAATTTAAAATAAAAGCACTGGTGATTTGAATGCCAGGGTTCCAAATAAAAATTTGATTTCAAATATTATTTTATTCGTTCCTCCAAATAAAATTTAAGAAGCTGATAGATGAGAAGCTTAGATTTGGTTATTTATAAATGACTCGAAGTTTTTTTAATGTCAAAGTCTCCAGAAGCAAGAGAAATACATTCAATATTAAGGAAATGATTACTTGGAATGAGCCAATTTCCATCTTAAGAAATTAACTTTCTGTATCAGACTCATCTTAAGGGTCTCCACAGATTTTCTCAGCCGCACTGTCTCTCAGGCCCTCAATTGCTTGCTTTGCTGTCAGGGTGACCAGCTTTGCACCAGCTAGAGTCTCTAGCTCCTACCACCAAGTCCAAATTTGGATGAAGCTCCACACCACAAGGCATGGAATCTGGCTTCCCCAAGGCATGGAATCTAGCTTCCCCAGGGCATGGAATCTGGCTTCCCCGGGGCATAACCAAAGGACTGGTCATACAACCCAGAAGTGCCAGGGAGTTACTTTTCTAGGGCAGAACATTAACCAATTGGAGGCAAAGAGTGAGAGAGGAGTATTGGATAAATTGTCTCCCTTCCTTCCTTCCTTCCTTCCTTTGTTCTTCCTTTCTCTTTCTCTCTTTCTGCCTCCCTTTGTCTCTCTCTCTTTTTCTCTTTTTATCTCTCTCTCTCTTCCTCTCTCTTCTTTCTTTCTTTCTTTCATTATTTCCCTTTTCTCTCCCCAACTTCTTTCTGCTGGGGGATTGTTTCTGTCTGTAGAGACTTGACTTTAAAGAGTAAACATATACACATTTAAGTGGTATTCATACACCCCCTTATCTAAGAATGGAGAATAGTACCTCTGAAGAATACTTAAATATGTAAATTTCAATGAGCATAATTAGGACTTCAGTGGGACAAAATCACCATTTTTATCCTCTTCTTTGATGAATGCTGCATTGCTGAACTAAGAAAAGCAAGAAGACAGATGTGTATAATGCCTTTACTTTTTCAGAGATAGGCCTTTAGTGCATTTGAAATTTCTCTGCATACTTTTTTATTGTAAAAACACGCGTTATCTTTATTACTATAGGTAATAAAGAGAAGCCAAAATCCAAGGCGCCCACACCAAGCTCCTCAATGCCTTGGAAGATGTTCCAGCTTCCTCTTGTACAGTATGTTAAGCATATCCTTGTGCCAGGTGCTGTTTTATATGCTTTATATACCTTCCTTTAGTTACTTTTTACAATGATCCAAGAAGTGGATGTTATTGTTACTTCCATTTTCCAGGGGAGAAACTGATGCTCAGATTGCTTAGGTAATGTGGTGGTTAATACTGAGTGTCAACTTGATCAGATTGAAGAATACAAAGTATTGATCCTGGGTGTGTCTGGGAGGGTGTTGCCAAAGGAGATTAATATTTGAGTCAGTGGGCTGGGGAAGGCAGACCCACCCTTAATCTGGGTGGGCACAATCTAATCAGTTGCCAGTGAGGCTAGAATATAAGTAGGCAGAAAAATGTGAAAAAGAGACTGGCCTAGCTTCCTAGCCTACATCTTTCTCTCGTGCTGGATACTTCCTGCTCTTGAACTCCAAGTTCTCAGTTTTGGAATTCAGACTGGCTCTATTTGCTCCTTAGCTTGCAGATGGCCTATTGTGTGAACTTGTGACCGTGTGAGTTAATACTTAATAAACTCATATATGTGTATATATATACACTCATATATGCATATGTGTGTGTGTGTGTATATATATATATATATATATCCTATTAGTTCTGTCCCTCTAGTCAGGGTCCCTCTAGGACATTACTCTGACTAACACAGGTAATGTCCGCCGTCACAAGGCATATCAAAGAAGCAAAGCTAATGGATTACAAAGTGCTTGCTCTCTGCCACATTCTTACCCATGACTTCCATTCAGGGTGACAGGTGGCTACCACTCTCAGTTTGTAGGTAGGGAGCATAGGTGCCACCAGCATGAGGAGAATAGTGAAAATAGCACATGCTGCAGGAAAAGAAGCAGAGAATGATGCCACGTTGTCCCCATGTCCCTATCTCAGTGCTTTCACTCCTGGCCAGTCACCACCCTGTCATCTTCCCCCAGGGCAGATGTCAAAGTCAAGGTCCTAGAGAAAACCTTGGCCTCAGCCCTATCAGGTGGAAAGGAGGGGCGCTGGGGGAGAGAGCTCTTCCTTCCGTGGACCTCCGCAGCCCCAGGGGAGAGAAGGGGAAGGCCATTTGGGCACCGGCCATTTTTCTCTGTACCCCTGTATCTCACTTCAGTCTCCCATCACACACCTCCAACCACAATTTAACCTACCACCTCCTCAGGTTCATCTGGGCTTTAGCAATTACTCCCTCACATTTTACTAAGACTTGTTTTAACTGCCGAGGGAAAACAGACTCAACATGATGGACGCTAAAAAGTTCATAGGCAACTATTTTGGGGTTCTTTGGCCTTTGACTCCACTGCACCTGGGGCAGCAACCTTCCTGTTCCTTTCTGCCTTGCTAGCCAGGGTTTCCTAAGCTTTGCTCTGCCTCCTCTGCCTAACCCCCTCCTCTGGCTCTTGCTTCCTCTGTCCCTCCTCCCCACCCCAACCAAGTGTGCCAGGCTTGTCCCTGTGCTCATCAGCTCTGAGTCAGATTCCTACCCCTACCTTAGCGGCACCACTTCGAGTTAGGCCAAAGCACTGAACAGGCCCTCTTGCAGTTCCCTGTTCCCAGGCGGGAGCCCCTAGCCCCTCTCTCCTCTCTTCCTCAGGCTTCTTAATGCCTCACACTCTTCCTTTCATTGAAAACCTGCAGAATAGAAAAACAAACAAACAAAAAACAGATACGCCATGGTGCAATTTATCTTTTTTTATTTATATGATAAATGTTTTCATGGCCTAATCTTTGTAAGGAACCAGGATAACATTTGACCTTTGGCTGGTGTTCCACCCCAGAGGACAGCATATCTTAAGGCAGGAGCAAGCAACTGCATGAATAGGGATGAAAAGCCACAGGACAGCTCAGGGCAATTGCTGGAGATTAATGTTCATGCAGGGAGGGGCAGACATGGGGACCAGAGGCTAGGCAGGGTCGAGGTCCTAGTGGGAAGGCGAGCCCTCCCAGGAACACATGCAGACTGCACCCTGTGCTCACCAGGAGCCAAGATACTTTTAGCTGGTATAATGACAAAATCTGAAATGCATTCTAACATGATACTTTTACTGAAGAGTGGGATAATATGGCATTTGTTATTGCCTGTCCTAGGAGGGGTTTATATTCTAATAAAAGTAAAAACTCAAGCTAAGCAAACTAAACCCTAGAATTCAGGAATCATTGTACAGGCAGGGCAGGGATTTGGGGGAAGATAGACACCTCAGCCCATGGAAATTACAACAGGAAAATCACTCCCTACACCCACCCTCCTGCCTGTTCTCCAAAACTTGAAGAATAACATTACCAGCAGAAGGAAAAACCAGTCCCTGATTCCCACCCCCACCCCCATCCAGTTCCCTCCTTCTTTTGTTAAAGCTTTCTGTAGAGAGCAATGACTGAGAGGATCAAAGCATCTACTTCCTTCCCTTTGATGTGTGGTCTGAGACAGGCTCTGATGTCAGCCACGTGTTGTATTTCATTAGACCTGATATTAAGCTTCCTAGAGGTCAGGACGACCATGCTGCTTTAAGAACCAGGCTATAAGAAGGCTCACTTTGCTGAAAATATCAGAGGTCTCAGCACCCCTTCAGACCCACTAGGAAATTATACAGGTAAAGAAGTTGGAGTGTCTTTTCTTGATCTTTACTGCTTTGTATTATGAGGCCTCTCTTCAAGCTTACTTTTCTGCCAGAACAGTCCATATTCTGCATTCTGAAATCATATTCCTTCCTCATGTCAAATTTTGGAGCTTCAAGCAGGTATGAAGAGGGCAAGTTTTGGAGAGAGCTCCTGCTTTCTCTAAAACTGAACCTCAGCTGATTTCAAGCCCTGGGTTATCCTCTGGCCAAGTAAGATGAGCTCTGGGTAATAGCATGAGATTTGCTAGTGGTATTTCAAGAACCAGAGTAGAAACTCTAATTAACCTCTCCCCAGAGTAAATTTTTAACCATAAATTTTCTCCTGTTTGTAAAACAAGCGGTTTAAGCTGCACGTATGCCCCAGAGGAATAAATTTCATAGCACATCTTGATTTCAGGCTGCATTCAGAATTTGCTATGGGAAAGTGCTTTTAATGGAAAAACCGAGACTTTCATCTGAGTTAAGGCTGTTCATTTCCCAGGGCAGATTGAAGGCTCAGGCAAAGCCCTGGACCCATCTCTCCTGTGACTGAAGTCACCTTGTCTGCAAAATGGGGGAGTAGTTCTTAACACCACTCAGTGGGCATCAGGTTCCCCAAATACAACCTTAGCACCCTCAAAAAAAATTAATAAATTAGAGCTGTCATCCAAAAAGAAAAATAGAGAGAGAATTCTGTTGGACTTCCTTATCATTACTTTATGTTTTCATGTATATTTTTTAATTTTTTTCTTTTTTTTTGAGACGGAGTCTGGCTCTGTCACCCAGGCTGGAGTGCAGTGGCACGATCTCGGCTCACTGCAAACTCTGCCTCCCGGGTTCACACCATTCTCCCGCCTCAGCCTCCCGAGTAGCTGGGACTACAGGTGCCCGCCACCACACCTAGCTAATTTTTTTGTATTTTTTTAGTAGAGATGTGGTTTCACCATATTAGCCAGGATGGTCTCTATCTCCTGACCTTGTGATCCTCTCGCCTCAGCCTCCCAAAATGCTGGGATTACAGGCATGAGCCACCAAGCCTGGCCCCTATTTTTTAATTTTCTATAACTTGATGAGAGTATCCTCTTTTCAGTGCTTAGGGCGTCTAATAGTCTTCATTAGCCCCAAATAGGAATAGGCCTCTTGACCCTTACCCCAAGCCTCCCTTTTTTGTCTCTGTGAGTCTCACAGCTGAGCCATTTACCTTCCTTCCTTCAGCTGTTTCTGGCCCTTTGGTCCTCTTAAGTCTTGCTCCTATTTGTGCAGAGCAAGGCAGATGCCCTTGCTTTGTCACTGTCCCTAAAAACAATTACAGAGCCCTTTCCTTTGTTGAGTTTTTTTCCCTGATAATTTTTTGGAGATGGATAAAACCAAGTGCAGGGAATTTGCTGCAGGCAGTCCTTGTTCTTGAAGTTCTTAGCAGATGGTGCAGATCTAGGCTCATGTCCTGGCTCTGCCTCTCAAAACCAGGTGGCCTTGGTGACTCCCCTAACCATTCTCAACCCAGTCTCCTCATCTGTAAAACTTACTTAGGGCACTGTGTGAAGAGTAACTGAGGATCAAGTAAGGATTCAGAAGGCAGCTCTCTCACTTATCTGAGATAATTTCTCACTCCTCTTCCTCTCTCTCCCTCTAGTCTTCATTCTAGCCACAACAAACTGAAGATGGCATGTCCCATGCGGGCCTTTGCATGAGCCTTTCTCTGGCTAAAATGCCCTTTTTTCACTTCTCTGCTATGCTATCCTATCCTATTCTGTCCTGTCCTATACTGTTCTGTCTTGTCCTGTCTTGGCCTATCCTTTCTTGTCCTGTCTTGTCCGATCCGATCCTATCCTGTCCTGTCCTATCCTTTCTTGTTCTGTCTTGTGCTATCCTATCCCATCCCATCCCATCCCATCCCATCCCATCCTTTCTTATCCTATCCTGTCTTGTCCTGTCCTAGCCTAGCCCAGCCCAGCCCAGCCCAGCCCAGCCCAGCCCAGCCTAGCCTAGCCTAGCCTATCTTGACCTATCTTGTCCTATCTTATCCTACCCTGTCCTGTCCTATTTTATTCTATCCTGTAATGTCCTACGCTATCCTCAAAACTCAGCTCTATTTTCTCTGGGAAAGCTTCTCAGAGAGTTAGTTAACTCCCTCTCCAGTGATGCTGTAGTATTTCAAATGAACATTATGATGTGATAAGTACTGCAAGTTTGTCTACTTATTTCAACTAGACTAAGATCACTACAGAGCAGAGATCAAGTCTTTTGCAGTTTTCTAAATTTATGTGGCACTTCTGTTAATAATAATAGCTACCTTGAATTTACTATGTGCTAGGCAATGTGCTACTCATTCATTTATTCATTCACTGACCCACAAATGTTTATTGAGTACCTGTGGTAGTCCGTAAAGCCTATTTTAAACGCTTACCATATGTGTGTCTCTATGCATCCAGAAAAGTTCAACACTTATAATTTTGAATAAAAATGATGTTTATGTCCATCTGCATAATGTACTAGTTAGTGGGCCTTCATAAATTGGTAAATTCTGTAATTCTCAGCTCCGAATGCCAAACAGGATTAATAACGACAACAACAAAACTCTTTAGGACACATTATAATGAAAAGTAAGAGTATCAAAAACAGCTTCTAGAGAGGAAAGGAAGACTGACTACAAAAGAATAAGAATCTGATTCATATCAGACTTAACACTGAAAACAAGAAGAACAAAAGGGTAGTTAATATCTTCAAAAATGTACAAGGAAGAAAGGAACTTTGAATCTAAATTTTCTAATTTGCCATGGCCTGAGGAGGGTGCCATGAGTTGAGAAGTATAGTCATCTCATTTCTGTACCTTGAGGGTAAGTGAGAGCATGGAAAGCATAAGCCTGGGTAGGTATCACAGCTGAAGACCAAAAAAGACAGAAGTCTTGGTCCTCGAGACACTCTGTTCCCAGGATAATATATGTGATCTTAATGCCCGTTCCTCTGGTGCCAGCCTGTGGCACCAGTTAGGGTGGTGATAGTGGCAGTCAACCCCATATTTAATGTGCTGCCTAAAGTTCCACCGATAACTGACTTCATCACGCTCTCCTTCTTTCCTAATGATTGAAGTTAAATGGAACCCTAGGCGTTTCTAACCTAAAAGCGAGTGATTAGGAAACATTTTTAATCACACTTACCATGCTCTATAGAAACTGTAAAGCTGGCCCAAAGAAACCAGCTAGAGTAGCCAGATTCCAAGTGTATATCACCAGATAACAGACCAATTTCTTTTTTTTCTTTTTCTTTTCTTTTTTTTTTTTTTTTTTTTTTGAGACAGAGTCTCACTCTGCTGCCCAGGCTAGAGTGCAGTGGTGTGCAATCTCAGCTCACTGCAACCTCCACCTCCTGGAGAACCCCAATTTCTGATCCCTCATCCTTGCCTATACTCTGGTGGTCAGATGTAACAGCAACAGAAATGGGGGTGGTGGAGGCAGGTGCTGTTCCTGGAGGCCCTAATAATCTGCTAAGCAGCAGCTGGAAGCAGACTTTCAGCTAATGCATATAACATTCTGGTTGCATCCAGTACCCTTTTGGTTTTGAGTAATACATCTCTTATTTAAGTAATATATTATCAGAGTTGTTACTTTTACTTTTGGCAAACCATAAAGAGGAAAAGTCAACCTACATGGTTTGGAGAGTAGAACATACATCAAACACAAAGACCAAACCTAAGCATTAGCAAAGAATTAGAAGAAAGAGATGCTTTGGTTGAATAGGCAAAGTGCCAACCCTTAGTGGTTAGGCACTAAGCCAGGTGCTGGAGAACAAGACAGACCTATTCACTGGTCTCATAGTGTGCTATATAATTTTTTTAAATGACTGCCATCAATTTTTTTCCTCCCTATATGTGCATAACTAGTGGGGTTTATTTCTCCTCCCCTTGGATTTATGACTACTTAAACCAATAAAATGCAGTAGAAGTGAAATCCTGGGACTTTTGACCCCAGGTTTTACAAAGACTTGCCATTTCCACTTTCTTCCTGTTGGAATCCAGCAACTATGCTGTAAGAAGCCAAGTCAAATGGAGAGGCTACATGGAAGGAATACTGAGGCCCTCCAGTCAACAGCCCTCACTGAATTTCCAGGCAACAGCCTGCATCAACTAACAGCTTTATGGATAAGCTGTCTTAGACACACCAGCTGGTCCAGTCCCCAGATGACTGAAGCTCCAAACATCATTTAGAGGAGAAGAATCACCCAGCCTAGCCCAGTCACCCTGCAGAATCATGAGAGTTAATAAAATCAATATTGTTTTAAGCCACTATTTGGTCATTTTTTATGATGGAGTAGATAATGAAAACATAATGCTTCTAGTGTAGCAGAGAAGAACGGCATTAAGTACAGTGGTAAAATGTGATGAGTGTCCAAGGTACTATGAGAGTATAGAATATGTCTCCAAGTTGAGATGTTAGTGTAGGAGTTAACCATTTATAAAAGAGATGTGGGTTCCAAAGTCATGGGCTTGTGTGAGGGCAAGAAAGAAAGAGTGCAGAGCTTTTCTAAGGAGCTGACGTAACTTTAGTGCCGCCTGATCCTGAAGTGTGAGGAAGAGGAATAAGATGAGAGAGGGAAGTATTATTTAGAATGTCATAAATATCATAAATGCAGTGGGGGGCCTTTGAAGCACTGTAAGCCTAGAAATAAAGTAACTGATTTTGTGATGTTTCATCTTGACTGAGGTATATGTGTGAGTACTAACAAATCCAGTAAATTTTTATTATACCTATTTTTAGATAGATAGATGGGAAAATGGGGACTCTTTTTGGGAGATTCCTCATCAGCACTCTTAGCTGGTTTGGGGCATATGGTACTTTTGTTCTTGGCTATGGGAGCTCTGGTCCCTAGGCTTGGCTGCCTTTGAGTTAGCTAATGAGTGGGACTGGGACTGATGGTTTCCACATGAGCTGCCTCTGAAAGGCTCTTGGCATGGACAGGTACAACTCCATCTCCAGTGTTAAACATTGTTGATCATCTATCCCAACAACCCACCAGAGACGCCTGCTGTCTTTCAGGAAATTCCATGCTCCTGGGCCAACCCCATTGTTTGAATGCCCCTGCACATCTCCCAGGGAGCTGCTCTAAAGCCTGGCCAGAAAGAAGAAATAGATACGGACCCAATGTGACTGGAAAATTTGGGCAGGAAGCTATGAAATGAGATGCAACTTGGAAAAATACAGATTGCTACATCTGGGAGAGAAAATAATATGTCACTAGCAACCCCTGCAAGCACCATCACCAGATATAAAAATACATTTAAGCGTAGGAACAGAGGTAGATTACGGTCAAGCTAACAAGGCTGAGACTTCAGACCCCTCAATTGTCTCAATTGTGTCGGCCCCTTCCAAGTGCTTGGGAGAGCCTAACAATGTGTTCTTCATATATTTTTGTAAATTTGCAAAGATATGCTATTTTAACATTTATTTTTCTTAAATAGGGCTCCCCCAAATTGCATAAGCTTCATAGGACACAAAACCTGGATCTACCCCCAGGGCAGGCTGAAATGTTCAGTAGCAAATCAACAACAATGTTGATGGTGCCCCTGCTAAATGAGAACCTCTCTTCCTAGCCCAGGAAACTCTGTTGGAATAGTTCCTTCAGACCAAATGTAATGAAGTTAGGTTCAAACTGCCAGGGCACATCACTGTATAAGGCTGTGGACAAATTCAGGGCTAGGTGTTTGCAGGCAAAGCTACAACATGACGTGATAAAGACTGATCTTTGGCACAGTCACGAAATCAGGGAAATACACTCTAACGCTACCCACATAGTGTTCCTCTCTCCTTTTCACCAGATTTTGCTTGGGTTTAAAAGCCCGATGGATTCTGTTCACACTGAATCCATCAGCTATAACTGACAATGGTCAAAAAGTGTTTGGAGACAGGGGTTGGTATCCTTATGTTACTGAAATTCGAAGCCTTAGAGTTAAAGAATTATATTCTACTAGTAGAATTAATTTCAGAAATGAAGAAGAACCCAAAGTATTTCTGAGAAGGCTTTTAAATCCACGGTGGGCTTAAGGGCAAGGCTGTCCCTCTGTAAGGGGTGACTCAAGCCTCCTTTTGGGAGTCTGCAAGGCACCACCTGAGGCAGCAGAAAGAAAGCTCAAAAGTACATTTTTGAAATCTCATATGCAATTTTTATTCTATTCCATGCAGAAAAATGTTTCCAGCTATTTCCTGTTGAATAAAACTGACTGTATGAGAAGACGCAAAACTATTATCCTGTGGTTCCCTGTCCCACCCTGCTATCTGTCACGGGCCCCCTTGGTTGTGTGTACCCCAGGTAGAGAAGCACACTTTCATTCATTTAGCATGGAGCTTGCAGGAGCAGCTTTGGCTCAAGAGAAGGACTCTACAGCATGGGACACAAAGGAATATCCAGTATCTGGAAGAGTTTCATGCTTTCATATTTCAAATTACAATTCTACAGGGCTGTGCTTCTCAGCCTGTCCCTTAAGAGTGCACAGACATTTGGCAGAAAGAGCATCCCCCAACATGGCCAGGCTGGCTTTGCTAGAGGCACCATGGAGACATGAGGAATAGCATTATTAACAACAGAGATGTGCTGGGGCCTGGCTGAGCTTGGGCTCAGTGCTGAAGCCTGGAATCTGCCCCTTTACCGGTGATAACAAAATGCATCTCCCATTTGACTACTGGTGTTCTTGTCTGTGCTCCTTTATCTGAAGTTTACAGATATCACATTTACCAAACAATAATAGCCTTCAAATTATTGAAGGTGGACACTAGACTCTTGACATTGAGGAAAAAGGTGACAAAAATGAGGTTTGTCTTTGATCCTTTCTGCCTAGTTTCCTGTCCCCTTCACTTTCTGTCCTTTGCCCCTCATAGGAGCTCCCTCTCCTCTGAGACATAGGACTCTACCAATGTAGACTTATAGTCAGCCCTCTAACCATAGTGGAAAAAAAATGATCAGGAAATGTACATTGAGGTGTCTAGGACTTGGTGGCTAAATCCTCTTAGAAATACCCCCTGCAGTGAACATGGGAGAGCAGATGTCTATATGAAACAGTGAATGCGCTACATATTAATACATATTCTGCCTTCAAAAAGAATGAGACCTTGCCATCTGCCACAATATGGATAAGCATAGAGGATATTATGCTAAATGAAATAAGCCAGACGCCAAAAGAAAAATATTATATGATCTCACTTACATAGGGAATCTAAAAAAAATTCCATTATACAGAGAGAGAGAACAAAACAGCGATTACCAGAAGCAGGTGGTGTGGAGAGGAGGAAATGGGGAAATGTAGATCAGAAGATACAAAGTAGCAGAGATATAGGATAAATAAGTCTAGAGATCAAAATACAACATGAGGACTACAGGTAATAAAATTGTACTTTACATGGAATTCATGCTAAATGAGTATATTTTAGCAGCTCATTTAACAAACAAACAAAAGTGGTTAACTATGTGAGATGATGGATATGTTAAACTGCTTCCCTACAGCAACCTTTGCAGTATCAGTATGTATCCCATAACATCATATTGCATACCTTAAATATTCACAATAAAACTTATTTTTTTAAAAAAGCAAAGAAAATGGCAAACAAGATGAATAAATCTTTAATGATAAACTCTCAAGCATCTACAGAGGAATTCTATTTCATGTTGTTTTGCAGTGAAGCTTCAGCATCCCTCAAATCATCATTCCCCTTCTAGAAAAGGCAGGTCCTATCAGGAACCCCTCAACTGGACTTTATGAGTACCTGAGAGCAAAATCTGCTTGGGGCAATGGTCAAGCATCCCAGGCTATCAGCGTAGCTCAGTTGAGCTGGGATTAATATTTTGAGAATTAGAAAAATGTACTTCCAAATCCCGGAGGAGATTTCCTTGAGCCAAACTGTACTCCTTCAATATGCAGTAATTGCTGCAATGTCTCTGCCTAGAGCTTTTAAATAGACCTATGAATTCCCACAAGCTGTCTGTCCACTCCTCCCAGCCTGAATGTGGGATGAGGAGATGCCCAGCCACAGAAGCCTCTGCTGCATGGCGTCTAGGGGTCATGGTGACCAGTGCACTCAGTCTCAGAAAACCAGCCCCAGCCAGAGAGATGCATAGAGTCCCATGAAAGAAGAAGGTCCAGCCTCATCTGAGACATTTGTTTGTAGGATGCCTCTTACATCTATTCCTTGACTTATTACTGACCATTCAGCTTTTGAGGGCACTGTGTTCCCTGACTTCTTCCCACTTTTTGATGTAATTCTGCTCTGCTTGCCTATAACACACACACACACACACACACACACACACACACACCTGCATGACACCTTTGTTCCTTCCATCCAAGCCATCTCTCAAACTTCCTTCTTTGTTTCCCAAATGCTCCTTTCAGGCACAGCTCATCCAGGGAATGCCAGCCCTGGTTTTGTGCGGCATCAAATGCAGCCCTTCCCATGCATAGCCCAACCCCACAGGATTTCCCCTTCCTAGGTCAGCAGGAGAAACATGGGCTCAAACAGTAGGTCTTAACTGTTCAAGGGACCTGGCAAGATTTGGGGGGGAAAGTTCCAACAAGTTCAAATAAATCCAAATTATAGGGACAGTGTTAGTTGTGATTTAGAATCAGCTAAATAACAAAGCCAAAGGCACGAAAAGAAGGTGGGCAACACTAAGCACATTTACCCATTTCTCCTTCTGTAGTCTTCAACTTTAAACCAATGTGATTTGTGGCCCCATTATTCTGGCTGGCTAGTGTCAGAAGCCAAGAAAAAAGCAGTTAATTTCCAAGTGAGCTTGGCTCTAAATGTAGAGAGCCTCTCAGCACATTGGGGCTAGCCATATTATGGGGTCACTGTCCCCTATGACAGCCTCCAGCAGGGAACAAAAAGCCTGTATCCTGGCTGCGTTCCCTTGCCCTGGACTCTGTCCCTGATTGGGTGGGTCTCACTCACTTGGCATATGTGTGAAGGCATCTGTCTGTTTCCTGCATTCTTCTTTGGGCTGAAACTGATTTATTTCAAAATCTGTTATGTATTTAGGATGTGTCATGCCCAGAATACTGGGTTTCAGGGCTTTTCCAGTAACTTGTACAATTAATTACACTTTATATACGGGCTATTAGGACTTGAGCTGGCATAAGGCATATATATTAGGCAAGAATAGTATGCAGATGGTGTATAACAACTAAACCAATGGCTGACATTTGTGCAATGTGCTGTAGTTTGCAAAGCACTTTCACATGCCGTATCACTTTTGGTCCTCACGATAATCCCCTTGAGATAGGTAGCAGAGGAAGAAAGATTATTACTCCCATTTTACAAGTGATAAATATGGGACTTAGAGAGGCTAAAAATGGCAGAGTCAGAACTTGACAAATTCCACTTAAGAACTCCCAGGCTGGGCCTGGCGCAGTGGCTCATGCCTGTAATCCCAGCACTTTGGGAGGCCGAGGCGGGCGGATCATGAGGTCAGGAGATCGAGACCATTCTGGCTAACACGGTGAAACCCCATCTCTACTAAAAATACAAAAAATTAGCCGGGCGTGGCGGGCGCCTGTAGTCCCAGCTACTTGGAGGCTGAGGCAGGAGAATGGCATGAATCTGGGAGGCGGAGCTTGCAGTGAGCGGAGATCGTGCCACCGCACTCCAGCCCGGGCGACAGAGCGAGACTCCGTCTCAAAAAAAAAAAAAAAAAAAGAAAAGAAAAAGAACTCCTAGGCTGAAAAATATGCAACTTTAGCCCTTGGAGTTCTTTAGTTACTTTGTTTGAAATTTCCTGTCATTAGCCTGCGTTTACTTTTTATTTAACATCTTTATTAAAGTATAATTGACATACCATAAACTGCACATATTTAAAGAGCACAACTTGGTAAGTTTTGACATATGTATATACCCGTGAAATCAGCACCATAATTAAGATAGCGAACATATCATCATTTCCAAAAGTTTCCTTGGGCCTTCCTTCTTGCTCTCCCCAACTGTCCCCAGGCAACCACTGATTTGCTTCCTGTCACTATATATCAGTTTGCATTTCTTAGGATTTTACATAAATGAAATCTTATGGTATGTACTCTTTTTTTATTGACTTCTTTCTTGCAGCATAAGATTCAATAATTTTGTAGCATGTATCAACAATTCATTTGTTTTTATTGGGGAATTGTATTGTATTCTATTGCTATGTCACAGTTTGTTTATCCATTCACCAGTTGATTAACATTTGGCTTGATTTTGGGTTTCGGCTATTACAAATAAAGTTCCCATAAATATTTATGTACAAGTTTTTTTTTTGATTTTTTTTTTTTTTGAGATAGAGTCTTGCTGTCACCCAGGCTGGAGTGCAGTGGCACGATCTCAGCTTGCTGCAACCTCCACCTCCTGGGTTCAAGCAATTCTGCCTCAGCCCCCTGAGTAGCTGGGACTACAGGCATGCACCACCACGCCCAGCTAACTTTTGTATTTTTAGTAGAGATGAGGTTTTGCCATGTAGGCCAGGCTGGTCTTAAACTCCCGACCTTAGATGATCCACCTACCTCAGCCTCCCAAAGTGCTGGGATTACAGGCATGAGCCACCACGCCCAGCCAGTACAAGTCTTATATAGACAAATGTCTTCATTTCTCCTGGGTCAATATGTAGAAGTGGGATGTTTGCATAACATATTAGGTGTATGTGGAGCATTTTACAAAGCTCCCAAATTGTATTCCAAAGCGGTTGTACTATGTTACATCCTACCAGCAGTATATGAGTGTCCCAATTCCTCCCCTTCCTTGCCAACACTAGATATACTCAGTCTTTTAATTTTAGCCAATTTAATAGGTGTGTAGCAGTAATACCTCTTGTGTATTTCCTTAATGCACATTTCCTCAATTTGCTTTTCTTAGTGACTAATTATGTTGAGCATCTTTTCATGTGCTTATTTGCCATCTGTATATCTACATTGGCAAAATGTCTGTTAACATCTTTCGTCCATTTTAAAATTATGTTGTTTTGTTATTGTCGGGTTTTTTACAGTTCTTTCTAAATTCTGAGTATAAGTCACTTATTAGATATATGCTTTGCAAATATTTACTCACAGTCTATGGTTTGTCTGTTCATTCTCTGTCTTTTTAAAACTTTTATTAAGTCCAACTTATCAATCTGTTCTCTTCTGGATCATGCTTTTGATATTATAACTAAGAAATCTTTGCTAAACCCAAGATAACAAAGGTTTACTCTAATGATTTCTTCTAGAAATTTTATAGTTTTAGGATTTGCATTTATGTCTATGATCCATTTTGAGTTAATTTTTGTATATGGTGAGAGGTATGGATCAAAGTTCATTTTTGCATATGGATATCCAATTAATCTATTGTATAAAAGACTATTTTCTCACTACTTTCTGCCATTGGACGTTTGTGGAAATCACTTGTCCATATGTGTGTACTTTGCTATTTAGTCTCTCTATTCTATTCCATCAGTTTATCTGTTTATCTTTATACCAATACCACATTGTCTTGATTACTGTGAAGTCTAGTTTTATGTGCCAATTTGGCTAGGCTATAGTACCCAGTTGTACAATCAGACATCTATCTAGATGTTGCTGTGAAGGTATTTTGTAGATTTTTTTGTGAAAACGTTTTGTAGATGTGGTTAACATCTCCAATCAGTTGACTTTTTTTTAAATTATACTTTAAGTTCTAGGGTACATGTGCACAACGTGCAGGTTTGTTACATATGTATATATGTGCCATGTTGGTGTGCTGCACCCATTAACTCGTCATTTACATTAGGTATATCTCCTAATGCTATCCCTCCCCCCCTCCCCCCACCCCACAACAGGCCCTGGTGTGTGATGTTCCCCTTCCTGTGTCCAAGTGTTCTCATGTCCAACAATGATAGACTGGATTAAGAAAATGTGGCATGTATACACCATGGAATACTATGCAGCCATAAAAAATGATGAGTTCATGTCCTTTGTAGGGACATGGATGAAGCTGGAAACCATCATTCTCAGCAAACTATCACAAGGACAAAAAATCAGTTGACTTTAAGTAAAGGAGGTTACCCTCAGTAATGTGGGTAAGTCTCATCAATCATTTGAAAGGCTTTAAGAACAAAAACTGAGGTTTCCAGGAGGAGAAGAAATTCTGCTTCACAACTGCAATCTCAACTCCTGCCTGGGCTTCCAGTGCCACCCTGCCTTACAAATTTCATACTTGCCAGCCCCCACGATCGTGTGATATACATATGAATTGAGCCAACTGACACACACACACACACACACACACACACACACACACACACACACACCACGGAGAGTAAGAAAGAGAGGAAAAGCACCCTATTGGTTCTGTTTCTCTAGAGACTCCTGACTGACACAATCACTATAGCTTTATAGTGATTCTTCAAATCAAGTAGTCTTAATCCTCCAACTTTGTTCTTATTCAAACTTTCCAAATCTATACTAGTCTACTCACATATAATAAAAAAGAAGGGAAAGATCACATCCCACTGAATGTTCAGGAGGAATGTCCAAAAGAGATAGTCTGAACTGGACCCTGAGGATAGGAGAATTTTCACAAATATAGCAGAATCAGTGTTATTCCATTATAAGGGGAGGAAAGCTGCTTGAGCGAGACCTCAGAAGAATAATTTTTCCAAAATACTCTGGAAATTGGAGTCATCCAGTATGGCTAGAAAGTAAAGGGTATAGAAAAAAAAAGGCAGTATGTTTGAAAAGATACCTTGGGTTAGTGCTCTGAAACTGCCTTATACAAAAAGAAATTTATTAATACACATAATTGAGCGATCAAAGGTTATGACATCAGGCGTGGCTGGTTCCAGAAGGCTTATTCTCTTTTGTTTTTTCTCCCTCTGTTCCCCTTTCCCCTATCCCTCTCTCTCTCTCTCTCTTGTCAACTCTGCTTTTCTTTATGTTGATTTCAGTCACAGCCAGGTCTTCTCTATTAGGTGAACTCTGACAGCTATAGGTTTATACTACCTGTATAACTTCCAATCCTTGTAGGAAGAAAGCTTCTTATTTTTATACTAGTTCTAATAAAATAAAATACAAAATCCAAGAAACGAGTCTTATTTGACTCATCAGGTTACATGTCTACACCAGAACCACTGTGTTTATGAGATTGGGATATACTGGCTTTCTCGACCTGGGACCTGTGACCATCATCATGGGGGAGAAAGGTAAGGTGGAAGGTGCTGAGTGAAGTCAGCAGAATTACCACATCCTTTCAACTTCCTCCCGTGGAGACTAGGTTTTTGCAATTTCAGCATTTGTTTTTTCATTTCATCCTTAAGACTTCTCTGACTGCTGTTTTATACATTGCTTCTTCCCTTTAAAAAAAAATGTTTAAACTTCTGCTTCTTTCCCCTGCAGTGTCAGTATCACATGTGCAGGTTTCAGCACATCTTGTTGCTCCCTGCTTGTCAGTCAGTTCTCTCCAGAGTTCTAGTTTATTGCTGTCACCACTGGAGTTTGCAACAGATTTCCATTTGGCTCCTTTTGTGAATCTTATTAATATGCAGTTATCACCTCTCTCCACATCATTAAAAGACATTAACCAAAACCAAACCTAATAATGAAGTCTGAAGATTCTGCAGCAGTAACTCCTTCATAGAAACTAAGAAACTTGACAGAGGAGGAATTTGGGTAGGAAAATGGAAAGGGCTTCTTTTTCTAACACACAGAGTTTTCATCAATCTCAAAAGGAGACTTGGAGAGGAAAATAAAAGAACTACAGTGTAAGGTCAGAGAGATAGAAAAGTAGGTCTCAGCATCTGTTTCTGTATGTGTAAAGTAAAAATCACAGCCATGAGCAGCTGCAAGGTTTGGAGGTCTGGGGTTACAAGCTGCTGTTTAAGTGAGGACTCAATTATTAATAGTAAGGCTAAATGGAGGCGCGGTTGACAAAGAATTTTAGTTGTTGGCTTTCCTCCTTCATGCTCTGAAACACTCACCCTTTGGTATTAGAGGTGCTTTTCTGTGGGTTGGTGGTTTTGTTTTAGCCTGAATGTCACTCAGAGTTATCATTGCTGAAAAAAAATCATCTTTCTCCACCAACCCACAGTTGGATTTGTTTGAGTTGGACCTTTCCCTGTCTTATTCACTGTCTTGATCTTGACTGATCTTCAAAAAGTTCAAATCCGTAAGTTCACGTCCATTATCACTCTCACCTGGACCACTGAAGCAGGTAGATGTTATTATCAGTGGCCTGCTTTGTGTATCTAGGATAGGAAAGTAAAAAAGAAAAACCACTCAATGGATTAAGGATGTGACCCTTTGAAGGCAGCATGGCCATATGTCTAGTGCTACTTAATGAGTAGTACGGGGACACGATGCAAGTTCCTTTGAGGCTGGAGCATTTAATTATCAGCCGAAGACCCTCCCATGCTGGGTGCAGTGACAGAGCCCCCATCAACCTGGGTGCCTATGTGATTACAATGAGCAAAGTCTTCCTGACAATCTTTGTTGAACACATAGTCTGAGTAACCAAAAACCTTTGTTGTTTTAAATTTCTAAAATTCTAGGGTGGTTGTTTACCAAAGCATAACCTAGACTATTCTACTGATACAAATATTGGAGCCGAAAGAAGGGCTAGTATAACAATAGCAACAACAATAATATGGCCAAATGGGGGAAAAAAAACAGTCCCGAAATATATGACATTGGCTTATGTGCCAGGTGATAGGTTGTGAGAAAACTGATATTAGAGGCTTGAAAGTTGGTAATCCACTTCATTTAATGGCAAAGCATTTTATAAAGTTGCCACCTTCAGTCATTTTGCAGGCATATCATGCATCTAACTATTTTGGAGCCATATCGTGCTTCTAACTAGGAGAAGAGGTTGGGAAAGAATATCGTAGTGTGCACTGGTTGCTGTTGGCTATACCTGTCAAGGTCCTATAAGCAAGAGATGGTCTCAGCAAAGAATTCACTTACTTGGAAATAGGAATGAAAGAGAATAGAGAGCATCTAAAACTTCAGGGAGTGGTGGGGTTGCAAAGTCAACTGCTTCTCAATTCTAAACTATAAAAGATAAGAATGAGGAAGACTGTGAAAAACAAAGGCTAATAAAACTCAGCCTTGTGGGGAGGATCAAATTAAGGGTGTAGTCATTAAATACAGTTGTTAAGAGCTCTGAGTGGAGTAAGGCATCTTAAAGTAAGATCCAATGAAGGACAGGGTGCCAGTAAATCCTTTTAATCGGATAAAAGCACTCAAGGAAGGAAAGAAAGATGTGGCATGCACTTAAGTCTAGAGATAGGTTTGGGAGTGAGAAATCAAACAGCAAATAAGGGAACCACATTTGAGAAAGGGCTGAGGGAATGGTTAGTGGCACTTAAAGAGACTGAAATACAACATATGGGGAGTCTCGGCTCACTGAATTTTTGAGAGAGGCATGCAGCCAAAGGAGCCATGGGGCTTGGCTAAAAGGGCAGTGACTGTTGAGACCCTGACTTCGAATCATTCAGGGAAGGAAGTAGACTGGAATAGATGCTCCATCTCCTATGAAATCATATTCCCCAATGCCTATTTTAGATGTAGTCAAGAGGGACAAAGAAAAATAAAGAAGCTCCCATGGAGTAGACCAGAAGTGACAGAGAATAATGGATCCAAAAGCTCCTCTAACCTGAAGAATAAGAGATTAATTAAAATATATTTCCACTCCAAGGAGAGGGCCTCAAAAGTTAACCCAGCAGGATCCAGAACTTCCACAGGCCACTCACATCTCCCATTCTCCCCCTTTCTGAATAGGTGTTATCAAGATGATCACTTTCCTCTTCTATCACTGTGTATTGGGTGCAGCAGAAAGGAGGACGCAGAGCACATGTTTTTTTAGTTCACAGCTCCTTAAGGTCAAGAGTTGTGCCAGGCGTGGTGGCTCACACCTGCAACCCCAGCACATTGGGAGACCGAGGCAGGTGGATCACCTGAGGTCAGGAGTTCAAGACCAGCCTGGACAACATGGTGAAACCCTATCGCTATTAAAAAAAAAAAAAAAATTAGCCAGGCATGGTGATGGATACCTGTGGTCCCAGCTACTCAGGAGGCTGAGGCAGGAGAATTGCTTGAGCCTGGGAGGCAGAGGGTGCGGTGAGCTCAGATTGCACCCCAACCTGGGCGACAGAGCGAGACTCTGTTTAAAAAAAAAAAAAAGAGTTGCCGCATACAGACCTGATGGAGAAACCACAAGGTGAGATTCCGTAAGGAAGATTCCATGACGCTTCATTCAGAGATCTGAGACTTTGAATTTAATGTATTGACTTAGCAGGATATTTATGTTATCTTGTCGGGAAAGGGAGGAGTATGTTCCACATGTATTAAGAGGACAGAACTAAATATTTGGAGACTGAAGTCAGTCTATATCAGATCTTTCTACTGTTATCAATACTGAGTTCTCTTCTTTGAAGAATGTAGAGACTACACTTACCCACACCCTTGAAGTCAGACATGGCCCTCTAATTAGCTCTGGCCAATGGGTTGTGGGCAGAAATGATATGGGCCAGAGCACTAAAATAACAACTCAAGACCCTCTGTCTCTGCTCATTACTAACTTGAATGACTGTGGATTACTTGAAGACCATCTTACTCCATGCAGAGGAAGGAGCTTTCATCAGCCTGGGTCCCTGAGGGACTACAATGAGAAGAAGATTTCTACCAGTCTGTTTTGAACATGCAGTGTGAGTGAGAAATACACTTTTGTTTTAAGCCACTGAAATTTTAGCAGCTGCTTGTTCTGCAGCGTAAGTTTTTCTGTTCTGAATGATACACTTGCCATTCCCAAAGGCAGAAAGAAGAGGTAGAACCAGGATTCAAACTCAGTTCCGTCTGACTCAGAGGTCAAATCTTGGCCATTACCTCCCTGCCAGTTGCAAGGGTGTTACTAAAGCCAATCCTTGAACTAGGGCTGATGAGTAAAATTTAGCACTGCATAACTTTGAAAAAATTAAAACATAAAGACGTTTTAACGGTCTTGGGGAGGGTAGAGAGGGAGCCTAATGTGACTGATCGGAGGACTGAGGGATGACATTGCAAAACCTCAGTTAGCTGTTTTTTTGTCTAAGAGAGATGAAAGTTAGAGGTACTTACAGATTCACTCAATGAATTGCATAATAATCAGCTATAGAAGTAAATATTAATTATATCCTATACAAAAGTTTCTACAGCAAAATCTGAGTGACAAGTGACTATTTCTGTGTAGAAAGGGGTAGGATGGGGGAGCAGGGAAAAGTGGGAAGGAAGGAATTGATAAAAGTATATTTAGATGAATCAACCAAATTTAACATTTCTAATTTTAGATAAAAATTGTTGAAAGGACTATAACAGATGAAATTTGAACTAGGAATTTTAATTATTATATGATAGTTGAGAAATATATTTAGATATTTATAGAATTTGGCTGCTTTTATATTTTCCTTTGAAAGTGTTATATGTTTTGATTCTTACTATACTTCTTTAATGTTATATTCTTTAATAAGATTTGTTTTTCATCACCATAACAATAGAACTTCATGATTATAAATCTCTGTAGGAGACTGAGCCTAAAGCTATAGTCTGGAACTCAAGACGTTGGTGAGCGTGATGAGACACATTACTTTACTGACATCTAATGACTGTGTAGCTTAATGGCAGAATTTTTCTTAAAGTGGCAAATAAAATGCATTGAAGTTATACGCTAAAATCATTTAGTAATAGCTGCAAATTTTTTTTAAAATTCCTTATTCTCTATCACTTTCTTTGCCTTCCTTTATATTATATTCCTCTACCGAATCTTTCTTTCTCTTTCTTCCTTTATCTCAGGTGCAACATATGGTTATACAAACATATATAACCTATACACCCAAGATACTCAGCACATTTCTGAAAAAAAGTCAAAAGAAGTTACTGAGCCTACCAGAGACCTAAAGCCAGAATTTCAGAGCCTCAGAAACTTGTGTAATAAGAGATCTACCAGAACTTTTATTCATTTACTTATCTAACATTTACAAATCTCACTGTGTACCAGGAAGGAAGTTGGGTGCTAAGAATTATGGGATGAAAACTGTAGAACTTGCCCTCAAGAGCTCCACTATCTTATAGGGAATAAAGGAAGTAATTTTCGTATAGTAAAGTAGAGGTAATTATAGGTCACTCTGGAGCATCCCAGATAGTCAAACCCTACCTTTGCAGACATTTTTTTTCTTTCTTTAATTTAATTTTATGTTACATTCCAGGATACACGTGCAGGATGTGCAGGTTTGTTACTTAAGTAAACATATGTCATGTGGTTTGCTGCACCTATCAATCCATCACTTAGGTATTAAGCCCCACATGCATTGGCTATTTATCCTAATGCTCTCCTTCCCCTCGCCCCCCCCCCGACAGCACCAGTGTGTGCTGTTCCCCTCCCTGTGTGCATGTGTTCTCATTGCTCAGCTCCCACTTATGAGTGAGAACAAGCGGTGTTTGGTGTTCTGCTCCTGTGTTAGTTTGCTGAGGATATTGGCTTCCATCTCTGTCCATGTCCCTGAAAAGGACATGATCTCATTCCTTTTTATGTCTGCATAGTATTTCATGGTGTATATGTATCACATTTTCTTTATCCAGTCTATTATTGATGGGCATTTGGGTTGATTCCATATCTTTGCTATTGTGAACAGTGCCTTTGCATACATTTTAAATCATTTTCAGTTGAGTTGAGAGCATTTAGGAAAAATCAATGTATATATTACACAGAGACATCCTAGACTTGTCTCCTCCTTCTCATTTTTTGGTACTTGATAAAGGAGTTAAAGCAAATTATGTATGTAAAGTACTTACGTTAGTGTCTGAAATTAAGGAAGCACTCAACATGTTACCTATTACCATTCCTCCATTCTTGTACTCATTAGACAAGATGCCAGGCACTATGGTAAGAGTTGAGGATACTAAAGTAAAAAGACAGCCCCCGACTTTAAGGAGCTTATGAGACTAGTGGAGGAAATAGACATGCAAATAAGCGATTCAATGCAATATGGTCACTATTAGATTCAAGGATTAGGAGTGGGAGAGTGAGAGCTGTATTAGGCTAGTGGAACCATGTATAGCTAACCTCTGAACTGAACTGTCAAGTATTAACTAGGTTTGGCCAGGGTACCGAAAAGAAGAAGGGCATTCTAGGTTGAAGGCACAGCATAAGCAAAAACATGAAGGTTTCTGGCTGCAACAGATGTAAGCTAAAAAGAAAAACAAAATGAAAGAAAAACATGAGGGTACAAGAACACATGATCTATTCTGAGAACTTTAGGATTACTCATGTATAAAGTGCAAGAAGACAGGGATTGGTATGGGGCTACATAGGTAACGAGAACCACATCAGGAAAGGCCTTGCAGGTCATATCAAAGAAATCAGAATCTACATGTTAGGCCAGGGGGGTGATTCAGACTGTTAGCCCAAGGGCTTCATGGCTAAGAGATGTTTCGTTTGGTTTGCACAGTTTTTAAAAAGCAACATGCCTAGCTAGACAAGTCACAGTGTGACTGCATATTGTTTTAGCAACATTCCATGGCATGAGTTTGTGTTGCCTGCCTGTCCCTGCCAGTGTCTGTGTTTGCAAAGACAGTTCAACCTGACAGATGATTGAAAACTACTGAGGAGTTCTGAGCAGGGGAACAACATAATTATATTTATATCTCCTTGGTAGTGACATGGTACATAAGGCAGAGAAATTAAGAATAAGAGATAGAGACAAGTAAGAGACAGCTAAAATAATCCAGACGGGAGCACCTGAATGAGGGCAGAGGAAGAGAGGACAGATGTAAAATTGATTTAAAAATTAGAAGAATTGGTTGTCCATTTTTTGTTTGTTTGTCTCATTCCTTGGTAGTAGTGGCGAGCCGAGAACAAGAGGGGAGACTCTAGAATGCTCTCCGGTTTTTAGTTAGGGCAGCTGAGTCAATGGTACACAGAGATGCCATTCCTAGAGAAGGGTTTAGAAGGATGTGAGGGTAGGTTAAGGAGTAAGATCCTGTGTTAGGTTAGGAGGAGTAGGGTCTAAGGATTTTGGTAGATATTTGGGCAAGGATGGTGGTTGGGGTAAATCACAGACCAGTAATAAACCATGGAACTGAAACTGGAATTGAGAAAGTTCTCAGATAGCCAGTTTATTTCTCCACAACTCACAGAGGAAGGCCCCATAAGCTTGGAATCAGGATAAGAATGCACTAGCTCTTCCAATGGCTGGTCCAAAGAGTCACAAGAAGAACAATAGTGATAACAGTAATACAATTTTGTAATAAAACTGTGTTTTACAGAATTCTAACTATGTGTGAGGGGCTGGATTATTTCTTTTATTCCTCATACTAACCTTATAAATAATAGGTGTACTTATTGTCCCCGTGTCACAGATGTGATCACTAAGGCTTAGAGAAGTTAAATAGGTAGCCCAAGTCACACAGTAGTAAGGGGTGGAGCCAGAACTTAACTCTTGTCTCCAGATCTCCATGCCAGTTACCAGTGCAGTATTCTGGCAACTTAGGCTGGCAGGGTAACATACGGAGTTCCAGGAAGGTTGATCTCTTTCAATAAAATATCAACCCCGTCCCTCAATATGCGCATATGCCTAAAATTTTTAACTTTAAAAAATGTATTTCTGGCCAGGCGCGGTGGCTCATGCCTGTAATCCCAGCACTTTGGGAGGCCGAGGCGGGCGGATCATGAGGTCAGGAGATAGAGACCATCCTGGCTAACACGGTGAAACCCCGTCTCTACTAAAAAAAAAAAAAATACAAAAAACTAGCCGGGCGTGGTGGCGGGCGCCTGTAGTCCCAGCAACTCCGGAGGCTGAGGCAGGAGAATGGCGTGAACCCGGGAGGCGGAGCTTGCAGTGAGCCGAGATCGCGCCTCTGCACTCCAGCCTGGGAGACAGAGCGAGACTCCGTCTCAAAAAAAAAAAAAAAAATTATTTCTTAGGGGCCTGAAGGGTTAGGAGGGAAAGTTTCTCAAATCCACTATTCAGGTCTAAATACCTCTGGGAGGTGAAGAGCTGGTTTGAATATACAAAGGTTCTCAGCCTCAGGGCACTTTAGAAGCACCTGGGTTGTTTTTTTGTTTGTTTTTTGTTTTTGTTTTTGTTTTTCTTTTTTGAGATGGAGTCTCCCTCTGTCGCCCAGGCTGGAGTGCAGTGGCCTGATCTTGTAATCTCCGCTCACCGCAAGCGTCGCCTCCCGGGTTCGCGCCATTCTCCTGCCTCCGCCTCCCGAGTAGCTGGGACTACATGAGCGCCCGCCACTATGCCCGGCTAATTTTTGTATTTTTAGTAGAGACAGAGTTTCACTGTGTTAGCCAGGATGGTCTCGATCTCCTGACCTCGTGATCCGCCAGCCTTGGCCTCCCAAAGTGCTGGGATTACAGGCGTGAGCCACCGTGCCCGGCTTACCTGGGGGTGTTTTTAAAGCTATCAATGTGCTAATTGGTCTGGGCCACATATACTATGTATTTTTTAAAACAGTGATTCAAATTTGCATCTAGGGTTGCAAACCAATGGTAGTGGCCTGAAATGCAAATTCTCAGTGAAAGGCAAATCATAAACTGTGGGTTGGACCTCAGCACTTGGTGTTTTCTTAAGCCTCCCAGGTGATCTGGGTCAGTCCTCTAGTGGGGTTAATGAGCCTCCATGGGAGAGAACAACAGGTACAGGGAGAGGACCTAGCCTTGGGCACTGGAGGGGTAAGAGAAGATTCTGGAAGGGGAGCCTGATCAGAAGATAAACTTCCTTTCTGTAGGATCTGAAAAATCTGATCTGTCCTTCCCCACGTGTGGGCTTGCCGCCCGTGTCTTGGCTTGTTCAAGGGAGCCTAGGACAGAGCGGGTTCTGCTTCTCTCAGAGGTCTTGTGGATGAGTAGCTGAAGCCCTCTGGAGAGAAAGGCCAGAGTCTCTCTGCGGCTGAAGCAGAGCCGCTGAGAAAGGTGAAGCTCCACCGCACGACCACAAGGTCGCGCCACACTCGCCCTCCCATCAGTATTTACGGGAGTCAGGAGTCCAAGAAAGGAGGAGAATGAGGAGGACGCCAAGGGAGTGGGGAAGTTCCGAGCAGAAACTGTGGGCAGAGTGGAACTCATGAGCTGGGAGGACAACTAGCATTTATTTTTGTATAGTTTTTTGAGGGAGAGTAAACAGAAATACCACTTGCTGGGAAAGTTACGTAACGGGAGGATGCTTCCTCTTCATCCCCAGAGAACTAAATGGAACCATATTGGGCCCTCCTCAGCCACTCGGGGAGACGCTTTTCAAGGGAGTGAAATGTTTTATTAAAGAAACTCCAAGAAGGGAAGAAAGAAGCCCAAAAGAGAGGCAGCCTGACAGGTCGACAGATGGAATCAGCCCCTCTCATGCATGTGGCTGAAAGCTGAAAGTCAGTTCCTCCGAAGGTAGAGCTACGGTAGTTCACAGATCCACAACGCCTTTCATCTGCATGCTCACAGCTCCAGACTGATGGCAAATGGAGAGATTTACAGTGTCCCGGGAGAAGCAGAAATAGGGGTCCACGCTCCAAGTCTGCTTAGCTGATAGCAAATGGAGCGGAGCCCCTGGAGTTTGTAAACTAGGGCCTTCTATTCAGTTTTGTCATGTCCATAAAATAAGGATAAAAG
Organism: Homo sapiens; assembly: GCF_000001405.40. Classification (NCBI taxonomy): domain Eukaryota; kingdom Metazoa; phylum Chordata; class Mammalia; order Primates; family Hominidae; genus Homo; species Homo sapiens. Next base: position 119,317,719 of record NC_000001.11, read on the forward strand.
AGATCTCTTTCTCTGGGCGGTTGTGAAGATTAAGTAAAATATGTATGGGAATTGCCTGGCATGTAATAGGTACTCAACAAATGTCTCTTCCATGTTCCTCTTCCTCAGAAGTGCTCAACAGCTGTATGGTCAAAATATCATCGACTAGTCACACTCTTCTCAGTTTTTTTTCAAGTGAAAATACAAAAAGGAAATAACACTTTCTTCTCCTGGATGAAGAAACCACAAATGCAATTCTTAATTCAATCTAAGGAATTTTATTAGTTAAAAGTAACTGACCTTTAATTGCTTCTCGGCCTTTTGGCTAAAATCAAGTGTAATAATAACTGCACTTTAGGTAAACTTCCCAAGTTATGATATTGCCACTCTATAAGAATACTAATGAATAATAGGTAAACATCACTTTTCATTTCAGTTTACACAGCTTACGGTTTCTTTCAATTCTCAGGGTCTGTACTTTTACAGGTCTTATCTCACCCCGTTAGCTAGTCATCAATTGCAAATTTATTAAACATTTCAAATGATACTGTCAGCTAAAGACAGACTACCTACCTGAATTGCCACCATCACTTTCAGAAGACTTCTGGGGGCTATGGCCTCAGGAACACAGCCCTGTCCCATACAGCTCTAGAAATGACCATTTTTTTCTAGAACAAAAACCTGGGTAAATATTCACTGCAAGGAGACACTTCTATTAAGACATTCTCCAGCCCCCTCTTGATGGTCAAATGCAGTGGAGACTTCAGTCTTTATCCTACTGCTCCTCCAGGCTGTATTTGCTGCTCTGCACCTCTGTATAGACATACTTCCTTGGCTCGAGTAACACTATTGGCTCATAATTCTTAACTCTTTTCATGTCACTTTTCGGTGTCATCCTTGGGCTCCTCTCTTCCTTGTTTCACTTATAGAAGGTGATTCCCTGGGTTTTGTCCTTGACTATTCTCTTTTCGTTCTGTGGGCTTTACCTTGATCGATCTTGTCCTTTCTCTTTCAGATTTAATCACCTCCCATATGCTGATGACATGCAGCAGAGACAGTAACGCTCACCACAAGTTACATTCGCACCTCTACATTTCTCAGCCCCTGCAGTTAGGTGGGGCCATAAAACTAATTCTGTCCATGAAATGTGAGCAGACATGATCTGTGTCACTTCCAGGCTGAGGAGTAAAAGGCATAGGTGTGATTATTTAGTCTTTCTTTTCTCTTTCCCAAGTGACTGAGACGCACTCATGTTCTAGATACTGAAGTTACAAGATGATGCAACCTTGCCAACTTGAGTCCCTAAGTAATGATGGGAAACAGATTCCCTCAATAACACACACTTGACAGTATGAGTTAAAAAATAAACACTTTTTTTGCATTAAGTCACTGAGATGTGGGGATAGTCTGTTACTGCAACATGACCTGTCTTGTCCTGACTTCCAAGTCTAGTACCCAGCCTTATATCAACATCTAGTAGTTAATAAACAATTTTTATTAACAAAACAAATAGCCTTCTTTATCCCTCACTGCTTCCCAGAGTTTCATATTTATTGTTCCCATCTGCTTCTGGAGAAGTCCATTTCCCAGAACTGCTCCTCTTCTAGTATTCCATACCTCTGTTAGTAGCACAGCAGACTCTCAAGTTATTGAACCAAGAAAGAGGAGTCAGCCCAGAAACCTTCCATTGCCACCCCACTCCAGTGAATCACGAAATGCTTATAAAAATACCTCCTAAATATCTCTTCACCTTCCTCATCGGCTCTGTAAAGACTTGCCTGGACTGGTGGAATCGAATCTTGACCATTCTTCTCTCTCTTGCCCTGACCTCCACCTGTCAAATCTACCCTCCCCACTCTAGTCAGAGGAGATCGTCTAAATTACAAGTCTGACCATGTTTAAAACCACTTGTGAGTCTCTGACACCTACAAAATAAAGCCTGAACTTTTTGGCTTGTCACAGAGGCATCCTAGCACACATGGCCTGGACCCTACCTGAACCTCTGGCCTGCTGTCTGACCTCTGCCACATTGCCTTTTGCAATTGTAATATTAATACTTCCTAATTCCTTATAGCTCCACCTGCATTGTGCAGTCTCATGCCTCCTTTCCTGACTCTGTGCCTGGCTAGACTGTATCAACTATCTAAGATTTACCTGGACATCATCTCTGCCAGAGGGCCTTCCCTAGTCCTCACCTTCACCCTTCCTCTGTATTTTCATAGCACCCAATTTCAATTTTTATTACAGTGTTGTGGCTCCACTGTTGTTCATACACATGAGAGTGAACATGCACTTCTTGACAGGCAAAAATAGGCCAAGGATCTTTTTTGACTCCCTCAAGACACGTTTTATTTGGAGATTATTTGGTTCCAGATCTTTGTCATTTCCTTCCTTAGGTCTCATTATAATCTACCTGAGGAGTACTCAGTATGTAGTCTTCTTGCCTCCCCTCCCCTCCCTTCCCCTTCTCCCTCTCTCCCTCCCTCCCTCCCTTCCTTCCTTCCCTCCTTTCTTCTTTCCTTCCTTTTTCCTTCCTTCCTTTCTTCCTTCCATCCTTCCTTCCTTTTTCCTTCTTTCCTTCCTCCCTCCCTTCCTTTTCCTTCCTTCCTTCTTTCATTTTTCTTTCCCTACTCTTTCCTTTTCCCTTTCCTTTCCCTTCTTTTCTTTTTTCCTCCCCCCTTTCATCCTTTCTTTGTTCCTTCTGGCTCTAGGGTCAGAATGACCAGGTTCAAATCCAAGCTTTACCACTACTTATTAACTGTGTGACTCTAGAAAACTTTCCTAAATTCTCTGAGCCTTATTTTCTTCATTTGGAAAATGGGAATAGTCATATTCTCTATAGACATATTCATCTCACTGGATTGTTGTAAGGTTTAAATAACATGTAAATATAAATTACTTAGAACAATGCGTGATACAGGGTAAGCACTCAAATACACATTTTCTATTATTACTTTCTTTTATCTGTTCAGTGAATAACTAACTAGCAATCAACATTTAATAGCACTTTCTAACCCTGGAATCTAAGTTAAGCCGACCAGTATCTTGGATCTGGGCCCAATCCCTATTCATGTGCCCAAATCTTTCTGTCTAGGGTGCTGCAACCAACATTCCATACCAGAGTTTTTAGCCATTTGGTTTAAGACTTGTTCCCCCCTTAAAGCACAGATACCACATAAAGTTTTATCAATCATTTATAATGCCCTCATTGAAGTAGGCCCAGACAACTCCAGCTGGAAACAATAATAATTCATATTTGTATGGCACTTTACAATTTACAAAGCACTCTCACATGCCCTTGATCTCCTGATCTTTAGAATAGTGTTGTGGGTTACGAGAAGCAGACATGATCACGATTATTACCATTTAAGAGAAGAAAATACTGAGATTCAGAGTTTATGAGCGCAAGTTCCCACAGATGGCTTGCCATGTAGCGGAGGCTCATTTTCAAGCTTTGTGGCTCCTGGGCCCAGTCTCTTTCTGCTCCCCTATGCTTACGTAACCTCTGATACTTTCTAGCAGCAGTACAGGCCCTAGAAACCTGGGGCCTAATACAGAGTTGTAGAGGCAGGCAACTCATGTCGTGGTATGAATGGTTTTAGAGACTTGGGGAATATCAGGGTGAAATGAGACTTTAAAGATTATCTGTTCAAGAGCCCAAGATTGGAATCAAGTTTACTGAATTCACACCCAGCTCTGTCACTTGCTATTGAATCTTGAGATAAGCATTTAACTTCTCTGTGCTTGAATTTTATCACCTATAACATGCCTGACAATAGTTACTACACAGAGTTGTTGTGAGAGCAGATGAGATTACTCATTTACAGCACTTAATGAATGTTAGCCATTAGCACTAACATTATAGTGTAATTATTATAATCTATGATGATATATTAGTTATAATAGTGTGGAAATCTGAGGTAGCTCCCTTTTCTGCAAGAAGTTTCTAAATCAGAATGGAAGGACATTGAACAGTTAGCAGGGGAAAATATCTACAGAGAGTAGATGGCAGGGAGAGGGGGTTTCAAACTGAAGTCAAAGGCTGGCCCTGCTGAGGTCATCCAAGGAGATGGATGGGGCAGAGGAGGGTAGAAACAGGGCAGGCTTTGAATTCCTCTCCCAAGCTATTAAACTTGGCAAGAGCCCTTGACATCTGGCTGGCTGATCATTGCCTGACAGGTTGTATTAATCAGGGTTCTCCATAGAAACAGAACCAAAAAGGGGTGTGTGTGTGTGTATACAGTATACACAGACACACAGAGAGCGAGATAGAGAGAGGGAGAGATTTATTATAAGTAATTGGCTCACGCAACTATGGAGGCTGAGGAGTCCCAGGATCTGCAGTCAGCAAGCTGGAGACCCAGGAGAGCCAACGGCATAGTTCAGTCTGAAGGCTTAAGACCCAAGAAAACCCCAATTTAGTCCAAAGTTAGGAAAAGGCCAGTGTCCCAGCTCAACAGCTCAGGCAGGAGGAGTTCCCCCTTACTCACATGAGGGTAAGCCTTTTTGTTCTTTTCAACCTTCAGCTTATTAGATGAGGCCCACCCACATTAGGAAATGCAATCCACTTAACACATTCGGGTGAATTCATGAGGTTTTTAGCACAGTATTTAATATTCAACACGTGGGAGTAGATGAGGGTACAGAGGAATATGCTCTGATTTGCAGATGTCACCTGTGCCACATAATGCTCTCCTCTTGTCTTGAATGGGGAAACATGGAAAGTTCCTAGGACAGGGACTGACTAGCACATACCAGGTATGCAACAAACATTAGTTCCTTTTATCCCCCATGAACACAGAAGGAGCAGCTTATTAGCAAGTCACAACTGATAAGATTATTTATAAATTCATTGCCCTTTAAAAATTTAGAGGACCGAACAAATGACCTGGACCCACCCTCACACTTTATAGGCAAGGAAACCAAGACCCAGAGTGCCATAGTAATGTACTCAGCTTGGAAAAGCAGAGACTGGAACCCAAGTCCCTGAATCTTTATCTGGGACCTTTTTACCATTTGCATCATCCACTAGGTCTGCAGGAAGATAATTCAGTCATTCAACACTTACTTATGGCTAGCCCTGAAAGATACACTGTGGGGGATCACAGATATTTATAATCTAATGGGATTGACAAGTGTTAAGTAACAGCAGCATTTAAACCAGCATTTCATTGGTAGGACAATTAGTGTGAGGCCATCAGTGAAATGCATAAAACACACAGGAAAAGAAATGGCCCCATTATTTAAGTAATTTAATGATTAACAAACATTTTATTGAGCTCCTAATTGCATGAGGTATTTTGCTAGGCTTGAGAGATACATGGTCTCTACCCTTAAGGATCTTAAGTTTAGATGGGATGATATATATGGAAATAAATAATTGCAACACGTTATTTTTTTTTAAATATCTGCAAGAAAGGTATTTGCAAGGACTGTGTAAGCTCAGATGACTTTAGGAGCACTAAAGAGATAGCTAAGACTGTTTCAGGAAGCCAAGTTCAGGGAAATGACACTGGAACTGGGTTCTCAAGTATAATTAAGAGTCCACTGGTGGGTAATGGAAGAAGCCGCTTCTCGGGAGGAGAAGAAAAAGGCTTTGCAAAGGCCTACCAGACAAAAAGCATGGCTTGTTACTTAGGGAACTGGAACATGGTTGTGTAGAGTGAGTTTGGGCTGTAAGCTATATTATGTCAGGCAGAGCCAGGATAGTCAGGAAAGGCCAGATCTCAGGGGCCATGACCACTCGGTCTCGAAGCTTAGATTTTTTTGGTGTAGGAAATGAGAACTTTGCAATTTTTTTTCTGTATTCCTATGGGAATGTTCTATAATATTCCTGTGGGAATATTTCTGTAATGAATGTAGATGACTACACTCATCAGAGGAAGCATGTTATTTTAAAAGAAAGCAAAATCTGCCTGGTGTCCGTATGGAGGGTAGAGGACATTCAATATCAGGAATAGAAACAGGAAGCCAAATTAGGAGAATTGCAAATTGTTGAGAAAGTGGACCAAAATTGGAGATGCAGAGAAGAGAAAACATCTGAGAGGATGTGAAAAGGAGAGGGGAGTAAGGGACTGAGTGGATGTGGGTAGCAGGAGAGGAAGTGGTCCAGTGAGACTCCCAGAGGGTGCTGACATGAGATGCAAGTCAAATGTCAAGCAGCTGCCTCTTGTGACTTCTGTATTCTCAGCTAGACTGAAAATGCCCTTAGGACAGAGACTTCTGTGTTCTGGAGGTCTTTGATCATGTCTCATACAGAGCCCTGCTCCTCTCTTGCTCTCTGTCTGAGGGGCAGAGCGAGGCTGAGGAGCACTGGAATATGAGTTATGGTTAGAGTTGTCAGATAAAAGACAGGACACCCAATTAAATTTGAATTTCTGATAAAAATGAATAATTTTTAACGTAAGTATGTTCCATGCAATATTTGAGATATACTAAAAATTTTATTGTTTATATGAACTTCAATTTTAACTGGGAATCTTTTATTTTTATTTGGTAAATCTGGCAACCCTGGTTCTAGGTTGTGTGTGTGTGTGTGTGTGTGTGTGTGTGTTTAGAGTAGACAGCAGGAACAAAGAGTTGTGTGCAAGTAATGGGATATACAAAAGATTTAAGTGACCTTAAGAAGGCTTCATTTTCACAGAGGAAGTGGAGAAGGCACAAGAAACCAAAAAGTGAGAGTCACACTAAGGGAGGCAATTGAGCAGAGTGGCTTAGAGCCTTTCTCTGCTGGGTGTCTAGCTACGTGGGAGGCTGAGGTGTGAGGATCACTTAAGGCCAGGAGTTTAAGACCAGCCTAGACAACATAGTGACACTCCCTCTCTAAAAAAATAAAAAATAAATTAGCCAGGCATATGGTGGTGCATATCTGTAGTCCCAGCTACTTAGGAGGCTGAGGCAGGACAGTCACTTGAGGCCAGGAGTTGGAGGCTGCAGTAAACTGTGATCATACCACTGCACTCTAGCCTAGGCAACAGAGTGAGACTCACCTCCCTTCAAAAATGAGAGCCCTTCTTCCGATCACTAGCTCCCCTGGATGAAACGTCCCGATAAGCAACAATCTAATAGTTAGCTTCCTACATAACTCACTTACGGACAGAAAATGCGCTGATCTGGGGCCAAGCCCTTTCTGACCCACATGAACAAGAAATAGAGGACACTATTTAGCGCACAGGTTTTGTAGTCAGACAGTCTGAATTCAAATTCTAGCTTCATAGCCTTGGGTAAATCATTTACCCTTTTAATCTGTTTTCTTTTTTCTAAATAAAGAAAATCGATTTAAAGGGTATTGTAATTATTTGTTAAAATTTAAGGATAATTATTTATTTTCATACAATAAAAATTATTTTGCAAAAAAATTTTGCATAATAATGATGGTATCTTATCTTCAGAGACTACTTTAATGTTTTCACATCGACTTTTTTTTCTTGTCATCATATCTTCACAATAGCTCTGTAACATAGACAGTATGGGACAAGTTTGATTATTCCCATGATACAGATATTTAAAAGAAGGAGAAGGTTAAAGAGCTTAGCCAAAGTCACAGCAGGGGTAATTGGTTAGTACCTGAACCAGGACTCCTCAATTGATACAATATTAAAACTAGAAAGTAAACAGGATCATCCAGCGGTTCTCAACTCAAGGGTTTTGGAAACATGAGGACCATTTTGATTATCGCAATGCCTGGGGGATCTGCTGGCATTTAATGTCTGAAGCTCCAAATGCTAAAGATCCTCCAATGTGCATGACAGTCCTGACCCCAGATTCTAATAGCTCCCAGTTGAAAAACACAGGTATTCCTGCCCCCTCATTTTACAACTGAAGAAACTGAAGACAGAGAGGTGAGTGACAGGTGGCTTTCACACAGTAGATTATAAAAAAACTTTCTTGAGTGAGAGATATTAAAAAAGAGAAATGCAGTCCATTAAGGGAACTTTCTGCTTTTGCTCCTCTACATGGTGAATGTAGTACCTATGTCAGAGGCATTGGAACCAGACCTTGAATAGGAGCAGCATAAAATGAGGCTGAGACCTGCTGGGCTACATCCCCAGGTGGTTGGGCATTCTTAGTCACAGGGTAAGGTAGGAGGTTGGCACAAGATACAGGTCACAAAGACCCCAGTAATAAAACAGAATGCAGTAAAGAAGCCAGCCCAAACCCACCAAATCCAAGATGGCAAAAGTGACCTCTGATCCTTCTCACTGCACATTATATGCCAATAATAATGCATTAGCATGCAAAAAAGACATTCCTTAGAGTGCCAAGACAGTTTATAAAGGCCATGGCAATATCCAGAAGCTGCACTATATGGTCTAAAAGGAAGAGAAAACTTTAGTTCCAGGAATTCCCCACCCCTTTCCCGGAAAATTCATGAATAATCCATCCCTAATTTAGCATATAGCCGTTCTTGGGGCTGCTCTGCCTATGGAGTAGCCATTCTTTTGTTTCTTCTCTAATAAACTTGCTTTCACTTTACTCTGTAGACTCTCCCAGAATTCTTTCTTGTGTGAGATCCAAGAACCCTCTCTTGGGGTCTGGATGGGGACCCCTTTCCAGTAACACCTGTACATGTTGGTGTGGCTGCGGAATGGGAAAAGGCCACTGAGTTCCAGTCCCAGGTGCACGGCTGACCATGTGATCAAGAGCCCTTCCCTTGTTATCTTTGAAGACTCAGGTTCTCAGTGTGAGACATGGGGTCTCCTATTCAATGACCTGTAGTGTTTCTCATGCAGATGTGACCAGGACATAGAAAGAGGCCCCCTGAATGGCTCCAAAGAAAGGCACTCATCAAAAGCAGAGCCAGACCTCGCCGACCTATGATGCTCAGGAGCCTCATGGTAAATGGCAGCATGAGGTCAGGCCTTCCTGGCAGAGTGGGAGCCGTGCAGCCGTAGCGCCCAGTGCCCAAGCTGCACTATTGGCTCAGGGCAAGCAGCTGAAAGCTAGAATGGCCTTAGTCCCAAATCAACATTTCATAGATCAGGAAAATAATTAAAATGCAACTATCTCCTTTCCATGATTTTACTATATGAAATGCAGTGCTGAGCACTTGCTACATATGCCGCATTTAATTCCCACACCAATTCTGCGAACTAGAGACTTGTATTCCAATTTAGACATGGGGAAATTGAAAGTGAAGCTATAAGTAAATGTACTAAATCCAAAAGGTGAACGTGGCAGAGGTGGGATTTAAACCAAGGTCCATCGGATTCCACAGATACTATACTGCTATCTGGAAGACACTAAGGACTGAAAAGGGACTTACCCAAGAGGGCCCTTCTGCCTAGAAGGACTGGCACCTAAGTCCCCCGTCGTGTTTCAACTACTTGGTCATCCATGGCGATTCAAGATGGGGCAGTGTGGGTTGAAACCCCCCACCCCACCTTGTGTTGTGGGGAGGTCACCCAAACGTCCTTTGTAGCTTTCAATCCTCCCAAAGTAGCTGCAAAGAGGACGTGATGTGAATATTAAAAGCCCGAGGCTGGAGGACTTGCCTCCCCAACTCCAGTGCGGAGCCACAGAACTTCAAAGCGAAAGGAAGCACAAGCAGTAGGGGGAGGAGGTGTAAATTTCCCCCGCGGTCCCTTGGAACTGTGAACATTTGCAGATTCCCCAAGCCCTCCCGCTAGCTCCCTGCCAGGTGTCCGAGGCCCGACCGCGCCCCGCCCCCACCGCGCCCCCCTCCCCGCACCCCGCCCCTCCTGCTCCCGGCTTTCATGTGGATCAAGGCTGGAGGATGACAAGCTCCTGACTGATAGATACATGGAGACTTCGCTGGTGATTTATTGGCTTTCTGCACCTGACGAGAACCACTAGGCCTATCTGAGGAGGGAAATATATGGGCTTTCCTGACTCCAAGTGGCAGCCCCGGGGCGAGCATGTGATGTCAAGCTGGGCAGAGGAAAGCGGAGCTGTGCACCGGCCTGTGTACTGTAAGCCGGCCCGGGTCGTAAAAGTGTCAGCACGCGATATATTTCTTGCAGGGGATCCTCTCTGGCTCTTGCCAGCGCCTCTCCCCCGTGGCTGGCAGCCGCCCTAGCCGGGCCTGCAAACAGCGGATGCCCCAGGTCGCTATCCCTCCGCCCTGCCCCGGAGCGCCGGGCCCTCACGTTCTCGCTCCAGCCTGGGGTCTCTCACGTGGCATCTGGCCCTGGGGACGGTGCAGCGGAGGAGTTAATTGCTGTCACTCCTGACTTCAGCGAAAGAGGTCGATCGTGGGGTGAGATATTGAAGCTGGGGATTGACCTGTGGACCAAGAGTTTGATGGGGCAACTCAATAGCAAACTCAATGTTCCCAGAGATGAACCAAGTAATCAGTTATTTATTCAGAAAATTAAGTGCCATTCGTGTGCCAGGCACTGCGCCCCCTACCCGCAGGCCTCACCTTGGCCACCGGCCTGAGTTGTTCTCATTTCTCCTCCCTCTACCTCCAGGCTTCTTCCTCGGGGTTAGCAGGGGCCTGGAGTGGATGTTTAGTCTACCGGTCAGACTCCAGGTCTTATATCTTGAAACTGTAAGTCCCTGAATTCACAGACAATTCAGAGTAAGGATGGAGGCAAAGAAGAGGACCTTGGGTTTACTGTTCACGAGGTAGGTGGGGAAGGGCTTGAAAAACAGAGATATAAACTGCATTTGTACCCCATGTCAATGGGAGTTTTAAGATTTTGACCAATTTGATGAATTGGAGCTCATCTGTCACTAATTGTTCTGTCTTCAATTAAAGTGCAAGCTTATTCTTGGGCCCGCAATATTTGAAATATGTGCTTGTTACTCTGTCCTAAAACTCCATTCTGTCATCATCTTTGGAAATGGGCTAACTCTACATTTTGTATGCAAAAATTTTGTAAATATTCCAAATTGGGATATTGATAGGCTTTTTAAATTAGAAGATACATTTAATTAAATTAGGATTAATTAAATTATGAGCCAAATTAGGAGATAAATTTAATTTAAAGCATCGATATGCTCTTGTCTCTCATCTTCCCTCTTTTTTCATCTCCTGACCTGGTCTTGGAAAAAACATTTGCTGATTAAATGTCCTGCTAGATGACCTCATAAAGGTGTTCAGTGATGAAGAGGAGTGGCTGAAGAGGTAAGGAGAACACTCAAAGCAACAACAGCAAAACGTACAGTATGAAGGGGGTAGTCATAAGGTCAGTCCATAACCCTGCCAGCATCATCCAGATAGAAGTGGATCTGCTATCCCTCCCCACACCTGACTTCACTACCTGCACACCCACAAGCAGGGCAGCACTAGCCCCCAGTGCTCTTCTGTGCATATTAGAGTCTTCCCTGGAGGGCTCAGTACCTTGCTGGGACTCATGGCATGGGGAGCAGAACCCAGGCTGAATTTCAGTCCCTACAAGGTTTTAAGTACAGGGATCAGCCTGCACAACCGAATGGGAGGCCCGGCCCTCATCTGCCCTTCTGTAACTTGTCTTTCCCTGCCAGGCCTCCCTCGGAGCTCATTGTTGAAATCTGGCATCCAGAGCTATGGATTCCCCGCTCTGCCATTTACAAACTGTATGATTAGGGCTCATCAGTTCATCTCTCTGAGTTACTTTCTTTTCTGAAATGGAGGTAGGGCTACTTCTCTCACATGGCTTTATGAGGGTGAAGTGGTTTCCAATGAGCACTCATCTGGATATTCTAGGCCCATCCACTCACATAGCTAATGACACTCCTTCTTTACAAGATGAAGGATTAGGAGATGATTTTAAATCTTTTAGCTGGAAGGGCCTTTAAGAGATACCTGTGTCTGTCTTGGGCCTTAGAGTGAGTAAAGGGACAGCAGGTGGTCAGGCCCTGCCAACAGCAGGATATTTTCTGCAGGTGCCCAACAGCAGCCCTGGAGTTGCCTCAGATCCTCCCACTGGAGGCTTCATTGCTGTATCTGCCATTCCATCCCTGGCAGGGATAGGCCAAGGTCTTAGATACCCTGGCACCCAACACTCCATACAGGCTTGTCTCTGAGCAGACTCTCGGTGAAGGCTATTGTGCTAGTCTGAGCAGAACGGGAGGTGCAGGGATTGCAGCTGTTCCTTCACTGCAGTGTCAGTTTGGAAATTTTCCCAGAAGACTTAGCTGGTGCCTCTTCTTTGATATTCATGAGTGTGTGAACACAACGACCCTCCTCATCTTTGTCGAACCCATTCCTCTTGGACCACACCAAGTATAGTCCAAAAAGAAGGTGATTTAGGAGAAGTGTGAAGGCACCCTCAGTTCTGGCAAATTCTTGGGTATCCTGCAATTCTCACTCAGCAGCATCCCAACAAAACCAGAGAAAAGACCCGGGGCCGGGAGATGAGCCAGGAAAATAGCTTCATGTTTGACTTGAGGGTACAGGCATCTGCAGAAGCCAGCCTGGAAGACTCTTCATGAGCCCAGCTGCAAGGGGCATCCTAGAGCCAGTTCATGAGCCCAACTTTACAGAGGCATCAAGCTTCCCCTCCCCTAGAAAGGAAGGCTATAGAGCAAGCAGAATGTTTAAGACACAGGCTTTCAAGTGAGGCTGACTTGGATTAGCGGAACTAAGGATGACGTGGCCCTGTGCAAGGAACTTAATATCTCTGGGCTTCATTCTTTATCTGTTTACCTACCCCCAGGTCCTGAAAGTACCACAGAAATATCTGTTTTTATTCAGAGGATAATAAAACAGAATATTTACATATTGCTTCATATTCCCCCAGGATATTTTTAGATTACCACAATATCCTAAGAGTTTGTTTATGCATGCTTTATAGACCTGTATCTGTGGTTAAAAAAGATACATAAATACTTTAAAATTTTATAATACAAGAGTATAAGTTACCTGATTTTTTATGTGTTCCGCAGATGGCTGTCTAGAGTCAACACAAACCTACCCCAAAGTTTGACCTTTGCCTTAAGTCAGTAACTGAGGAGGGCCACGGTCCTGAGTTCAGTCCAGACCCCAGGAAGATTCAGAGCCTGCAGTTGTCCTCTGGTTTCTAAAGTATGTTATTGGGCTAAAGATTTCAAGACATTTATCCTTCTTTGCTTTCTATCGCAGCCATTAAATGTTTTAGATATTTTCTGCCAGAAGGCAGGAATCATGAAGATAACAAATATTAAAGACAAAACCAAATAACTTTTAATGAGAAGGTCAGTCCGTGGTTTGAGTCTTTGGAAAGAAATCAAGAACTCTGACTATACTTGCTATTTGACCATTGATTCTCTAGTGGAAATGGGCAAATCTTTTATACCAGGGCAAATTTTTCAGTAACGGGCCAGACAGCAAATATTTTAGGAATTGTGGGCCATACAGTCTCTCTCCCAACTACTTAACTCTTCAGCATAGCATAAAAGCAGCCATAAACAATACTACAACAAGTATGGCTGCATTCCAATAAAACTTTATTTACAAAAATAGGCAGCACGCCAGATTTGGCCCACAAGCTATAGCTTTCTGACCCCTGCTTTGCCAAACTCAATAACAAACAGAGAGGGAGACTCTTTTAAAAAAATTATATTCATTTGGGAGTAGCATTGCAATGGGAATACGTGTGCCATAGCAAATTATGAGCGTATTCAAAGAGATTGGGGCAAGGGGAAGTTTATAAAGGCAAAACGAAGAGGATTACAATTGTTCAAATCAATTATCCTTGGCTACAAGGGTGGCACAAGTCCAAGCTTGAACAGGCAGTTGCTAGACAGACATCCTTACAGAAGTATTTTCTGTGTAAGGTTGCAGTGGTCTTTTTGCAAAGCTATAGTAAATCACAGGGGTCAGTACAACCGTAGTGCAATGGATAAGCCTTGCCCTCGGAAAATCTTCGTGATCATGGTATCTCCCCTGCCAAATAAATATTGTGACAGTTCTTATCAGGCATTCATGTGTAAGAACTCTCCCTTGATGGCCTTCCCTGGCTCCATTTGCCAGGGTTTTAACATAAATTACTCCATTTTGATTCGGACAACTTTCATAACTGCTTACCATCTGTGCCTCTGTGTATAAAAGTGGACATACTAAAATTTTTCCTTAGGGCTACAACTAAACATCCAGCCTAGCCCTTAGCCAGCACCAAGGAAGAGGCCTGGGGGATAGAGGAACAAATAATGAGACCAAGTCAGGCCATCCCCCATGGGGTGAGGCCTGCAGGTAGGTGGGCCCAGTGTGGTGTACCTCTAGCACAGTGCCTGGCACAAAATTGCAGTTTATTTTCTGAATAAATAACTCTTGGATCAATTGGTTGCTCTCTGGGAATGTGACTTTGCTGTTGAGTTGTGCAGAGTACTCTCTGTCTCCAAGCCAATCCCAGCTTCAGTATCTCACCCCACAATCCACATTTCCCAGTGTCTGGAGTAACAACAATGACCTGGGGCTGGGCTCTCAGCAAGTCAAACCCTGCCTCAACAAACCCAAACTGCTTTGGGGACCAATGTGATGCAAATGTGTACTGAATCCCCTGAATTCCCCCTGGTGATCCTGTCCTGTAACAGGCCCTCCCCATCCCCTCAGGCCAGTGCATTCAGGAAATCAGTGACCACAGGATGGTTTCTCAGCTGGAGGGAAGGTCAGCCTGCATCTGAGCATCTTAGAACATGTTATTTTGTTCCCACTGGTCAATCCCGTCCAAGCTGTACACATAGTGCCTAAGCCACGTTTGTTACTGCAGGCCTGTCTTCGGAAAGGTCACTGAACAGAAGGAGGAGGCACCTTACTCTCTTTTGTTACGTCTTCACCACTTTTGTCTAAAGGGAAGTTTAGCTGGAGGGCTGAGCACGCAGACAGGTTTCTGACTGTGCCACATAGATCCCACATTGCTTCTCTGCCATGATTTATCATCTGTGACTTGACATGTTCTGCACACACGGGCATGTTGTACACATTGAGACATGCTTCCTGCATTCAAAGATTTTCCCATATTGAGGGCATTTTCCTGGTGCAGAATTGAAGACTGAATTGAGGCATTCAGATTGACCTCAACATCTACGGGTCTGGAGGAGGTTTGGGACGTTTCCTTTTCTTCTCTTCAGGGGCCCACTCCTGTTGTAAAGAGCAGCAGCATTTATAATGAGGGCCCAGGAAATGCGGGGGAGAGGGGAGAGCCTGCTATCTCTGCAGTGGGTGACTGTTGTTTCCCTGATCAACAATGTATCATATCCCAGCCTAAGCCTGCCTTTCTCCTTCCCCCTCCACATGGGGAGGGGCCGTGGGCTCAGAGCTCACCTGGAATGCCTCTGGTTGCTGAAGGGCTGGATGGAGACTCTGAGACAACCTGATGGATCATCTCATAAACAGAGCCTGCAGGAAGGAAAAGAAAATTATGCCAGCATAATGCACTTACGAGAAATAGATACGTGCGGTGCAGGGAGAAATGCTTTGATATTAAAATTTTTGTAACTTAAAAAGGCATGAAAAATGATACCGACCACTAACTAATCAACATTCCTTTGCGAATACAGCTTCAGTTCCTAACCAAAAACACATCCCTGCTATTGTCTTGTCTGGATCCAGATGCAAACATGATTAATTAAGTTTCTGGTGAGGAGTGGGACGAGGGCAGTGGGAACTGATGGCTTGCTGAGGATCCTTTTCATATACAGGCCTGGGGAGAATCCCTTAGTCTGGGTGCCTATTTCCCTCCACATGTCAGGGCTTACCCCGTGCACTGACAGCCACGGGGGCAGTGAGTAGGCTGCAGCCAGACCCATGGAGTGAGGCAGTGAGAGGCTGAAAGGAGAGGCTCTACAGACAGTACAGGGAGGCTCTTGGTATCTCCCATTGCCACTGCACAGCACAGCACGGCAGAGTAGCAAACGCATATGCCATGTCTTGTTGGGAGACCTGGGCCCTGCTCCAGACTGCTACCAAGTAGTTTGGGACCTTGGATGAGCTGCCTCAATTTCTCCATTTGTGAAATTGGGAGGTGACAGCGTGCTGGCAGCCCTCGCAGCCCTCGCTCTCGGCCTTGGTGCCTGCCTACTCTGGCCGCCCTTGAGGAGCCCTTCGGCCCACGGCTGCACTGTGGGAGCCCCTTTCTGGGCTGGCCAAGGCTGGAGCCAGCTCCCTCAGCTTGCCGGGAGGTGTGGAGGGAGAAGCGCGGGCAGGAACCAGGGCTGCTCATGGGGCTTGCCGGCCAGCGCGAGTTCTGGGTGGGCATGGGCTCAGTGCCTGCGCACTCTGAGCGGCCGGCAGGCCTGCGAACCCCGGGCAGTGAGGGGCTTAGCTCCTGGGCCAGCAGCTGCTGTGCTCAATTTCTCGCCGGGCCTTAGCTGCCTCCCCGCGGGGCAGGGCTCGGGACCTGCAGCCCACCATGCCTGAGCCTCCTCCCGCCGTGGGCTCCTGTGTGGCTGGAGCCTCCCCGAGGAGCACCGCCCCCTGCTCCACCGCTCCCAGTCCCTCAACCACCCAAGGGCTGAGGAGTGCGGGCGCATGGCACGGGACTGGCAGGCAGCTCCACCTGCGGCACCGGTACCGGATCCACTGGGTGAAGCCAGCTGGGCTCCTGAGTCTGGTGGGGACTTGGAGAACCTTGGTGTAGACACTCTGTATCTAGCTAATCTAGTGGGGATGTGGAGAACTTTTGTGTCTAGCTAAGGGATTGTAAATACACCAGTCGGCACTCTGTATCTAGCTCAAGGTTTGTAAACACACCAATCAGCACCCTGTGTCTAGCTCAGGGTTTGTGAATGCACCAATGGACACTCTGTATCTGGCTACTCTGATGGGGACTAGGAGAACCTTTGTGTCTAGCTCAGGGATTGTAAACGCACCAATCAGCACCCTGTCAAAACGGACCATTCAGCTCTCTGTAAAACAGACCAATCGGCTCTCTGTAAAATGGACCAATCAGCAGGATGTGGGTGGGGCCAGATAAGAGAATAAAAGCAGGCTGCCCCAGCCAGCAGGCACAACCCTCTCGCCTCACCTGCCGCAGTGTGGAAGTTTTGTTCTTTGGCTCTTTGCAAAAAATGTTGCTGCTGTTCACTCATTGGGTCTACACTACCTTTATGAGCTGTAACACTCACTGGGAAGGTCTGCAGCTTCACTCCTGAAGCCAGCGAGACCACGAACCCACCGGGAGGAACAAACAATTCCAGACGCGCCGCCTTAAGAGCTGTAGCAGTCACGGCCGGGCACGGTGGCTCACGCCTGTAATCCCAGCACTTTGGGAGGCCGAGACGGGCGGATCACGAGGTCAGGAGATCGAGACCATCCTGGCTAACACGGTGAAACCCCGTCTCTACTAAAAATACAAAAAAAATTAGCTGGGCATGGTGGCGCACGCCTGTAGTCCCAGCTACACGGGAGGCTGAGGCAGGAGAATGGCGTGAACCCGGGAGGCGGAGCTTGCAGTGAGTCGAGATCGCGCCACTGCACTTCAGCCTGGGCGACAGAGCGAAACTCCGTCTCAAAAAAAAAAAAAAAAAAGAGCTGTAGCAGTCACAGCAAAGGTATGCAGCTTCACTCCTGAGTCAGCGAGACCAGGAACCCACCACAAGGAAGAAACTCCGAACACATCCGAACATCAGAAGGAACAAATTCTGGACACGCTGCCTTTAAGAACTGTAACACTCAGCGCGAGGGTCCCCTGCTTCATTCTTGAAGTCAGTGAGACCAAGAACCCACCAATTCCAGACACAAAAGGAGAGGTTGGATTAAATGTTCCTCAAAGTCTTCCATTTCTGGCTTTTTATTCCAGTGCCCAAAGTCCTTCACACAAAGCAGGTGTCTTATCAGTTGATTGGTCAGGCATGGCCACTATTTTTGGCCGTGGGCAAAGGAGTCTGGTGGGGACGGGGCTGAGAAGTATGCTAGGTGAGTGTCTCTGGCACAAATGGCTGAGCTGCAGAGCCCCAAGCGGCATGGCAGGGACCAGGAGACCCGATTCCTGATCTGCCGCAGTTAACCTGGTGACTATGAGTGAGACACACAACTGCTCTCCATCTCAGTGTCCCCATTAGGAAACAGAAACACCAGGCCCAACCTACCCAAGTGTGTCAGGAAACTGAGAACTGCTCTGGTCTCATGCTGGGACGGTGGCACAGTACACCAAGTGGTATCTTCTCCCAAAGTCTGCTCCTGTGGTAGGAGTCATAGGTCATTGAAGTACACTATAATTGAGTGGTTAAGGTGGTGAGATCCAAAGTCAGGCTGCCTGCATTCAGATCATCCAGCATCCTAACCATTAGGCAAGTTACAGAACTCCTTTGGGCCTTGACTTTATCTGTAAAATGGGAATAATAATCACAGAGCATACCTCATGGGATTATTATGAAGATTAAACACGTTAAAAACTTAAAAATGCTTCTAATTATGCCTGGCACGTTCAGCAGGTATTACATAGGTGTTAGTTTTGTTACTGCCAACCTCTCTCAAGCTTTGGGTGCCCACCAAATGTCCCTTTAGTGTGCACAGACTTGTGTCTTCTTCCAGGAGAGGGTAAGGAAAGCTGCCCAAACTTTCAGCTGCATGGAACAAGTACCTTCATTCATTCATTTCCAGGACAGAGATCTCCGAGTGCCCACAAGGTACCAAGCCCTATGCTTTGGAGGGTCAACGTGACTTTCCACCTTGGCTACCACCTGCATCCACCAGGAGAGCACACAGTGGGTGCCTTCCCTGCATGGTGAACAGGAGCAGCCTTGTGTATGAGTGAAAGAGTTTTATAAGGCCAGCTGGACCCCAGGGTGGTGCCGTGCCAGGTATAACGCCAGAAGCTTCCCATCATACTTTAAGACTCTAGTGAGGGGATTTGAGCCAGAGCCAAGACTAGGATTTAGTGAGCTATTTGATTGGAGGTTTCGCTGCCTCCATCTAAAGCCAATTGATTCCACTAGTGGTTTACCCTTTCTCAACATCAGCTGTGACTGGCTGATTTTTTAAGATTACTATCCACACCCTCTCAAACATTAGAACAATGAATTTCCCAGTTCAAGTTCTATATTTTCTCAATTCCAGAGGAAAGAAAATGACTACTACATGTGTGTGATTTTGTCCCTGGGAGCATCTATGAAATATGCAGCATTCTCTTTCTAGCTGGGAAATCACTTTAAAAATACTATCTCTAATTCATCTTCATGTTTTCGACAGGGAGTTTGTTATTCCCGTTTCCCAGATGGAGTAACTGAGAGCAGAGTCAGGAGACAGCTTGCTCAAGGACCTAGAACAACAGAATGATTTGGTGGTGGGGCCAAGATTGAGTTCTTATTTCCTGCCTCTCAATCCATTGCAACCCAGGAATGACCTTTCTGGGCAATGTTAGAAACATGACCATATGAAATGGAGAATTTAGATTACAATTCCCTGGACCATATCCAGGACACTAAAATGAGTGTGTTGCACTTGTGAAATGCATTCTAAGAATTGTTTACTGTTCTGAATGTAAGTTAGGATGAAGCAGATCTTCTACGGAGGCTCCAGGCTAATCCCAGCTTCCCTCCCCACCCAAGCCCCGTGGACAATGACTTGCAATCCATGTCAACAAAGATTTAACCCTTACAGTGTGCAGGGGACTGCTGGGCTGGATGTTTATAAACAAACCAAGATAAGACGGAACCTCCCTTGAAAGAACGGCATGAGGATGAATACAAAAATGAAATGTCAGGCCCCAGCCTGTACATAAACAGCCTTGTATATGTGAGTGGCATGTCCCATGCTCCAGCTGACCTATCAGGAAGCCTAGGGACAGTAGCAATACTTTTAGCAGCTGTGGCAGGCCTCCTCTCTGCATTCTAGAGTGGCTCCCACTCCCCTCCAATTTCAAATGACTCCTTATTTCAGGCTGCTTCTCTTGCCCTGGGACTTGGCCTTGTTGTTTGCGCTTTGGTTTTCCCTGCATTTTGTTCTCAAGGCCTCGGGTTTGGACTCACCCCCCTCCCAACTCCACCATTCTTCTAAGCCAAAACTGATCTGAGGTCCCCTTTTAAAAAATTTGACACAATTTAACAGACATGTGTTGAGTGTCCAAGAGATACAAATACACTATAATTTGCATATCACTCAATAACAAGAATGATACTGTTTTCAAGGAATTTATAATTTAATAGGATGAGAAAAGAACTCATTAGGTTTCTTTCAAAAAAAAATGGAGGAAAAATACCTCTTGGCCACATGCATATTTGAACAAAGGCAGAAGCTTGCCCAAATTCTTTCTAGAAATAACTGTGTTGGTTGAAGGTGGGTGGAAAAGAGGATAAAGGCATGGTAAACATGGGATGTATTTCAGTTCCATGGTGGACTGAATGAAAACGTTTACAGATGTTGATACATGTTTGCTTGCTTTTTCAATTACAGTGAAGCAAAGTTCTATCAACAGATGTTGCCCAGGGCCAATGCAGACAGAACCAACCATAGAGAAAGAGAGCATTAAGATTATTGTATTAGTCAGTTTGGGCTGCCACAAAAAATACTAGCCTAGGTGGCTTAAACAATATAAATTTATTTTCTCACAGTGTTGGAAGCTGGAAGTCCAAGATCAAAGTGTCAGCATGGTTGGTTTCTGGTGAGGGTGTCTTCCTGGCTTGTAGACAGCACCAACATGCTGCAACCTCACATCGCAGGGAGAGAGACAGCACAAGAGAGAGCAAACACTGGTGTCTCTTCTCATAAGGGCACCAGTCCCATCATGAAGGCCCCACTCTCAGGACTTCATGTAACACTAATTACCTCCCAGAGGCTCCACTTCCAAAAACCATCATATCGTGGGCTAGGACTTTAGCATGTGAATTTTGGGTGGACAAAATTCAGTCCATGGCAGACATATAAATGATTTTGTCAAATTTCAAGTCAAAGCTAAATTTTCTCTAAGATTATACTGCTTAGCATGGAATTAAATGAAATAATATATCTGAAATGCTCAGAAAAGTGTCAAGTCCATAATACAGACTACATCAAGATTTGCTAATGTTTTTGAAATCCTATTTGAGGTAACTTTAAACACCAGAAATCTATAGAACTATTCTTGTTAATTACTTATTTATGTTGGTATCATTATCACCTTAGTATTCTTACCAAAATATCTGGGAGGACAGTTAACTTTTCACTTCCCATTTTATATGTGCAGCCTTCAGTAGTAAGATAATTAAGTTGTATGGGAGATTTAGAAAAACTGTACTTGCAATTTTAATGGGCTTTACTTAATTTTTTAACAGCATTGAAAGAAAGGTATTATTGTGACCCTTGCCCTAATTTAAAATGAGAAAACCTGGGCTCAAAGGGATTAAATGTTCAAGGTCACCTAGCAATGTAGCAATGAAGAGGCAGTGTCTGTACTCCACCCAGGTCATCTCCCACCACGGTCAATGCTCTTCTTCATCCGTAGATGCCTTTTTAGAAAATAAAACCCCTCCTCTTGAGGATCACTGGACAGTGCGCTACCTACTGGAACAAAGACCAACCAGTTGCTTCAGCAGTGATAGCAAACTAGGTATGGACTAATATGTAGTATTAATGAACACATTCCCCACACATATTTTCACACACATTATTCATCTGTGCCCTGAATAGCTGCCCATAATCCAGATACTGCAGAAACAGGGAGCAGGAACACCAAATTCCTTGACTTCAGAAGGCATTATCCAGAAATAAGACAGAAAACATCTGAATAGAGCTATGAGCCAGCAGCATTCATTTTTTCCTGCCCTCCCTTCATCTGCATCCTCCTCCGCTACCAAGCCCAATAGATAACACTCTCTAAGCTGGGTAGAGAGAAGAGAGTTGAAGAGGAAATATGAGGATCTGATGCAGTGTAGAAGTTGTGTATTTTTCCAATCTTTCCTCTCATGGTCAGATGACAGATGCAGATGTGTCTGGTGGGAATACACAAAGAAACCCCTTTTAAATTTTGGGATTTGAGAATGGAGAGGACTGTGTCTTGCTCCCTGCATGAAATCCAGAAAGATGCAAGCCTGACCTGTTGTTATAGATCAACAGTGGGGAGGAAATGGTGTCCTGACATAATGAAGCCAGAGGCCACCCTGTGTTTCCTATACCCTTGAAGGGGTGTGAATGGCCATATGAAAACACCCAAGACCTTGAGTGAGACACAAAAGCTATCTGGTTTGGGGCAAGCCTATGGGGTCTTGGGGCCAGCACAAGGGAACATCGTATCAGAAAAATGCAGCCCAGCGAGGACAGGACTGCTTAGATTCTAGGAGAACACAGCTGCATATTGGAGGGTTGCTGGTAAATGGGAGGGTAACTTGGGTGGATACAGGACAGGGTACATCTGAAGCACTAGGTTAACAAAGCACCAAGACAAACTGAGGCTGAGAAGAAGGTGTCAAGCCTACCTCCTCCCCTGTCACCCAACGCTATGTTGGTCAAGTGTGAGAAGAGCCAGACATTAGTGGCTGAAGGTCCTCTTCCTATTAAAACGAAGACCAACCAAGGATAAGGAGAAAGTGGGAGAAGAAACTCTTGACTGTAACTTGGTTATATTAAATAATAATTGCCCATAATGACTGGGAAAATGGTGAATTTACTGGGTTTACCCTGAACCCTAAAGTACAATGTTAATAATTATTTTTGGTCTGGGCATGGTGGCTTATGCCTGTAATCTCAGCACTTTGGGAGGCCAAGGTGGGAGGATCACTTGAGGTCAGGAGTTAGAGACCAGCCTGGCCAATATGGTGAAACCTTGTCTCTACCAAAAAAATATAGAAAAATTAGCCAGGTTTGGTGGCATGCCCCTGTAATCTCAGCTGCTTGGAAGGCAGAGGGAAAAGAATGCCTTGAGCCTGGGGAGTGGAGGTTGCAATGAGCCAAGGTTGCACCACTGCACTCCAAACTGGGCAACAGGGCAAGACTCTGTCTCAAATAATAATAATAACAAACAATTACATTAACTTTTCTCTTTCAATGTAATGAGTATTCAAGATAGAGGGTAAGGCCAAAAACAAGAAGAGTAAAGAAAGGTACTTTTTTTGCCTACCTTTATCTGTGTTTTGTGAATGACTAGTTGCTATATTAGCTATTGTTTTATGCCAAGTACTTTATACATATCATGTCATCTAATCATAATAAATTTATGAGGTATTCATTACTGTCCCCACTATGTGAAATGGAAGAGACTCAGTTATCTACCCCTGGTCAGTTTTAATCATCAACAAAGCCAAGATTTGTATCTGCATCTATATGAATCCAAAACATACATTCCTGGGATTGGAGGGGAGAGATTTTCCAATACACCATTTGTACCTTTGTCTTTTAAGCCACTTCCTACTTGGCCCTTTAGAAATGCAAATATAGTCTTTTTCCTCCCCTTCACCAGACACTCCCTATAAGGCAAGTTTATCTATGTGCTTAGATACTCCAGAAAGGAACTGTTACCCACCAGGAGAAAGCCTCAAGAGAAAACAGTTGATTTACAACCCAAAGTCCCACTACAAAAACTCTCTCCCACCTGGGGAGTTTTTGGCCTAGTCCTGCCCACAAAGGCACCAGCAGTCACCAGTTCTACAGCTCAGTAGATAAAGCACCAGAGCTAGCACTTGGATGCCCTCCTACCTGCTGACTTCCTCCCCTGTGTGCCTTCCCCTTTAAAAGTACCTGGTTTCTGCCCCACAAGAAAAGTGGTACCCTTAGGCAGGAAGCCTGTACTTTTTCCCCTAAACTGGCTTTGGATTAAATCACTTTCTTTATACCAGACCTCAGTCTTGTTAATTGGACTCTGCAAGCCACATCTACATATCCTCTCTACACAAAAGCATATTGATATTCCCAAAGCACTGAATTCCTTTCCCCTCCTTCTTTACAGGTGTGCATAAAAGCACTAACTCCTGATAAATAGACTTCAGCTTTCAAAGCTGTCCTTTCCTTTAGTAGAGATGAGCAGGTAGGGTAGGCTAAGAGGGCTTCACAGGCCCTGGAGAGCAAACAAGACTATTGAACTTGTTGGGGCAAGCCCTTTAAAAGGTCTGTAAGACCAGCAGTTCTTTCTTTACTCATTAAACATGTTTGCCCATTACCTATGTGACTTCAGACTTTGGACAGTGTGAGAATGTGGAAGAGATATGCTGGCTGACCTCACATGTTTGGGGAAGGGGGAGCACTGTACCCAGCAGAATATCTCTTGTTCTCAAATCATCCTCCTCTAAACACATAGCCAACTGTAACTGCACAATGCGTTCACCTTGCCTGCTACCTAGACAGAACCGATTTATCAAGACAGGGGAATTGCAATGGAGAAAGAGTAATTCATGCAGAGCCGGCTATGTGGGAGACCAGAGTTTTATTATTACTCAAATCAGTCTCGCCGAGCATTTGGGGATCAGAGTTTTTAAAGAATTTTGTAGGTAGGGGCTTGGAAAGTGGGGACTGCTGGTTGGTCAGGATGGAGATGGAATCATAGTGGGTTGAAGTTAGGTTTTCTTAATGTCTTCTATTCCTGGGTGTAATGGCAGAACTAGTTGGGCCAGATAACAGGCCTGGGAGGTGTCAGCTGATTCATCGAGTGCAGGGTCTGCAAAATATCTCAAGTGTTGAATTTAGGTTTTACAATAGTGATGTTACCCCCAGGAGCAATTTGGGGAGGTTCAGACTCTTGGAGCCAGAGGCTGCATGAGCCCTAAATTGTAATTTCCAATCTTGTAGCTAATTTGTTAGTCCTGCAACGGCAGACTGGGCCTCAGACAAGAAGGGGGTCTTTTCGGGAAAGGGCTGTTATCAATTTTGTTTCAGAGTCAAACCGTGAATTGAAATCCTTCCCAAAGTTAGTTCCACCTATGCCCAGGAATGAATGACAGCTTAAGGGTTGGAAGCAAGATAGAGTCAGTCAGGTCTGATTTCTTTCACTGTTATAATTTCCTCAGTTATAATTTTGCAAAGGCAGTTTCAAAACCAGCACCACTGTTTTCCTATCATCAGATTGCCCATAGTGCTATAAGAAAAAGGGATTCCTCACCTGAACAAGAGACAAAAATCAAAAAATCATTGCCCTGATTGGATGCAGCCTTGGGGGTTACATTTTCATTTCATACCTAATCTTTGGAAATGAGAGAGAAAGGGTAATTCCAAAACTGATT
Organism: Homo sapiens; assembly: GCF_000001405.40. Taxonomy (NCBI): domain Eukaryota; kingdom Metazoa; phylum Chordata; class Mammalia; order Primates; family Hominidae; genus Homo; species Homo sapiens. The sequence continues at coordinate 119,342,688 of NC_000001.11, forward strand.
TTGGGGAGGGAGAGAAACAATGATACTTCAAATCCCCCTCATTCACAATATCGACAATTTTCCAAGTAGGAATAGTGAACCCAGAAAATCTGAGAGAGGTCTCAGTTAATTTAGAAAGTTTATTTGCCAAAGTTGAGGATGCACCTGTGACATAGCCTTAGGAAGTCCTGACAACACATGCCCAGGGTGGCCGGGGCACAGATTGGTTTTATACATTTTAGGGAAACATGAGACATCAATCAATAAATGTAAGAAGTACATTCATTCCATTCAGAAAAGTAGAGACAACTCAAAGCAAGCCCCCTTTACCCTATGGGCTTCCAGGTCACAGGTAGGTGAGAGACAGATGGTTGCATTCTTTTGAGTTTCTGGTAAGTCTTTCCAAAGAAGGCAATCAGAATATGCATCTATCTCTGAGCAGAGAAATGACTTTGAATAGAATGAGAGACAGATTTGTACTGAGAGTTCCCAGCTTGAAGGGGCTGAAGACATTTTCCTTTCACATTTCCCCTCTTTTCTATTTAAAAATCTTTTGGAGAAAGCATTTTAGAAGAAAATGAGTCTCTGGCCTCAGATTTCATCTGATCTCTCAAGGCTAGGACTGTTTATTCCTAAATGGGTAGGTCCCAAAAGCTTATTTTTAGCAGGCTGTGAAGTCTCATGTCCTATGAAGAGAAAATTGGGGGAAGAAGGGAGAAAAACAACAATAAACAAAAGAACAATCCTGGAAAAATGTATATCAGCCACATTACTCTGAAGTCCATACATTAGTAGGCAGGTATGCAAGTGGCTTATGTATGCAAATAGGTTGCTGTTATTTTCTTCTGAAGTTTAAGTTGTCTGGCTTCAGTTCACAGGGTTTTAAGAAAGCAAAACTTAGTTTTCAGTGATTCCAAATTAGGAAAACTTGAAAAAAAAGAAGGAAAAATAATTGAAAACATTATTTTGAAGACTTGTAGCCAAGAAAAATTAGAATTCAGTTCAAACTGTAGAAAATAATAAAACTTGAAAAAAAACATTAGGCAAGACCACAATCTAACAACAGGGGTACTATAGTTTTGAAACATAATTTTTCTCTCTCCAACTTCCCATTTGTACTGAAGACAAATTATGGCAGAACAGGTTTGCTTTATTATACTTGGCCTAATTATTTGCATATAATGTGGCAATTATATATATATGTGTGTGTGTATGTATATGTATGTGTATATATATATATATATATATATATATATATATATATATAAAACATAGGCTTTTAAATTGGCTTTGATGAAACTTGTTCATAAGAAGAATCTCAGATGAGACTTTTTAAAGCCAAACCAGGCATGGATTTTGTCATCAAATATCTATGAATTGGGTGAATTTCCTCTCCTCTTGAGGTTTCAAGATAAACCTGGGGCTTCTGGGCCTGTCGGAAGGTGACATTCATTACTTACCACAAGTCAGAAACCCTGTACGGGGACTGTTTACACAAAATATGAGGCCAGTTTTTCCAAGGGCTTTATTGGATCCATAAGTCAAGTTTGATTCCTTAAAAAAAAGCACAACATTCCAGTCAAAGCCTTGGTGAAATAACGTTTCTCCAGTTGTTTCCTGTTACAAATGAAAACAGATTCTTATTGCACTTATGCAAATAACTGTATTGCCATAAGTTAAAAATACTCACAAATAGTTTCCACAGTCTGAAGAAATCAGGTAGAGAGAAACAAATATGCTCCAAATTTTGTTCATAGGAGTATACTGAGTTGTTAGAAGCTGTCAATAGCATAAAATAAAGGTATTAAGACTCTGAAAAACAAAACAAAGGATCAGCAAACGTTTTAAGCAAAAAAGTCAAAAAGATTAGTTCAGTCCATGTAGTATATTCCTGTTCTTCTTGATATTCATGAACATTTTAGCTGTCCATGAGTCCTGAAAGTTTTTCCTCTATTTTGATACACAGTCTCCAAAGTTATCAGAAACCCGCATTCAAGAGCACCTGTTAGAGTTTTATAGCTGATTATAGAACCACCTTATTTATTTATTTTTTTTTTGAGACAGAGTCTCTCTCTGTCACCCAGGCTGGAGTGCAGTGGCATGATCTCTGCTCACTGCAAGCTCCGCCTCCCAGGTTCACACCATTCTCCTGCCTCAGCCTCCCAAGTAGCTGGGACTACAGGTGCTATAAAACCACCTTCTAAATAGGACCAAAACAACAATTGTCCATGGATGACAAAAACTTTTAGGGCAGCCACAGTCAAAGACACAATTGACAAGGAAATTTGTTACCTCTGTAGCACACAATAATTTTAACATAACAATTATGATTATTACTGATAATGTACACTAAGTTATATCAGAATTATAGGAGTTTCCTATAATTTTGGAACTATTAACAGTAACTATTTGTACAAATATAGCCCAAAGGGAACCAAATACCATTTCATATTTGACAATGCTTCCTGTGTAATTTTTGTACCAAATAAGCCAAATTATGTGGTATTTTTTGGACTTTAGGGAACCTAATATCTTAAAGAATTAATTAGGTCATAAAAAGACATAATTTATAATTTGATTTTGGACAGTTTGTCAAACATCAAAGGTTTTAAACATTTGATATCATAAAATAGGGTCACAGGTCATAGTAAAATAAGTCATTCATTTAACCAAAGTGCTAACTCAAAGATTTAAAAAAAAACACAGACAAAAGTCTTTATTCTTTGAGAGAGAAGGCTTAATTTTCCAAACAATAAGCCCTAATAAAAACAGTATGAAGCCAATTAATTTTTTCAAAATTTTATAAATAATCTGTAAAATTTTAATCTTGACTGTAAGATATAGCTTCCATAAGCCTTTTATAACCTTTATAACCTTTATATAGTTGTTGGTTAATGCTTCAAGAAACCCTTGTTAATCTGACACAGGGGTCCATGTGTTGGTCTTGCAGAAGTATGCCTTTAACATTAATGATTAACTTATAGAGAAACAGAACTTATTTAATCTTTCAAAATCAACCCTTACAATCTTATGTGTCCACCTCTCCCTCAATAGTGCCTGGGCCTTGAGGAGTTGAATAGCTTTAATTTATTGCCCCATGTGTCAGGAATGCATTTTATTTTGATTGGCATCTTCTATTGGGCCTGAAGATGAGGCTTTAATTGCTGTCAGTGTTTAAGATTTAGCAGGACTTGGTGTCCTTTTTAGACCCAGGAGTCAAAACCCTGTAACTCAATATCACAGGGGCTTTAAAAGTACGTACAGGAAGATACATGGATGTAATAACCTTAATTTAAAAAAAAGTTGTCTCATTTTCTTTTCCTAAGCAAACCAAAACTTAATGACAATATGACAGCTGGATCATATTAAAGTTTTTTTTTAAATATAAAGACTCTTATTATGACTTATGCAGACCTTTCATGAAATGCTTGGACTTTCCGGTTTGTCCTGGACATCTCTCTTTCTTAAACAACCAGTTATTTAATTATTTTATTTTAAAACTGCATTTACCATACAAGATTCTTTCTCATATAAAATTATTTCTCTTTAAGTTTTCTTATCACAAAACGAACCTCTTTCTTGTTATGACTTTCTTTACATCTCTTTTTATTTTCTGGTTCTTTTTATTTTGTTTTATATACAACCTTTAAGCTTTGAATTAGACAAAACTTATTCAACATTCTCTTAAAAAAGGACACCCCCTTTTTTTTTTTTAGCAAGAATGTTTTCCTACAATATATGTTTATTGGAAAATACCCCAAAAAAAAGTATCTATTATTTAATTTAATATAACTTTATATTCTAAATTATGACCAGTTTGTCTACAGGTGTTTATCCCATTACATTTACCTAATTATTTTGTTTTAATTTTTTACCTAGATTATTTATGAAAATTGTGATAGTCATGATTTAAAGTGATAAAACCACCATTTCAAAATTATAACAAAGACAGTGAAAAAAAGATTTGACCTAATTGACTACATCTTGCTGTTAACCTCCAAGCTATCCTTGTTCATTTGTAGGCACAGGCCAAATTAAATTTAGGAGGAAGTTAGTTTATACTTTAGCTTTGAAACAAACAGTCCTTACCCAAAACAAACATCCTTATTGCCTGTGGACTAGACTGCCTAAAGCCACAAGATTAGAATTCATAGTAATCTTACTAAATTTAAGATGCAGCTATTTTCATTAAACCAATATCAATGTCTTATTTATTAAAAATTACAAAAGCAAAGATCATTCTGTTTGGGGCTGGGTTTATAGTTTTGTAACCCCTGTGCCAAATTTTGACACCTTGTAGTATTTGGCAGGGATGAGAATGAAATTGCTTGACTAATAAATGCAAATAAAAAATGTATGCTGGCAATTCTTAAGACATTTTTCATATTACTTTACCAGTAATTTTAAAGCCAGCTTATTTATTAAAGATTTTACTTAAGTCACATAAACTTGAAAAAGTATTTGACTAGTCTTTGCTTTTTTAGTATCTGATTTAGGCACTTTTATTTTTTTTAAGCCAATTAATTAGAGCTCTTTTTTTTTTTAGTAGTGAAACATTGTGTACACACACATAAATACAGAGACATATTAGGCATGCCGATAAAAGTACATTTTATAGATTCATAAAAACTTTTTTTTTTCCTATCTTAGAATTTCAGATTCTTGATAACCTGTTTTACCACCCTGGGCGGTTGTCAGCTAAATAGCCTAAATTTGCATATTAAAGGAAGCTGTTCATGTGAAAGTCAAATAGCAAAATTTACATGGTAAGATGCAGAGAGAAAAAGTTTGGATTATATAATTTATAAAGGCCTTTTAAATATATACATACACACGTACACACACACACACGAAGTTCCTACAGCTTTTACTTCAGAACTTTTAGCCATGAGATAAATACAAATTTACCAGCTTGCAAAAAGAACTTCTTGGGTCTAAACAGTGGTTTTTATCTTAATGGAAATATAACAGCAGATTTAGAGCAGGCAGAAAAGAAAAAACAGAGAAAAATAGGACTTAGGAACTCCATAGTTTGCAGGTCGACCTTAGGGCTCTTTTTTCTTAATGTAAATGTGCACAAAGACCATATTATTTCCATTTTACATAAACTTTGGCTAGTAGAGGTGCCATAAAACCTATGGAGTGCTCAAAAGGGGGTCATTCTCCTTGTTTTCTCCTCATTCTTAGATTGTTTCCTGCCTTTTTTTTTTAAAAAAAAAGGAGGAACTGAGCTATGGTCTAGGGTTTTTGTGTGGTGGATCAATATGTGCTGCTTGTGGGCAGGACCCCACAGTGTGTCACCACTGAGTTATTTCCACCCTTTTACATGTCTCAGTTTCTCTCTCCAAAGGTCTATGACCTCATAGAGGGCTCAAAACGCTGGGTGATCAGCCCTTATATGCATTTCCTGGATGAGCCATTTTTAAAATTAATTTTTGTGGGGATTTCCCTGCAGGGCTACTTCACATCATGGAGGAGTCAACTCCCATGAGGCCTTGGTCACCCAGGGACACCCTTTGACTGGGAGGAGCAAAATGCCCTTTCCTTCAGAGCTGAGAAAGCTCAGTCTCTCATTAACATATGAAAACAACAGTTCAGTTCCTCATGCAAATGCACACAGACAAACCAAATTAAGATTAAATTAGGGAGAAAAAGCAATAGTGAAGACCCTTTAGAATGCCTCTCCACACTACAATTAGGATCCTTAAACAACAACTTTAGACAGGAACAAACAACAACAAAAACCCCAACAATATGATCACTGAGCCCTCTAATGGTAAGGAGAAATTAAGACCAGCTTGTTGTTAACCTTAATTTTAACCAAGACAAGCTCCAATTCAGTTACTTACCTAGAGATGGGTCTCAGGCTGAAGACTGCTCTCTAGCATCCTAGAAGAAGGGAAAAAAACAAAACAAAAACACTCATCTTCCTTGTTGGAAGCCAGCTCAAACTCCATAAAGGAGTTACCTGCCTTCCATCATCATGGAAGCAGGAAAAACTTGCCTTCCTTGTGTTGGAAGCAAGTAAAACTCCAAAAAACAAAGAGGAGTTGTACAGCAAAATAAACTTTAGATCTCAACCAAATTTTGGGAGATCAGGGATTCTCTGGAGGGGGTGCACTCAGACCTCAGCAGATTGTCCTATTGGTTTGAGCCATAAAGTTAGTTTGTGCTGGTACCAAGCACTGACAGGAGATTTGTGAAAGGTCAGGGGCATCTCCACTCAGAATCCCCCATGGTTACCAAAATGTGAACCCAGAAAATCTGAGACAGGTCTCAGTTAATTTAGAAAGTTTATTTTGCCAAGACTGAGGATGTGCCAGTTCCTCATACAGCTTCAGGAAGTCCTGATGACATGTGCCCAAGGTGATCGGGGCACAGCTTGGTTTTATACATTTTAGGGCAACATGACACATCAACCAACATATGTAAGAAGTACATTAGTTCCATCCAGCAAGGCCCTCCCCCGTCCAACCTTGGGGGCTTACGGGTCACAGGTAGGTAAGAGACAAATGATTGCATCTTTTGATTTCCTAATAAGTCTTTCCAAAGGAGGCAATCAGAATATGCATCTATCTCTGTGAGCAGAGGGGCGACTTTGAATAGAGTGGGAGACAGTAGTGCCCTGAGTAGTGCCCAGCTTGAAGGGGCCCAAGATATTTTCCTTTCACCAAATCTTGACACTGTCTTCAATATCTATAACTATAAACTTTGGAAAATCAGAAAGAAAAAGGAGAATGAAAGGAAAAAGAGGAGAGTGGCAGCGATAGATGAGGGGGATTCATTTGTGAGTGGTTTTCATTTGTACATGAAATTGTCTGTATCACTAACTCAGGGTGCATATTTAACTATCTCTCTATTAAATTTTCCATTTAACCCTGATAAAAGAAAAACCTCAGCTGAATTAAATTTAAAGGAGTTTAATTGAGAAATGAATGATTCCCAAATCAGTCAGCCTCCTGAGTCAGAATAGGCTTTAAGACTCCAGCACAGCACATGGTGGAAGAAGATTTATGGACAGAAAAAAAGGAAGGTGACATATGGAAAATAGAAATGAGGCACAAAAAGCTGGATTGGTTATAGCTCAGCGTTTGCCTTATTTGAACACAGTTCAAATAGTTGGCCACATTTCATTGGCCAAAACTCAGTGACTGGCACAAGTGTAGGCTACGGTCTGTTTACACCTTCACTTATGAGAGTTCATAATGTATAGAGAAACCTTTAGGTTGAACTTAAAATATGTAAGGAGGCAGCTTTAGGCTAAACTTATTTGAACAACTCATAGCTTATGCATGTATTATCAGGAAATCGAGAATCTTATTTTTGAATTCTTCTCTCCCGCCTCTCAATCATACCCTCAGATTGTCCAAGAGTTCCAAGAACTTACTACACATTATCTTCTAGTGAAAGAATTGAACATTTTCCAGATCCACTAATCACTGTAGGCCCACAGAAGTTGACAGCTACCCTTGGCTTCTGATGTTAAGATGGCCTTGCTTAGGTCACTGTAGTTCTCCATGCAATGATTACAACCCTTTTAAGCTCACATTTCCTTACTCGGCCATCATTCTCCAGAGCACTGTTAAAGCAAAGTAAATATGGCCTGAGAAGGACTCTGTACTTCTATATTTCAGTCCTTGTGGATGAACTGTAACCTAGCTTAATAGGCAGACAAGATTGAAAACTTAGGAGTGTGCACCTGTAATAATAGCTGAGTCTTGACCACTCCCAGTGGCCATACTTCAACCACTCCTACACTGCTAAGTGTTCAAACTGTGCTCAAGTAAGGCAAATGCCAACCTGTAATGAATCCAGCTGTGCCTGTACCTCACTTCTGATTTCTATACATCACTTTCCTTTTTTGTCTATAAATTTGTTCTGACCGTGGGGCATCCCTGTAGTCTCTCTGAATCTGCTGTGATTCTGGGGGCTGCCAAATTCACGAATTGTTCATTGCTCAATTAAACTCCATTAAATGTAATTCAGCTGAAGTTTTTCCTTTAACAGCACAAACATTGGTGCCTAGGTGCTTGTGTCTGGAGGACCTCTCACTATGAACCTTATTATGTGTGCCCAAAACTACCCTCCTCTACTCTGACAGATTGCATCTTTAGTCAGTTCTCCATCCCTCCTTATATCCATGTCCTTTGCCACATAACTTTGAAGTTTCTCTACTAAAGGGGCAGAGTGGCTAGTTGTGGTGGCTCATGCCTATAATCCCAACACTTCGAGAGGCTAAGGCGAAAGGATTGCTTGAGCCCAAGAGTTTAAGACCAGACTGGGCAACATAGTGAGACCTCATCTCTACAGAAAATACAAAAATTAGCCAGACATGGTGGCATGCACCTGTAATCCCAGCTACTCAGGAGGCTGAGGTGGGAAGATCAATTGAGCCTAGGAGGTCAAGGCTGCAGTTAGCTGTAACCATCCACTGCACTCCAGCCTGGGCAATAGAGTGAGACCCTGTCTCAAAACAAGGATAGCAGGGAGGGGCAGAATATATTTTCCCACTCTTAAATTTGGATTTGGCCATGTGACTTGCCTTGGCCAATAGAAAAAGTTGAAAATAGTGTGTTAGTTCTATGGCTGAGCCTTAAGAAGCCTCATGTATATTTGACTGCAGAACTCAGCTGAGCCACTGCAGTGAAGGACAGCCTAGATCGACTGAGCTCCAGCAAACCCGCACACATTTGAATGAGCCTATTGGAAATCATCAGAGCCTTGCTGCTGAGCCTAGCAAATATCAGCCAACCCTTAGTCACCTACAAGACTCCTTAGCAAAATAGTGTTTATTGGTTTTGCCACTGATATTTTGTGGTTGTTTGTTTTACAGCATTAGTGTGGTCACTGTTAATTGGTCCATGGACTATCACTCTGTGTTGAGCCCAGGCCATCATGATTCCCCCTTTCCTCAATATAATTTAGTTTTCAGGGAGTTTATTGGTCTTCCCTATCCCTGGCCTTGGTTAGGGGCTCCCCTAGCCTACCTCCTATGGATCATTATAACTTTGGTCCTTGGAACACAGGACTGAGATCTCAGCTCCTGTTTTCCCAGAAGCCCTCTTGATCGTTTTGCAAAAACGTCGTAGCCCCTTGCCAGAGCTTCCCTTCCCAAGGAGATAGGCAAGTTTGTGAAGGCTCAAATATCAGAAAGTCTATTTATATCCTTCTTCCAGAAATGATAATCTGATCAGCCAATTCTTATGTAACTCACAGGTATTTTTCAGGCTATGCCTTTATAGAGCCTTGAAAGCTTCTCTGTCTAGAAAAAAGTCTCCAACAATACACTGTATTATATACATGTGTCATGGTGTGGCACTCTACTACACATACAATAGTCCCCCCTTATTCGCAGTCCACTGTTTCAGCTACCTGTGGTCAACTACAGTCTGAAAATAGTAAATGGAAAATTTCAGAAATGAACAATTCCTAAGTTTTAGATTGCATGTCATTCTAACTAATGTGATTAAATCTCATGCCACCCAGTCCATCCTGCCCATGATGTGAATCATGCCTTTGTTCAGCATATCCATTCTGTACATGCTACCCACCTGTTAGTCACTTAGCAGCTGTCTCAGTTACCAGATGGAAAAACATAGTATATATAGGGTTTGGTACTATCTGCAGTTTTAGGCATCCACTGGGAGGTCTTAATATGTATGCTCCACAGATAAAGGGAAACTGCTGTATAATTGTAGGGTAGTGATTTTATGAACTTGTTTTACATTTAAGAAAAATGAAGCAGAGAAATGTTATATGTCTCCCCAAAATTCAAACACCTAAGGAAAGACAGAACTAGGATCAGAACTAAAATTTTCAAGTTCTCCATTCAGTTTGCTTGATTCTTAAACCATGTTAGGGTCTAAGGAATCCCAATAAATAGCTCTCCTCTTTGCCTGTGTTCTGTACAAATTGAAAAAGGACTGGCAAACGGAAAACCAAAATATCCTTTGTTTCTGGTAGAGGCCAGGTTGGAGGATGTGGCAATCTGTTAGCCAAGTTGGCCTGCCTGTACTGAACCCCAATAAAGAAAAACCCTCCCCTAGAAGAGCAAACTAAAACGCTTTCTCTCTGTGAGCAACTCACTCCCAATAGGAAGGAACATGGAGCCGAGCATGCCCAGATGTAACAGTCAGGTAAGATAATCCATTCACCCTGGAAGGGTGAGCAATGGAGAGGAGGAGGACAGGAGTAACGCTCAATGAGCTCCCTTTAACAAAAGGAAACATCATAAGTTGAGTAAAAATATTCTTACAATATGCCAAATTTATTTAATGTCAATCTAAGTGAGGCCTCGTTTGAAAAGTCCACATCTCACCCATCCAACTTCCATTAAGCCAGATAGATATGCCTTCTGGCCCTCTGTTAGCAAAGACAATAGCAATTTTTCAAGCCTTAAACTCTGAAGTACTGTGAAGTAGAGTGGAATGGAGTGTATACTAAACCATCCTGAAATCACACCACCATATTCAACTATTAGTTCTGCCTCTGTATAAAATTGACCTGACTGACCCTGACAAAAGAAAAACCTCTCTGTGTTTTGTCAATTTGTCAACTAATAAGAAACTACCTCAATTATAATATAGTTGTCATTTCTCATTCCATTCCCACCTTCAGATGTAGTATTCTTTTTTTTTTTTTTTTTTTTTTTTTAAGACGGAGTCTCTCTCTGTTGCCCAGGCTGGAGTGCAGTGGTGCGAACTTAGCTCACTGCAACCTCCGCCACCTGGGTTCAAGCAATTTTCCTGCCTCAGCCTCCAGAGTAGCTAGGATTACAGATGCGTGCCACCATGCCCAGCTACTTTTTGTATTTTCAGTAGAGACAGGGTTTCTCCATGTTGGCCAGGTTGGTCTCAAACTCCTGACCTCAGGTGATCTGCCCACCTCTGCCTCCCAAAGTGCTGGGATTACAGGCTCAAGCTACCACACCTGGCTGATAGTAGTATTCTTTTAAGCCCAAACAAATTTATCCTCTAGAAAAATTATCTGTTAGAAGAATCTGGATTTTAAATAGGTTGTCATCTTAGCATATTCCCAATTCATTACCAAATCCAGTTGCTTATTAGCTTCTTGTAGCCAATGCACGGTGCACAGTGAACATTTATACTATAAGAATTCATAGATGGATTCCCCAAACCAAGGCAGCAAAGATTACTGATTGTCAAAGCCTTTTATAAAATAGGTGGAGAGCAGGAATGGTTCTCATCATGTCCTGTCTCCACCATCTTGATTCATCTACAGTAAAAAGGGGGGAGGGTGTGGGTGTGGAAATAAGTTAGATGTGTGTGTTGATGTGTGTGTGTGTTTGTGTGCGTGTGTCTGTGTGTGTGTGTGTCTGTGTGCGTGTGTTTCAAATTGCATTTTTTGGCTACATCTCCAGTGAGATGATTAAAGAACTTTAGCTCCTCGCAACCAGCCCAGCCAAAAGTTTGACTAGGCTTCACTTTCCCAATATGGTTCTCATTTACTTTCAGCCTTATTCATTTATTATTTGTCTTTCAGAGAAAAAGGCAGCAAGAAAAATCAACCTTGAGGTTTGTTAATTAGGCCTGCATTCTTGTTGATATATTTCAGGAAAACAATTGGTAACTTTTGCCTACTCTCTGGAGAACCTTATAATGTGGTTCTATTCATTCATCAGGGCTCAGTGAAGCTTTGGGGCCCACTCCTGTTTGGTGATCCTTAAATCCTTTTACATATGGAATTGTGGACCCTGTATCAGTTTTTAAAACTAATCTTTCTCCTTGCAGAGCTTCAGCAAGCAACCACTAGGATAATGTTAAAGATCTTCAGTGGTAAGAAGACAAGGAGCAAAGATTTTTATCTTACTTTGTGATTTTCATAATTAAAAAAGAAAGAAAGGAAAGGTAAGCACTAGCTCTCTCACTGCCCTCACTCACAAACACCAAGCATTCTAATTCTGATTTCCTGTTTACTTGGTATGTGAGATCCTGACCCATCTTAAACTTAGTTTCATTTTTCATGATAAACAAAAATAAAGGCAGGAAATTGTGGGGAGATTTTCCCAAATGTGGAAACAGATAGAGTCAGGAAAAGAAGTCATATATGTGCCTTCTCATCTCTTTCCTCTTCACATTTATGCCTCTGCACAAAAGACTGACATGGTTCAGTCATTTTATCCAAGCCCCTTTTGTCATTTTCACCAAAATAAAATATTCAGGCTGGGATTCCCTAAGTAAGAACGGATGTTTAAATAAAAAGTTCTCTATCTAATTATTTAATTATTCTGCTCAAGGAAATAGTCTGGGTGTTGTAGGAACTCAGAGATGAACTTGTAATCTTTATAAAAGGAGCCCACATACAGGTCACAACAGAACAGACATGGAACAGAAAAGGAGAGGTTGAAAGGGATGGGGAGGAGGGGAGATTAAATATGCTCCTTATGATACTGATATCACTTGGTTTAAGTGACTCCTTCTTCACACATCATCACAATTCTAAACCACTTCTTCTCTAGCAATGCAGCCAGGTGAAACAGGGTTAGGGTGAACAGCCACAGAAAGACCCCATCTCCCTGAGGGCATGTGTGGGACAGATCAAAGGTCAGTTCATCTTGCTTTGGCAGGGTGTTGGGATAGGCCTGACTAAAGTGTCCTGTGCAACTAGAAGCATAGACTTCCCATCTGCTAAGATGAAGAAACTTGCAGGGTTGAATCCTGGGCCACTCCAAAGTTGAGAAGTCAGGAAAATGAGGAGGGATCAGCAGAGGAGACTGAGAAAGAGCAGCCAGTGAGGTGAGAGGAGAACCAAGAGATAATTATGTCCTAAAGGCCAACTGAAGAAGCGTTTCCAGAAGGTAATGACAACCTATCTCAGATGCTATTGACAGCCCAAGATGAGAAGTAAGAATTAAACCCTGGATTTAGGGATGACTTTGAACTGCAAGCATGCTCACCACATGGTATCCTGTCCATGAGTCTCAGTTCTTTGGTGGCACCAGTTTTTGAAACTATGGGGTTCTTTCCTCCAGTGACTGCCTTGCTGGACACTGCTCAATTCCAACTGCCCTACCACCAGCCACTTGCCAGTTTAACAGCTTCAAGACCCAGGTCATCATGTCATTGTTTAGCATGTCAGAAAAACATACTAAGCAGCTTCACTTTTTTGTTTTTGTTTTCTTTTATTTTGTTTGGAGACAGGGTCTTGCTCTGTCACCCAGACTGAAGTGCTATGGCATGGACATGGCTCACTGCAGGCTTGACCTCCCTGGCTCAATGTATCCGCCTACCTCAGCCTCCCAAGCAGCTGGAACTACAGGAGTGCACCACGACATTGGTCTAATTTTTATTTTTGTTTTTTGTAGAGACGAGGTCTTGCCACATTGCTCAGGCTGGTCTTGAACTCCTGGACTCAAGCAATTCTTCCACTGTAGCCTCCTGAGGTGGCAGGATTACAGCATAAGCCACCATGCCTGGCCTCAGTCACACTTTGGAAAAGAAGACTATGGATCTACATGTTCATTTTGTGGTCGAATTATAACCAACACGCCACTCTATCTGCCTCCACTCTGCTTTTTCCATGCCTGTACTTAAATGCTTCTCAGAATTTTTAATGTACTTCCCTGCCTTTTGCCATAGATTTTATACTCACTGAGAACCAATGTTCTGCCATATTCATCTCTTTATCTTTCACACTCACACCTAGTGCCTTACAAGTTGCTTTTAGCCAAAGTCACAGGAAACCTGACTCACATGGATGTCAAGGGTACTTATTACCTTGTATAAGAAGAAGTCCTAGGTTATGGTGCCTCCAGGATTGGTTAGCGTAGCTCCTCAGTGGCATCTCCAAGGGCTCAGTATGGCTCTGTCTTTTTCCTCTGCCATCCTCAGCATGCAGGCTCCTGTTAGAAATGCTTCTTCCCCAGTGCTGTAAAGAAATAGCACTTGAACATAAATTTTAACTACCTCAGCAAGGCCATTTTTACTTTCTGCAGAAAGGGTACACTCGCCAGCAGTTTTGCCACAAGAGTACACTGAACAAAGGAGACAGGGTCATTTATAACTTTACGCGTCCACGCTACTGCTGTGTCCGGTGTCTGTTGTCTGGAAGGGGACCTCACATTCTGTATTTGTCCTGATCGGCTAGCAACTTAGAACTTTTCAAAAGAGGCAAAGGCAGAGGATAACAAAGGAAGGAGGAAGTAACTTGTGGAATGCTGAGAAAGGTAAAAACACCTTCAAATAAGGAATAGGAACAGGTATGACCTAATGCTTGCTTGGACCAGTATAAGCATGCCAGGGTAAATATTTAGGCTAAATTGTGGGAGCTAAGAACATAAAGTACATTGATTTCTTTGTTACAGCTAGCAGATATTTAAGAATGTTAGCACAGGTCTTTGAATAAATTTTGCTCCTAAGAGAAGTTACTATTTATTCCTAATTAGATGGGGAGGAAAGTCTTTGAAGACTTTCTTTTGAACCTCTACTTTACTTTTTAAACTCCCAACCCCAGTGAACCCTCCTCACAGTCATGAGCCTGCTGTTACCTGCAGACATGGCAGTCTCTAGGGATGGCCCTTTGTAGGTAGGAACAAGGAAATCTTTCTCAGAAGCTCCCAGGCAGACATCCCCTTGTATTCATTGGTGGAACAGAGTACCATGCCCATCCCTTAACCAGGCACTGGCATAGAAATAGGCTTCCCATGATGAAGACTAATCAGTTTTTACCCTTGAGTAATGGGATCAACTTTTCTAAGCAGGCACTTGAGTAATGGGATCAACTTTTCCAAACACATGGTTCAGTGGAAGAAGGTGAATACCTGAAAAAAAATCAGGTTCTGGCCGGGTGTGGTGGCTCATGCCTGTAATCCCAGCACTTTGGGAGGCCGAGGTGGGCGGATCACGAGGTCAGGAGATCGAGACCATCCTGGCTAACACAGTGAAACCCTACTAAAAATACAAAAAATTATCTGGGAGTGGTGGCACATGCCTCTAGTCCCAGTTACTGGGGAGGCTGAAGCAGTAGAATCGCTCAAACCTGGGAGGCAGAGGTTGCAGTGAGCTCAGATCGCACTACTGCACTCCAGCCTGGGCGACAGAGCAAGACTCCATCTTAAAAAAAAAAAAAAAATTCAGGGTTCTACTACCAAGGAAGAAGTTGGAGAAGGATGGGGATTGGGGGATAAATTTGGTGTATGCAACCTATAGTGTCTAACAAAATAACACATGATAGCAATGTCTATTGAATTTCACCTCACCTTAGATTGAATTATTTCATCAGTTCTAGGAACAGAGCTGTGAGAAGGTGGGATCTGGGTCAGAAAGGCTTTGCTGGGGAGAAGGAATAAAACACACAGGGAAGACTGAGAGCCTGAGGCCTCACGCAGCTGAAGAGCCAATGGGGTGTGAAGTCTCAGTAGGGAGGAGCTGAAAGCCAACCCGGAAATGCATCTATATACCAAGCACTGCCTTAGGATATCCACACACATTATCCTATTGAATCTTCATAAGAGCCCTTCAAATATACACAGTATTATTCTCCTATTACAAATGAAGAAATCAAGGCTCAGAGGAGCTGGTGGCTTACAAGGGTCACCTAGCTAGTGAGTAGCAGAGAGAATTATATTGGCTGCTGACAGTGGCTGCAACCTTTTCTATATGGTCCAAGTTTCTAAGGAATCATAGGAATGCAGACCTCAGCCAAACAAATACTCTGTTATTATATGAGGCTTTGGGTCCCCAACATCCAAGAAGTCTCCTGGCAAGATGGGTCACTAATGAGCAGTGACATTTTAGGGGGGGTAGGAAGATTGAAGTGTTAGGAATGGGGAAGCTAAAAGCAAATTTACAAAACCCAATTGGCTAAAAATAAGGTAGCTAAAAATCAGTTTTGTAAAATCATTCATTTGCTGAATTATTAATTTTCCAAACTAGTACTTACTAAATTCTTGTTGATGTTAGCTGCTCCTAGAGTTTGTAGCAACTCATGTTGTTTGTGACAGTTTCAACAGACTTTGCACAACTTTTCTACATTTGGTTTCCCAGAGGCTTTGCCAAAGCCAGAAGAACTAAGTACCATAGAAGAATTCTGCATATGAGAGAGCTTTGTACATGTAATCCTTGACGGAAGAATGGCCCCCGCTTTCAGAGATGTTTGAGTGCATGGCTTAGGGAGGGATTCCAGGAAGCAGTGAGGAGTGTCCATGCAGGCAGCCAATGATGCTGAATCATCCAGAACTGTGCATGCAGGGACATGTGTGGCAGCCCCTACAGGCAAGCCGGGGCTAGATGTTGAAGAATCCTAAATGTCAAGTTAGTGAGTTTGACATTCCCAGGAGGTGCTGAGGAATCACTGAGTGCTATAGTGCCAAGAGTGTAGACGATACCTGCAAGAGTGCCTGGCACACAAGAGGCACCCAGTATGAGCTCACTGAATGAATAGCTCACCTTAGGATGCTCCAGGTTCTTCTGCTTCCACATAAACAACAAGGCTGTAAGCATCCTCCTCTTTGAAGCAGAAGGCTATTACACTGATAGTAGTTCTGCTCTCAGTAGGTAGAGGCCACAGCTGAATCTTTTGTATTAGGGTATAAGACTGCTAAAAGTTGGTATATTATTATTTAATTATCATCATCACTATTATTTGATAAGTAGCCATGCTGCAGAATGGTGCCTGGGAAGTGCTGGGGCCCTAACTCAGAGACTGATGGCTCAAAACCATCCTCTGCTCCTAACGTTTAAAACCTCGTGGTGGGAGAACTAGTTATTGTATTAAAATTAAGGTATTCAAGGAGTTATATAAAACAATGCATATTATAATCTCAGTTTTATTATCTTCTTTCCCAATCATTTGTCTATTGAGGTACTAGAAACAAGTGTATGAGAATGTTTAGAATGTGTTTAATTTCGTTGAATTTGAACACTAGGCCAAAAGTGCTAGAATCTCAGTGAAAACTGAGGCTGGCACCTTCCTGGCTGCATGATCTTGAGTGAGCTTCTTATCCTTTCTGGCCTCCTGCTTCCTCAGCTGTAAAACCCATAGCACCTACCACAAGATGTTGTTCTGAAGGTTAAATGACACTATGCATGTGATATTTGAATGAGGTGCTCCCACTCTAACTATGCTGACAGGTTCTCTCCCTAAGCACCTTGCATATTTTTTGGAATAAGTGTGGTCCAGCCGCATTGCTTATTCTCTAATAGTAGCTATTTTATAATAAAGGGTTGAATGTCTCATGTAATTTATTGAATACTGTACTGAAAGTGAAAAACAGAATGATCGTATGGGTATGCAAAGCATGGTTTCTGCTGAGTGCACATGGCACAAAGAGAAGCCATAGGAATGTAAAGCTGTTTCTCCAGTTCACCCGTACAACACCCTTCACAGAGGTTCCCGACATCATCAGACCAACAGTTCTTTTTATAATACAGGTGTAATTGTTGCCCCTTTACCATCCTAAGATTAAATTCATAGTTTAACCTACCTCTGCACATTATTATAAAAATCAATAGGCCAGGCGTGGTGGCTCACGCCTATAATTCCAGCACTTTGGGAGGCCAAGGTGGGCAGATCACGAGGTCAGAGATTGAGACCATCCTGGCCAACATGGTGAAACCCTGTCTCTATTAAAAATACAAAAATTAGCTGGGTGTGGTGGCGTGCACCTGTAATCTCAGCTACTCGGGAGGCTGAGGCAGGAGAATCCCTTGAACCTGGGAGGCAGAGATTGCAGTGAGCTGAGATCATGCCATGGCACTCCACCCTGGTGACAGAGTATGACTGTGTCTCAAAAAAACAAACAATATACTATCCTAACTGTAATAGACAGGTGAAAACATAGTACTCTGTGATAAAAATATGCAACTCAATATGTATATATTCACACATAAACAGACCAGAGGACATAATTGGGTCACATGCTTGCACCTACTTAAAATAATAGTTTGAATTAAAAAAATAATAATAACACCATACCTGTAATCCCAGAACTTTAGGAGGCTGAGACAGGAGGACCATTTGAACCTAGGAGTTTTGAACCAAGGCTGGACAGCAAAGTGGGGCCCCATCTCTACCAAAAAAAAAAAAAAAAATTACCCGGATGTGGTGGCGCGCGCCTGTAGCCCCAGCTAGTCAGGAGGCTGAAGTGGGAGGATCTGTTGAGCCTGAGAGGTCAAGGCTGCAGTAAGCTGAGATGGTGCCTCTGTACTCCAGCCTGGGTGATAGAGTAAAACCCTGTCTGAAAATAATAATAATAATATCAGAAGACACTCTGTACAAGAAGTGCAGGAAAATGAAACAGCAGAAATACTGGACACTAGAATAAAACCTTGATTCAGATAAATAACAATAGACCAGGCTGATTATTTGTATGTGATAAGAGATAAAAGGAAATAACCTTAATCAATGAGGAAAGGAAATATGTTTTACATTTG
The DNA here is from genome assembly GCF_000001405.40 of Homo sapiens. Classification (NCBI taxonomy): domain Eukaryota; kingdom Metazoa; phylum Chordata; class Mammalia; order Primates; family Hominidae; genus Homo; species Homo sapiens. The sequence goes on from NC_000001.11 coordinate 119,361,059, forward strand.
GGTCCATGGAGAATGAATAAAAGAATGCAGCTACAGGAGGCAAGACATAAACAGAGATCAATAATTCAGCAGAAGCTGGAACTTATGAAGTATCTAAAAGAAGTGTCCATCCTCTGAGAATCCATGGAAATATGGAAAGGGAGGAATAGGAATTTCAAATTCTATGTGATATGGGAGCTAGAGCCAGTTTGCTTTTTAATACTGAAGAGAAGGTGGCCCCATATGACAAGAGGATCAGGAACATTTGGGAGGCTGAAACTTGGGTTACAAATCACAGTCCAGGTAGTGTTGCTGTCACTGTGTGAGATTTATCAACAGAATAAACAATGTACCTCTTTCAGAGTAGGCACTTACGAAAGACTGGTTGTCAGCTGAGTGAATATGTGTTTGGTAAATGGCACCCTTGTATAACTCAGACAACAAGCCTACTTAATATTTAGGCTTTTGTTTATTGTGCACCCACTGTGATGGTGCTTTATCTACACTACCTAATTCCTATAACAACTCTGTAAGGCACATACTGTTATCTTTATTTCATGAGGATGAAAACCCAGATTTGGAAAGTTAAACCCAGATTTGAAAGTTAAACCCAGATTTGAAAGTTAAACCCAGATTTGGTCAAGCTCTTGGTAGGATGTGAATGCAACTGTTTCATATTTGACTCTCACCCCCATCCTAGGCAGTAGGTGGCTAGAAACAGGAATTACTGTTCTCACTTTGGCTTTGAGTCCCCTGACGCCAGCGGCAGGGATGCAACTTGCTGGATGCTGTACAGCTGATGTGCATCATCCCTCTTCTGCCTGGAAAGTCCCTGTCTTCTCAGCATTTACATAATATCTTGTGATATGTGCATCAAATTTGTTTTTGGGATCTCAGAAATCAGCTGCAATCTTAGGCAAATTAAATTAAACCCTACTACCCAAATATGAGCATGGTAACTTTCATATCAGAGAGCAGAAATTTAAATGTCACTTAGTTAAGGTCATTTAGTTAAGATCTGTGCTCAGTATGGGAACAATTAGCTAACAGATTGTAAATAAATTCTCTGATTACTTTCAGGGGTGGAATAGTGAGTTGTTACAAAGCCATTCCTGGATACGATGGTGATGTGGCTCTATCATCTGCATCAAATTTCTTGTTGGTTTTGACCCTGCATAGTGGGCTGAGCTGTTCTGCCTTCCTCGCTCATTGCTCTTTGAACAATCTTCCCAAATGTGCATGCTGGACTGAAGGTCCCAGTGAGTGGAAAACCCTTCTTCTATCAGGATCATTCAAGGGTGAAGCATCTCCTGAGAAGCAGAAGACCCTGTGAAACAGGTTTGTAGAAACCAGTATTATGGTTATATGTTCTCTCTAATTAGTGACTATGCGCTATTAGAATGAAGCCTAAGTGAAGTAAAATAACTAGAACTTGTATACTTTAAAGGTAGAAATGTAAAATGGGACTACTTTTTCTTATAGTTAAAAATACACCTGCCTTGTTACTCATCAACTTTACTATGAAGCATTTATCTCGGAGAAATAAAATATAGTCACAAAAAATTGTGTAAGAATATTCACAGTGGTTTTATTCATAATAGCCCCCCAAACTGGAAACCATTAGAATGCCCACCAACAGGTGAATGGATAAAACAAATGTGGATTAAATTCATACAATAGAACAATGCTGAGCAATGGAAAAAAACAGTGAAATACTCATGCAAGCAAAACACAGTTGACTCAAAAGAGCATGTTGAACAAAAAGAGTCATAAATAAACATTTAATTGATTCCAATAATTTGAAATTCCAGAGCAACAATTTGAAATTCTATGTGATGATGCAAAAAGTCAGAACAGTGACTACCTCTGTGGGTGAAACAGCATTGACTGGGAAAAGACAAGGAAACGTTCTGTAATGATGAAAATGTTCAATTATCTTGAATGTGGTGGTAACTTGATGCCTGTCTTGCAGAAACTTGAAGAGCTGTACACTTAAAATGGATGTGTTTTACAGTGTGTGAATTATATTCTAATTTAAAAAAATGAAACCTAAGATGATTTCAGCTACTGGAAGATCATAACTATGTTCTGTTTCCACTCCTGCCTTCTCTTCTATTTCTTTCTTTTATGCTTCAAGCCTTAAATGCTACCCCTGCAGCAAACATTTGCCTGGGCATCCAGGCATTTCTATACATCTGATATCTACGTGGAGGTTTCCAGACCTCAATTCTTGACTTCCGTGCACCCGCAGGCTGCCAAGGCTTGGGGCTTTCTTCCATCTTCTGAAGCCACAGCCTGAGCTGTACTTTGGCCTCTTTCAGCCACAGCTGGAGCAGCTGTGACACAGGTCACCAAGTCCGCAGGCTGCACACAGCATGGGGACCCTGGACCCCACTCATGCAACCACTTTTTCCTCCTGGGCTTTCGGGCCTCTGATGGGAGAGGCTGCCGTGAAGGTCTCTGACGGCCTGGAGACATTTTCCTGTGGTCTTGGGGATTAACATTAGGCTCCTTGATACTTATGCAAATTTCTGCAGCGGGCTTGAATTTCTCCTCAAAAAAAAAATTCTTTTTTCTCCTGCATTATCAGGCTGCAAGTTTTCTGAACGTTTATGCTCTGTTTCCATTTAAAAATGAAATGTTTTTAACAATACCCAAGTCACCTTTTGAACGCTTTGCTGCTTAGAAATTTCTTCCACAAGATACCCTAAATCATCTCTCTCAATTTCAAAGTTCCACAAATCTCTAGGGCAGGGGCAAAATGCCACTCGTCTCTCTGTTAAAACATAACAACAGTCACCTTTACTTGAGTTCCCAACAAGTTCCTCATCTCCACCTGAGACCACCTCAGCCTGGACCTTATTGTCCATATTGCTATCAGCATTTTGGGTAAAGCTATTCAACAAGTCTCTAGGAAGTTCCCACATTTTCCTGTCTTCTTCTGAGCCCTCCAAACTGTTCCAATCTCTGCCTGTTACCCAGTTCCAAAGTCGCTTCCAGATGTTTGGGTATCTTTTCAATAATGCTCCACTCTACTGGCACCTATTTATTGTATTAGTCTATTTTCATGCTGTTGATAAAGTCATATCCGAGACTGGGAAGAAAAGAGGTTTAATTGGACTTACAGTTCCACATGGCTGGGGAGTCCTCAGGATCATGGCGGGAGGCAAAAGGCACTTCTTCTTACATGCGGGCAGCAAGAGAAAATGAGGAAGAAGCAAAAGCAGAAACTCTGATAAATCCATCAGATCTCATGAGACTTATTGACTATCATGAGAATAGCACAGGAAAGACTGGCCCCATGATTCAATTACCTCCCCATGGGTCCCTCCCACAATAGGTTAATATTAGGTTGGTGCAAAAGTAACAGTGGTTTTGCCATTAAAAGTAATTAATGCAACCTTGGGTTGTTGGGAATTCTGGGAGATACAATTCAAGTTGAGATTTGGGTGAGGACACAGCTAAACCATATTAGGCTCTAAATGGGAGTCAGTGGTGCCCATATGAGGAAGGGACTGAGGGTCTCACTAGACTTTTATAATATAATAAAGCTACCCCCAGTGAAGCTGATTGTACCAACATAAGCTGGTGTGCTCACTTGGAGTTCAGCTGCTGGATATGTCAACGTCCTTGAGAGTTCAAAAATGTAAACATCAGTCCAAGAACCAAAGATGCCCTGACCTTTGCATTAAGTTGGCCATACCCTTCCAGAGGAGACCATGGTAGAAAGCAGAGAGAGCAGGGTGAGACTGGGCAGAGATGGGAATGAGTAATGCTGACTGCATCCTGCCCCTCCTTCTTTGAGAATTCAAGTTTTAAAATCTGTTCTCTAATTCCACAATAAACAATCATCATGCACCTACTATGTACCAGGCTCTGGGCCGGGCAGTGGGATTCAAGAATGAATACAACATGGCTCCTGGCCTCAAGGAACTCAAAGTCCTGAAAAAGCCACACTGTAATGACAAGCCGCAATACCGTGTGACAAGTTTCTCCCTCTCTCTCTCTCTCTCTCTCTCTCTCTCTCACACACACACACACACACACACACACACACACAGCCAGCTCTGCCCAGTGGCACTGAGGAAGGTTTCATGGATGGAGAAACACATCAACTGAGTCCTAAGGATGAGGAATGATTAGTATGTTCCAGAATGAAGGAACAGCAAGTACAAAGCAGAAGCTTTTTAAAAAATGTGTTTTGATGTAGGCAGAGGCAAAAGTCCCCCAGTGGGCTGTTAGAACTTTCTTGAAGACTCAGAGAGTCTTGAAGAGTTCCTTACCAGCTTAACTACTGGCTTCCCACTCCCTGCTGAATAAACTCTTGGTTCAGCAGGCCTGAGGCCTTGGCTATATACCCATACCCCAGTTCATGTAACAGCAGGACCTGTGGGCTCAGTTTCAGACCCAAGGACTAGGGCTAGTAGAAGAAAATATAGTTCAATTTATGTGAAAGGGCCAGCTGAAATATCTGTCATTCTGGCAGTGTTCCCTGGTCACCCTAGCCAGAAGCCATCTTGCCCTCCTCTGGTCTCCTATTGGCAACTCTTTGCAGTATTAATTAAAAGCACAATAGTTAAATGTGGACTCTGGGGCCAGAATGCCTGGCTTTGAATTCCGGAATGCCTGGCCTCCACCTCCATATCTGTAAAACAGAGATAAAAATGATCCCCACCTAATGAGTGAAGAACTGCTAAACCCTTAATACACTGCTTGGCACATAGTAAATGCTCTGTAAGTGTTATTAATTACTATTATTGAAAATAATGCAACCATTTCTTGAGCATTTATTGGTACTAAGGGCAATGCTAGGCCGTTTACATGCCTTATCATTGCTCGGCACAGGGTGCTGAGTGTCTGAGCACAGAGGATGTTACAATATTAGGTGACTTTAGGGAGCACATTGTTGCTTTCTGAGTAGAAGAAACTTTCTCTCCTGCTGAAGCCACCTAACTCACAGTAAGTTGTGTTTGATCCTGGATCAACATAAATGCCTTGAAGAATACACACTGTCTCCAAGATGCCAGGGACTCTCACATCAACAGGCTGTTGACAGTGGATCCCACAGCATTTCACACATAGGCACCCATGTCCTCAACCCCGGATACCCAGCAGATTCTGAAATCCTGATTGTTTTTCCTGTGCCCAGCAACTGACTTTCTCCATGATCTTGGGAAGGTGTACAATCCCAGCTCTAGCTACCTAACTCATCTTCACATCCAGAAACCCCGCTTCCTCCAGTCAGATCTGATCTATGTAGCAAGCTCAGCAGCTAGAGGGACACACTTCCTTCCTACTTTAGACCCTATAAAGCGAACACAAACAATGCAGCCCTATGACAGAAGTCATTGGCCTTGGACTAAGGTCTTCAGCAGGCTCTCTTTCAGGTTTTCTTCCCATCTCTTCCAGTAACTGACTCTGCAGAGCTGCCCCCATCCACCGGGTAGCCATTACAAAGAGGTTCACAGCCTATAAGGGGCTTGGTGGCTGCAGAAATACGCAAACTGTCTTTAGTTTGACTTAGCCATCTATGACTGGTTTGGCTTCAGTTTGCAATGACCCAAGTTTGCATTAATTACTTTCAATAGCAAAACCACGGTTACTTTTGCACCAACCTAATATTAACCTGACCACAGCACCAAAGTGTTCATCTTTAACCCTGATGGGCTTGAGCACAGACTGCAAAGTCCTGGGCTCATCCTGACTTCCAGAATTACCTCAGGAAAAATAGATGGCTGGATTAGGACAGGACCACAGTGATCAGGAGGACTTAGCATGTTTTTAATCCCCTCCATTAAGAAGAATTTTGGCATTCTATTCTACTGTGAAACTACATTTGCTTTCTAAGAGACTAGGTCATGACAGCTCAAGAATGACCCGACATTTCTCTTCATCCAAAATAAGCAGGCATATTGCTCAATGGGTACCCTATGACCACCTGAATAAAACCAATATCTTTTCATAACCTCATCCTGAAACATTCTCCAAGCCTGCTGGTGGGTCCAAAGCTGGTCTGTCTTATCCATGGACCCATTCTCTGGAATTCAAGAGGTGCTGCAAAAATGCTGCCTCAAATAGCTCTGCCTGTGGCCCTATATCCCCTATTTGAGATTAGTTCACTTAGGTGCAAACATTAGAGGCTGATATTAGAGTGTGTTACCTTGTAGAGATGATGTTCTTTAACTCAGTGCAATCATCAGATTTAAAAGGTCTCCAAGAAGGTCATTATTTCAAACTTGAGAATCTCTCATGAGAAGCTCTACTGTTCTTTCTATCTACTGCCAGCATCTTTTAAGTATTAACTCACTTACTTCTCATTACAGTGTGGGAGGTATTATGAGGAAACTGAGGCACAGAGAATTTAAGTAACATGTGGATGTTAGTGAGTGAGTGGCTGCAGTTTGGAGCTTGAGCACCATGTTCCAGTGTGTGCTCATCACCAGGCTTCCTTCTGGAAGGGAGAGACAGAGTCGGAGTCTGGAAAACAGCAAGGGAGGGTCTGGATCAGGGGACTGTGAGCAGGCCAGGTGTTGTGAGAGCTGACCGAGGACATGGCCTAGAGGCTGATTATGGAGATTGTGAAAATTGCTATGGAAAAGAAATTTCCAGAACCCAGATTTTGGCTACTTTTGAAAGCATTTTTGAGGTAATACTGTCCTCTAGTGGCTAGATAGCAGGTAGGGATTACCCTCCAAATAAATAGCCAATGAGCCTTGAGTGGAGATGGTATGACAAGTCAGTGGTAAATTCATCATTTTGCTCTCTAACTACAGGTTCTAAAGGAAAGGCAAACCCCACTGCTATGGTCATCGGTACAGCTCAGGATTTCGGCCTCCTCTGCTCCGTGTGTTGGCTACAGGCTAGGTTCAAATCCCAATTCTGCTCTTTACTGCTGAAAGGCTTTGGGCATGTTCGTTAATCTCATTTTCTCTTCTGAAAAAGAGACAATCTTGAAAAGATTGACCTTCCGTGAAGATCAAATGAAGTAATGCGTGTAGTGTGTCTGGCACGTCGTAAGCGCATCACACACGTGAGCTGTGGCAATACTAAGGAGCAGTGGCAAGAGCTGGGGGAGGAGTGGAGACGAACAGACCTGGACAAATTAGTGACCTTTCTGGGACCCCTACAGAACTCTTCTGGAGAAATTAATTCTATTTTTCCATGTACTTTTAAGTTTGCTTTTCCTAGCATTTCTTCTACATTCCTGAATAATTTTCCACTCAAAAATTTCACTGGTTCTCCCTGACTCCCATATTAATCTAGACATAATTACTTCCCCAGAACAGTTCTGTGGGCAGGGAGGGCTCTACACTATGCACCCTCCAAAATCCCCAAAGCTCGGACCGTCCTGGCCTGGGTCCCCACTGCTGTCCTGCCCATGGGCTCCCAGGCTGTGCTTGCTCTTCTCCCACCCCAACCCCATCACCACAAAAAGCCCCTCCTCCAACCCGGGGACTTTTGTAATTTCCTACCTGAAATCATCCACTCCCTACCTCTAACAATCTGTGATGAGCAGAGGACAACATCAAGTTTGAATTTAGAGGTAGGGAATGGGTGATTTCAGGTAGGAAATTACAACTTCACTTTGAAGTTTAATTTTGTAATAAACTTCACTTAATTTTGAAGTAAATTTGCAAAGTCAGCAAAATTCTTTCAAAGTCAACCTTGCTCTGGCCTAGTTGCTTATTTACTGCTAAGCTGGATGTTTTCATTAAAAGATTAACTTTGAGACTTCAGCCTCTTCTTTAGCCTGAACTGTGGGTAGTGATGTGGTGTGTTTCCTAACACCTCCGGCAGTGAGCCAGGCTTTGAGTGGCTGCGTCTAAACACTTCTTTCCCTGAGGACTGGAAGACATTAGAATAAGGTTTGTCATTGAGTGTGTTCTGTGTGCTTGGAACTGAGAAGGGTGATGAAGTGCCAGATAGGATGGGAATGGAAGATATCGTGGAAGCCAACTATGAGTTTGCAAGGCAAGGACCTTGGCAAAGATGGTCCTAGGGAGACAGGTGTTAGGGAACTCAGAGGGCATGGGCAAAGGAAGATTTGGTTTCAAAAAGGATACAGACAGAGAAGGTTAAGTCTAGGAAGTTGAGTCTTAGAATTGTATGGTGGAATATTCGTGGGTGTCCATAGGAGGAAAAATGGGTTAAAATGTTTTCACTTGACAGCGTTCTGAAAACCTAAAAGGTATTGCTATTGCCTTCAGGGATATATTTAGTATTCTGACCACTGCTTCCCGGCCACAAGCAAAAGAAAACAGTGACATGGCTATGCTCCTAAAAAAGTAAAGAAGTTAATGTGTCTCAAACAATGTAGTTCCTTTGAGCAATAAGCTTATTTGGAACAAATGGGTTACAAAGTCCCACTAATGAAGAGCCTCTGATTGTGTTAAGTTGAATCTACAGATCAACCTGCGGAGAACTGCCAAGAACGCTAATGAAGACAGGGAGGTACTGGTATAAAGATAGATAACAGATCAATGGAACAGAATAAAGCGTCCATTAGCAGGAAGCAAAATCCGCAAACTTTTATTCTTAACTACTACTATATTCTGCATTTTACAAGATCCTTCAATTCTCACAAGATCCCTATGAGATAGACAGTAATAACCTAATTTAAAGATAGATGAGAATTGGAGCTTGTCTAGAATAGATTGAGTGGAACATCACTTGTGGTATATCATTTGAGAGGTAATGGGAATATTGCCAAATTCCCAGGTAACTCTCCCCTCAAAGGGACTCCTGTTGTACTCTAAATCGTATCAGCTATCAAATGATGAGCTATGAAAGTCTGTCTTCTTCGACTGTAAGCTTCTTGAGAGCAGAAACTGATGTGATAAAGGTCCCCCCCCATATCTCTAGTGTTTAGCATAATACTTTGATATATTATGTTAAATCAGGCTATGTTATAGTAAAGAATAAACCTTAACAACTTAGTGAGATAACACATAAATATTTATTTCTTCCTTACACAATATCAGCTGATCTCCAGGGCTACCCTTTTCCAAATGGCGTTTTGGGAATCCAAGTGGCCTTTCTCTTACAGCTTTGCCTTCTTGAGGATGGAGGATCGCTGTAGAGGAGGAAACAAAGCTGGAGGGTCACATACCAGCTCTTCAATCCTTGGCCTAGAATTCACACCTGCTATTCCCACTCCCAGGCCATTGGCCAGAAGAACTAGTCACAGAGCCATGCCTGTATTTAAGCAACAGCGAAATGTTAAGCATGTGGGGAGCAGTATATGCCTCCGCCACCCTGGCTGAGAGTGTGTGTCAATAAACCTTCTTGGATAAACTAATGAGTAAATCTGACAGAGGGTTTAAATTATACTATGACAGAAATACTCAAATCCTGAAGCAGCTTTCCACTTCCAGAGCCTCAGATGAAATCACACATGTCATCAACAGGAGGAATAATGAACATGGAGCTGCCTTTATTAACAATCTAGTCTATACAAGGCACTGTTCTAGAAATTTCAAAGGGGCCATACTGCTTAGTCCTCATGGCAGCCCTATGGGATGGATGTTAATATTCTCCTTTAACAAATAAATTTTGCACAGAACCGTGGTGAGCCAGTAGTAGAGCTGAGATTTCAGCCTATGTTTGCCAAGTGCCAAAGCTTATAATATAGTCTGTCTTCTCTACTCCACTGACTCCCTCAGTCATTAGTTCCTTGGGCACAGTTGATCGGTGGAAAGCAATGGCCTTCAGAAACACAGTCTGGGTAGTTGCCGTAGACAGAGAAGCCAGGAGGAAGGCAAAGAGAGAAAAAACTGCACTCCATAGCTGGGCTCTTCCATCCCCAACTGCTCTGCCTTTTCTCCTCTCTCTCCTGCTACAACCCAGTGATTGCCACTGTGAGATATAGGTACACCTGCAAGACCTGAAGTCACTAGTGGACAGAGTAGACGTCAGAGCCTGTTTTGGAGCTTTGTGTGAATTCTGATGTCTGTTTTGCACATTCTATCCTTGTTGAGCAGATGAAGAGGCAGGTGCAGTGATCTCACAGTGTCACATAGAACTCCTTTCCCAATGGCCTGGATTTTGTGGGAATTGACCAAGCTCATTTTATGCAACTCTCTGACCATTCAGAACAGAGACTTAAATGTCTCCCCCATACCAGTAACACTCCATACTGGCTCAAAGACATTGGAAACAAGTCAGAAGGATTCCAGGTCAGGCTTTGCCATTTCTGTTGCATTAGCTTGGATACTCACGTGAATTATCCGAGCTTTAATGTTTTTATCTATAACATGGGGCTCATACATACACTCTCTGATTGCCCACTGGATTGTTGTAAGCACCAAATGGAATAACGTATAGAAGAGTGCTCTGTAGACTGTTAAGACAGATTTAAACATAAGAAGTTATTTTTTAGTGATTGGCTGAATAATTAAGATTTTTTTTAACTTTCTGATTGAGTTATGATTTTTTGAGGGAAGAAAGCAAAGTTGCATATGTCCATGACATTTTAATCCTCTAAGGTCCGTGCCAACTCTGTCATTCCATAAACCACACTTGGCTGTGCCCATTTTCTTCTTTCTATAGTGCTTAAGAGCCAGGCCACTGGAATCGTGACACATTACTAGATATGTAATATTGAACAAAGTATTTTAACCTCTTGAACTTCAGGTTTCTCACCCGTGAAATGGGGATGATAATATTTGTGTTGAACATTTCCACAAGGATTAAAACAGTCATGCATGTAAAGCAATTTACACAGTGCATGGTACATCATGGAGTACTTGAAAAATGGTTGCAATATTATTGTCGTTATTATTATTCATATTAAGGAACCATCATGCTGCCTCCAGGGCTCTTTGCATAATCAAATTATTCCACTGTTTGAAAGAATAAGAAAGTCCTTATCTTTCAAAACACTATATAAACATTTGGATCAATGTCTCCCAGTATGCCCTAAACTATGTTCAACGCTCTATGGACAGCACACAGTTTACAATATGGCTGGGTTCCAAAACTCTACTTGGAGGGCATTTGTTTGAAACTCAGAACAGATTTTCCCACAAAAGAATGCTATTAAAATAGCGGTTGGATTCCCAGGTGACTGAAAATACCCACTTGATACACAAAATAGCAGAAGATCTGGCATATTTGCAATGCAAATTACTGTAAAGCAATGTTATTGTATTGCTGGTCATTAACCAAAACTGAAAACTAAGAAAACTGTGTAATAAATCATTTTTAAAAATTTCTTGTATATGCAACTGATGAAGAAAAGTAGGCTTAATTAGAGGAAGAGATAATTCAGTGGAAATGTAAGTAAGAAATGTTAAGATGCCTTTGAGGGTATTTTCAAAGGTTTTTGAAGTTCTTTGCTAGGTCTAATGCGACTTCAAAATTGTTTCACTTTGTTCTTCTTGACATAAGGGACTACATAGCACAATTATTTTTGGTTTGCAAATGAAAAAGGAAATGAGATGGGAGAGATTAGGAAAAGAGAAGAAGGCGTGAGAAAGATTTCCCTGAGAAAGGCACTCAATAGTTTGGAGAAATCGAGAAAGGAGGAAGAGGCACATCTGTGTAGTAAAACGGATTTCAATTACCTGGTCTGAGAACAGGAAAAACAGCTGGTGTGACAGGCCGTACCTCTTGTAAAAGGGAATAGTGACAAGACTGGTCAAGTAGTTATCCACTGAAACCATAAGGTGGTGCCACGGGACCAGAAAAGTTCTTGAAAAGAAAGACCTCCAGGCTGGGGAGGAGGAGCAAAGGCAGGCTTGAGCACCCAGCTGTTTGTTGTTGGCAAATATGTCTAAATATTGTGCTGGTTCCCTGTTCTATACTTTATTGCCATGAAGTAAATGCTGAACTAGAATGTTCATATGACCTCATCTAAACAGCTCCCTGTGTTTATGGGCAAAGAAAGCACAGAATATGAGTACTTGAAGGACCTCAGCTCAGCTTTTAATTTCAGGTGGCTTCAAATCTATCATGGATTAAGCTGAAATACACAAAAATGTATATTTTCTCAAATGAGGAAACTGAGACTTGGAGCGAAGACATGTAGCCTGCCACTGTTCAAATAAGTGTTAGTAGCTATCTCTCTTGAAGCAGCCTGCCTCTCAGGCTGCCACACACACCACTCCACTGACTGGATGAAGCAAAAGTTTATTCCGTATTCCAACTTCAAGTGGAGCTCCTTTTACTGGCATGGCTAAGCAGGGTCAGAAGGAGTAGAGGTGAAGGTGGAATGATAAAATCTAGTGTAGATGAGTTGAGTCTCTAGAAATCTTGGGTCTGTGCTGAGAAGCTAATTCTCATGTAAGGAGAAGCTAATTCTAAGTTATATTGCCAGGCTATCCAGAAGCAATTTCAAGAGTCATATCGTATTTCAGAAAGAACCCTAAATGCAGAGACAGAAGACCTGAGTTCATTTATTAGCTGTGCTGCCAAACTTGTGCACATCTCTCTGTCTCTCTAGGGTCCTTCTTGGCTCCATCAAGCAAGTTATTCTCATAGTCTTCCAATCCTCAATAGGCAGGATGTGTGGGAGGCAGGACAATGGTAGGTAATTGCCTAATTAGGTCACAATAACTTCAGAGTGAGCATGTCCTTAACATAAACATGCCCCACCACGGCAAATCTCAAAAACTCTTTCAATCCGTGACACACAAAGCTCCTAGAGTAAAGCAAAGATATGAGTCACTCCCTATCATGACTAAAGAAGCCACTCTGAAGAACTCAAGCATCATACTCCTCATGGTAGAACATGCTTACAGGTTGAGAAGGGAATTTTCATTAGTAGAAACAAAAAAAGGCTAATGAGAGTGGTTGAGGAGTGGCAGCCTAAAAAGGAGAGATTATTATATAAATCAGAATAAAACAAACAAAAAAAGGGCCATTATGGTTCAGAAGGCTCCTGCATCCTTGATTCACAATGTGTGAGAGCTCAGGGAAGAAGCCAGAGCTGATTCTGGGCTGACAGGCACCAGGAATTAATCCTTGCCAGATCTGAACTGGACTGGCTTCTTTTCCCCTCACTCCCATACAAATGCCATCCTTGATTCCTCAGATCACTGCAATGTTAGAAACACTCAGTTCCCTTTTTACTCTGAGGGCTGACCTGCTGTTCCTGGGCATCCAAATTCTTCCCCCTGCCCTCTCTTCCCCATGCTGGGGGCTCATCTGCCTCAGTCACAGGAGCATTTTCCAGTGCCATTGATTCATGTCTTCCCTGAACCCAACACTGCCATCTGCACATGGCTCTCCTAGTCTCCATCAGCTCTGGGACCCTTCTCCTCTCCCATCACCTCTTTCATTCTCAGGGTCTCCTCTAGCTTCAGCCTCTCCCCTGACAGTGCTGTTGTTGACAATGCCATGGTGATGGCTATACCCTTTGTATCCACTATCCTTGAGGGGAAGACTGATTACAGCATTTTCAGCCAACTTTGAACAGTCTAATCTCTCAAACTAGGCCCGTAAAATGTAGCCTTGATATTATCTGACATTCCATTGGGAAACTTGGCATAAGTTCCTAAAGAACTAGGCCAGAGGTTCTGGAAGGACACCATCCTATAGCACCAAGCAAGTGTACCTTAAAGTGAGTCATCAGAGGCTGACTTTTCTCCCCCGTTGTATCTCCACAGCCTACCCTGCAATTTTCACGCTGAGATTTCCCACAGACTGTGTAGGGGGTTTCCATACAAATATAAGCTGTGATAACCCTGAGTTCCTAAAGCAACACCAACATGAATCATATGAATCATACAAAATCTTCAAAGGAAGACAACTTTTTATCTGTCTGGTGTTAAATCAGATTGCAATATTAAAGAAAACCACGTCTTCCTTGAAAAGCCTGCCAGCTTCTCTACTTCCTTCCTCCTTCCCTCAGTCAGGAGAGTTTGAACTTCAGATTGTTAGCAACAGGTACTCCTGAATGTCCTTGCCCTCAGATTTCCTCCTCTTTGTCACTGGTCTGCTAATTTTACCTCACTGTTTTATCAGACAAAAAGCCTAAAGAGGTTCAAGGAGCTAAAATGAGCTAAAATTTCTAGAACAATAGCTGGCAATTGGTCAATTTGCTATTTTATTCTTTTCTCCTCTGTCTCTTCTTCTTGGGCAGTAGGAATAAAAAAGGAAAAAAGAAAAAACATTGAAATGGAGACAAAATAAAATGGGAATACAAGAAGACAAAATAAAGTGGGAATACAAGAAAACCATTAGATTACTTGAATCTTCCCTTTAATTTCTGGTGGCTTCAAGGCTGGTAGGGATCAAATTGAAAGAAAGTATATACAAATATATTGTGCTAAGTTCTTCACTTCCAAATTTAGGAAAAGCTTTGAACAAGGAAGGTATCCTTTTCTTTAATTATAAACCTTATATTAAACCTCTAACCAAAATAATAGACTACTAAGATTTACATATATTATATTAAAAATATATAATTGTATTTTTCAACCTACAAAATTATCTCGAGTTCAATATGGCAAGTCATTTATGAGAACCAACTATTGTGTTCTTTACCTGAAATTGAAAATGAGAATGTCTATCTTTAGAAGCTACCAGGACACATGAGTTCAGAACCATCTCTCATAATAACTTACTACCTGATTGTATTAGTCCATTTTCATAGTGCTATGAAGAAATACCTGAGACTGGGTAACTTATAAAGAAAAAAAGGTTTAATGGACTCCCAGTTCCACATAGCTGAAGGGGCCTCACAATTATGGCAGAAGGCAAAGGAGGAGCAAAGGCAAGTCTTACATGGTGGCAGGCAAGAGAGTGTGTGCAGGGGAACTGCCCTTTATAAGACCATCGGATCTCATGAGACTTTTTCACTATCATGAGAACAGCATGGTGAAACCCGCTCCCCCATGATTCAATTACCTCCCACCAGGACCCTCCTATGACATGTGGGGATTATGGGAGCTAAAATTCAAGATGAGGTTTGGTTGGGGACACAGCCAAACCATATCACTCCACTCCTGGCCCCTCACAAATCTCATGTCCTCACATTTCAAAACCAATCATGCCTTCCCAACAGTTCCTCAAAGTCATAACTAATTTCAGCATTAACTCAAAAATTCACAGTCCAAAGTCTCATCTGAGACAAGGCAAGTCCCTTCTACCTATGAGCCTGTAAAATCAAAAGCAAGTTAGTTACTTCCTAGATACAATGGGGATACAGGCATTGGGTAAATACCGCCATTCCAAATGGGAGAAATTAGACAAATCAAAGGTGCTACGGCCCCATGCAAGTCTAAAATCCAGCAGAGCAGTCAAATCTTAAAGCTCCAAAATGATCTTTTTGACTCCATATCTCACATCCAGGTCACACTGATGCAAGAGGTGGGTTCCCATGGTCTTGGGCAGCTCTGCCTCTGTGGCTTTTCAGGGTACAGCCTCTCTTCTGGCTGCTTCCACAGGCTAATGTTGAGTGTCTGTGGCTTTTCCACGTGCACAGTGCAAGCTGTCAGTGGATCTACCATTCTGGAGTCTGGAGGATGATGGCCCTCTTCTCACAGCTCCACTAGGCAGTGCCCCAGTGGGGACTCTGTGTGAAGGCTCCAACCCTACATTTTCCTGCTGCACTGTCCTAGCAGAGGTTCTCCATTAGGGCTCTGCCCCTTTAAGCAGATTTCTGCCTGGACATCCAAGTGTTTCTATACATCCTCTGAAATCTAGGCAGAACTTCCCAAATCTCAGTTCTTATCTTCTGCACATCCACATGCCCAACACCATGTGGAAGCTGCCAAGCTTTGAGGCTTGCACCCTCTGAAGCTACAATCTGAGCTGTACTTTGGCCCCTTTTAGCCATGGCTGGAACACAGGGCAACCAGTCCTGAGACTGCACAAAGCAGCAAGGCCCTGGTGCCCTGCATCTTAGGCCTACAGTCCTATGATGGGAGGGTCTGCAGAGAAGATGTCTGATATGCCCTGGAATCATTTTCCCCATTGTCTTGGCAATTAACATTTGGCTCCTCGTTACATATGCAAATTTCTGCAGCCAGCTTGAATTTCTCCTCAGAAAATTGGTTTTTCTTTTCTATCATCACATCATCAGGCTGCAAATTTTCCAGACTTTTATTATGCTCTGCTCCCCTTTTAAAAATAAGTTTCAATTTTAAACCATATATTTTTGAATACATAAAACTGAATGCTGTTAACAGCCCCCAAGTCACCTCTTGAATGCTTTGCTGCTTAGAAATTTCTTCTGCCAGATACTCTAAATCATCTTTCTCAAGTTCAAAGTTCCACAGATCTCTAAGGGAGGGGCAAAATACTGCCAGTCTCCTTACTAAAACATAGCAAGAGTCACCTTCATTCTAGTTGCCAACAAGTTCCTCATCTCCATCTGAGACCACCTCAGCCTGGACTTCATTGTCCATATTACTATCAAAATTTTAGTCAAAGCCATTCAAGATGTCTCTAGGAAGTTCCAAACTTTCCCACATCTTCCTGTCTTCTTCTAAGCCCTCCAAACTGTTCCAACCTCTGCCTATTATTCAGTTCCAAAGTCACTTCCACATTTTCGGGTATCTTTATAGCAGCGTCCCACTACCAGGTACCAATTTACTGTATTAGTCCATTTTCATACTGTAAAAGAAATACTTCAGACTAGATAATTTATAAAGAAAAACAGGCTTAATGGACTTCCAGTTCCACATGGTTGGGGAGGCCTCACAATCATGGTGAAAGGTGAAGGAGGAGCAAAGGCATGTTTTAAATGGCAGCAGGTAAGAGAGCACATGCAGGGAACTGCCCTTTATAAAACCATCAGCTCGGCCAGGCATGGTGGCTCATGGCTGTAATCCCAGCACTTTGGGAGGCCAAGGTGGGTGGATCACCTGAGGTCAGGAGTTTGAGACCAGCCTGGCCAACATGGTGAAACCCCGTTTCTACTAAAAATACAAAAATGAGCTGGGTGTGGTGGCACATGCCTGTAATTCCAGCTACTCAGGAGGCTGAGGCAGAAGAATTGCTTGAACTGGGGAGACAGAAGTTACAGTGAGCTGAGATCATGCTAAGCTTTACATACATTATAAAAAGAAAAAAATGCATAATTGTATTTTTAAACCTAGAAAATTCTCTTAAATATAGCAAGCAATTTATGAGAACCAACTATTTTGTTCTTTACGTTAAATTGAAAATAGAGAATGTCTATCTTTAGAAGCTACCAGAACACATGAGTCCAGAACCAACTGCACTCCAGCCTGGGCGACAGAGTGAGACTCCATCTCAAAATAAATAAATAAATAAACCCATCAGATCTCATGAGACTCATTCACTCTCACAAGAACAGCACTGGAAAATCCAGCCCCATGATTCAATTACCTCCCACCAGGCCCCTCCCATGACATGTGGGGATTATAGGAGCTATAATTCAAGAAGATATTTGGGTGGGGAAACAGCCAAACCATATCACTGATCTTTCACAAGTTATTTTATTTCTGAGGCCTCAGTCTCTTTAAATGCAAAGTAGGAAGACTAATACCTTCTCTGTCTTCTTCACAGGGACACTGAGAAAAAGCTGTAGATAGAAAAGAGTCTAAGGAAAAATTAGAAGAGGTATCGAAATGAGATAAAATAGTGTTTGTTATATATAAGATGCTAGGGTTGATTCTTTATGTCCAAGCAGCTTTCAAATCACATAACTGACACTATTCTAGACACATGACTCTGAGTGAGCATGAGCCATTTCTTCTGGATTAGACATAATGTTTGTGGCATTTATATGCTAGAATTGTGTAGAACAGCCTTTCTATGAGTGTGTAATGTATAGGATATGTGTATTTATTGAGATATCAGGAGTTGAAACCTGGTGGAGAATTCTCATCCAATAATGAAGATAAATGACAGGCAGGGGAATGTTAAATTCAAGTAATGAACATTTGTAAGCAGCAACTCAGTGCCATGTACTATCCTAATGCCTGGGAATACAAAGTGTGTTGGGGGTCCCAGGTTTGGTTCTTCATTAGGAGGAACAAATAGTCGAGGCTATGCTTTATTACTGAAAGGATGCAAAGCAAACTTAGCAAAGGGAAAAATGGCTCTGGCAGCAAAATCTGGAGGAAACCAGGGGTAAGCTTCCATGAGTCCTCTGCCAGTGGACTCATGCGGGATGCAGTTAATTCCCCCAGCAACAAGATGTGATGACACATGTAAAATGTTACCTACCTGAGCAGGTCAGTAGAGATTCAATGCCCAGAGTTTCATGTTGGAGGCTGGTCATATGGTCACCCTCTGCCTAGCCCATACCAAAATTCTAGAGTCCCAGAGGAGAAGCAAATGTTCATCATAAACCACATTGTTTATACAAACAGTTTATACACAGGGAGGCACTCTTATCAGGGAACACTGGGAACCCTGTTGAAATCCAAGTTCCCAGACACCAACCAAGGTCCAATATTGCAAGCAGATCTCTGGAAGAATAAAATTCCCAGGCATCATATATTAGTTCTTTTATGCTTTTATGCACACAGAGTTGTAAATAAGCAACTGTGATATAATTGGTACTTGCAATGATTAATTCATTTGACTAAGGTTTATTAACCCTTTGAAGGGTGGAGTAAGAATGAGCTAAATTAGATATGGTTGTAGTAATTTGTCAGACTCAACTCCATACCTCAATGTTCTCTCCTCACTCACTGGCAGACTACTTTTTCTATAAAAGGTGCTATGGCTGGGCTCCAAATTACTCCTCGTAGCCTCCATCTAGAGCCCAATGCACTTCCTGGGGGCTCTGTTTCCTGTCTGTCATATAATTTCTTCCTGCTTGGCCCTTAAGTACGTGCTAAGGCTACTTCTCTGTTTGACTTCAACAGAATCTGGCTTGACAGATCCTGGCTTGACTTGAGGTATCCTCAAGCAAGTTCTGCCCCATCCCTGCTCCAGCCAAGATTCCCAGCACCTCACATCTCATCTGGCCTCTGTGTCCCCTTTGTCCATTAGAGGAACTAACCCATTCCTGGTTGAAGCCCTAGTTACTGCGGCCTATCTTCTTCCTTTAGATAATGACTTAAAAGCCATTCAGTTTCCACCCAAAACCTTTGGTTAATTTTCACATGGCTGCCAACTGCCTGGGAGTTGGCTGGAGCTTAGAAACTTCAGGTTTCTCTGTTTTTCCTTCTGGAATCCTCTCATGCAGGAGCTCTACATGCTGTAACTGAAAGCAACTAGTGTCTTCAGCGTCTCTGCTGCTGTTTCTACTGCCCTGTTTCTACTGGAGAGATTTATTCATTACCCCCAAGCCCTGTCCTCTTTCCTCTTTCAGGGTGTTGTATCAAAAGTACCAAGCTCTGCGTTTATAGGGCTCAAATTGAAGATGGGAATAAATGGAGCCAACATACATTGTTTCTCAGGTACCCAAATTAGCAAAAATAGGAAAAAGGTAGATGGTGACCCTTGAGCCTCCTAATAATATTAAGCAACATGTTCAGCGACCCAGCCAAGAATTACAAAGTAAACTTTGTCTTGTCCTTTCCCCACTCTGTAATCCACAGCTCCAGACAATTCAAACATTGAGATTCCTGGGAACTACCAGATAGTAGCATCAGTTCACCAAGAAATGAAGCTGGTGAGGCAGTGAAAATCCAGGGCCTAGAAAGCTGGGAATGCCATGACGTGGGCACATTGAAAGACAAGAGGCAGGCATGATCAGCCTTGAACTTTAGGAAGATCCCAGGAAGCTGATGGAAGACAAGATGTGGAGTGAATGTGAAGGCAAGATACAAAAATAAGAATTTTTTGTAATAAGCTTTTAAGAAGTGGTGGGGCCTCAACTAGGTCTAAGGTGGTGTGTGTACAGTGGAGGAGAAGATATAAGAAATACTCAGAAGGCCAAATAATCAGGATTTGGGAATGGGAATGGGAATGGGAGAATGGAAGGGTGGACGATTACTCTCTGACTTCTGGCTTAGGGATCACTGGCTTTAGCAATAACTCTGTTAAGATAAGAATACAGGGAGACCAATGTTGAATCCAAACAATTTCATACTGCAGCTTCCCCTTCATTTCCTTTTCTGCATCTGAAGTGTTCTCACTGGGTTTGGTTTGGTTTTGTTTTCTCCTTGGAAGGTCCAGAAATGTCCTTGGTGTGTTTGACAGACTTTCAGGCCCATGCGCGAGAGCAGCTGTCTAAGTCAACTCGGGATTTTATTGAAGGTGGAGCAGATGACAGCATCACGCGGGATGACAACATTGCAGCATTTAAAAGGTGTGGTCTTCTGTAGCCTGTCTATTGTTAGGTTAAGGTGCACTGGTGGAGAGCAACTTGGACAGTAGTAGTCCTGGTTTCTGCCTCCAAAAAACACAGATCACTCAAGACCTAATAATGTGGATGATTTTGTTGTTGTTTTGGTTTGTTAGGGCAGGGGAGGGAGGGCTGATGGGAAGATGGAAAAAGAGGGAATTTCTGTTATAGCCAGCATAAGTGAGTCATTCTCCTTCATCTCAGCAACTTTGCAACCTGACAAGATAGAACAAGAGTCCCAGAATGACCAGTTCCCTAGGCAGGGAGGATGGGCCTGCTGGGAGGCCTAGATCTCCTGAGTTCCTAAACTCTGGCTTGGAGAAGAAAATGGAAGACAGGAGAGAACACTCAGGTTTGGAGAAAATATGGAGATCCAAGGAGTCTCAAAGATAATAAGAGATTGAGTCAGGGGAGAAGAGTTGGTCTGAAAAAGTAGGAGATGGAGCATCGGTCAACCAACAGCAGTCCACAGGCAGAGGCTGACCCGCCACTTATTTTTGTATGGTCCATGAGCTAACGATGGTTTTTCATTTTTGAATGGCTGAGGGTGGGGAGTCAAAAGAAGAATAATTTGTAATACATAAAAATTATATGAAGTTCAAATTTTGGTGTCCATAAATAAAGTTTTATTTTAACACAACCATGCTCAGCCATTTACTATTGTTTATGGCTGCTTTTGCACTTCAAGAGCAGTGTTGAATAACTGTGACAAAGATTACATGGCCCACAAAGCCTCAAATATTTACTCTCTGGCCCTTTATAGAAAAAGCTTGCTGATTCCTGTGATACAGAGGTCAGGAGAAAACTGAAAAATGGTATAAAAGGGAGCCCTATATTCTGTATTTTCATACTTAGTTAGCACTATACGAGGCACCTTACATCATTTATTTCAGTCTGTCTTCACAAAACTATTAGGAAATTTGGATTATTATTCCTATTTCAGATGAAGTGACTGAGGCTACCTTACTCAAATTTGCACAATTAAGAATTTTCAGAAAATTTTTCTAAGTTTATGTGCAAAAATAATAATATTGTATAAACAATGAAAATCTTAGACACCTGAGGCTAAGTATGCATTTATTTAAAAAGTGTGTTTTGCATATTTATTATTTGTAAATTCTCCTACCTTCTTCTAAAGCAGTGTTTAAGTCAAATCTTCAAACTAACTAGCCTCTATCACAAAAGCCTCAATCACTCCCTGGGATTTGTTCTCATTCAGTGACCTTTTCTTACTTTCTGGAGACTTGGGCCTAACCTGAGAGGAAAAGAGACTGGAACCTCTTCCTACCTATTCTTTTCTTTTTAGTCCTTGTTATGATGAACCAAACCATCCAAGTGCTGCAGTGTAGTCTGGGAGGCATGACTCAAAGACACAGACTTCTGACAGAGCAAAGCAGGAATAGTGTGGACTTGGTATGCACAAAGTGGTTCAGAGAAGGTTGGGAAATGGGGAATGAGGTGTTGGAAGCGGCTTTCTGGAGATAAGTCTCCTCCTGGATCAACATAGGTTACTCAGCTCTCAGCCAACTGAACCCACCAAGGTTCCACAGGACCCTGTCTGGTTTAGACTTGTATCAGGAATCAGGGGGGTCCACCCCAGACAACGCCTCCCTGCTGCAGAATCATCTCACCAACAGAAGATCTCTTTGTTGTCCGGCACAGAATTCGCCTCCGTCCGCGGTACCTGAGAGATGTGTCTGAGGTGGACACCAGAACCACAATCCAAGGGGAGGAGATCAGTGCCCCTATTTGTATCGCACCCACAGGGTTCCACTGCCTTGTCTGGCCTGATGGGGAAATGAGCACAGCAAGAGGTATGAACCATCCCCACCTCGAGGCTCCTTTCCGGGAGGAGGTGTCCCTCAGAGCAGTGGCAGAGGCTCCAAGATTCTCTCTAGAAGGGCCTTAGGAACATAATCTGGTTAACACTAAGGAAGGCAGGAAAGGGAATGCTTAAAGCTACGTTTGTGTAACCTAAGATTGAGAAAACATTCATTTTCCATAATAAAGAATAGTTAGAGTGCAAGGGGGTTTACAGATGAATAAGAAGGTGCTAAAATTTAACCAAGTCATCCCTCAGAACAGGGGTGCTGGCCCTTCTGGCTCACACCATCTGTAGGGAAAGGGATGCTTAACGCAGCCCCAAGGCTAGGGCCCTCTTTGGCCCCTGATGGGCCAGGGCTAGGGCTGAATGGCAGACTCTGAATTTAGGATGAGGAGAGAATCACGACATTAGGTCCTAACACAAGGCCCTGGAAGCTGCTGTTGCCCAACTATTCCATTTTCCTTCTCTTCAATTGACCTTGTCATCTTGTTTGACAAAGATTTTATTGTTGGGTTACATCTCCTTCCCAGTCAACCTAATTCTCATCCCACATTCTCCACCACCACCACCACCACCACCACCGCCAATAATAATAATAATAATAATAAATAGAAAAGGAGAGATGGGGCTGAAAATGCTCTTGGGACTCTTTCGTAATCTTCACTCTAAGTCACATCTGTTTTTGTGAATTTCTCAGCGCTTCCCTGAGGTCTTTTCCTTTGACTCCATGATGAAGGAAGCTATGGATTCAAGGATTCTAGAGCTGAATGTGACATCCATCTTGATGGGGTCTAGGGACCAGGTCTAGCTAGGTTGAGATATTAATATCCTATATGAATGTGACTAGTTTACTAAGTCATCATGGTTGAATGTGTTGTTTGGGGGTAGGATGAAAGAATGGGGTATCTCCTGTTGACATGAAAAATTGAAAATGTTAATTTTTGATTAGCCCAAATTCTCTGCCCATGAGTTATAGTGGGACAGTGACATTAACCTGTTGGAGATTTCATTGAAATGAATAAAGTAGGAAATGGGAAATCTGCCAGTCAGCAGCAGCCATATGAACGTCATCACCATCAACTTCATTAGCACTGGTATCTATGCAGTACACCACTTTGCAATGTAAAGAATGCTGCCATAGCTAGTATCTTATTCAGTCTCCCAACAATCCTAAAGACATGTATTATTATTTTCCCTATTTTACAGATAAAGAAAATGAGAGACTCAATGCCACACAGCAAAGAAGGGGTAGAACTAGCATTCTTCTAATTTCATATGCTATGCTTTTTCCACCATGAAGTTCAGGATTCTCCACTGGAACTACATTCCCTCATCCTCTGCCCTCTCTAATTCTCTTCTGCTTCATTAAGGAGTTCATAAGAGGCCCAGTTGCCTGTCTGAAGGCTATAACACAACCAACATGATTCTGGAGATTGCATGGCATCTTTAGCTGGAAATATTTTGTTATCGAGTAGAGGGTTTGTAAGACAGGTTATACAGAGGAGAACCCAAAAAGGTTTAGGTCTCTCAGCCTGATCAAATTGCCTTCCATCCCTTTCTTACAAGGAAGCAGAATGAAATTAAGCTTTATCTGCATTCATGGGGCAAGATGGCCAGAGGCTACACAGACTCCCAAGGTTTTCAGCCCAGTCCAGAGGCCTCTGCCCTCCAGCCTGAGTCATGTCCTTTGCTTTACAGCTGCCCAAGCGGCTGGTATCTGCTACATCACCAGCACATTTGCCAGCTGTAGCCTTGAAGACATTGTCATTGCAGCTCCCGAAGGCCTCCGATGGTTCCAACTCTATGTGCATCCAGACCTGCAGCTGAACAAACAGTTGATCCAGAGGGTAGAATCCCTAGGTTTCAAAGCTTTGG
This sequence comes from Homo sapiens, assembly GCF_000001405.40. Lineage (NCBI taxonomy): Eukaryota > Metazoa > Chordata > Mammalia > Primates > Hominidae > Homo > Homo sapiens. The sequence goes on from NC_000001.11 coordinate 119,384,953, forward strand.
TAATAACTTTGGATACACCTGTATGTGGCAACAGGCGACATGACATTCGAAACCAGTTGAGGAGGAACTTAACACTAACAGATCTTCAATCACCTAAAAAGGTAAGAAAGATACCAAATTCGATGGACAGGCATTACAAGAGGCAAATTTCCTTCCCTCTTTTCTCCTTTCCTCCATTCTTTCTTTCCACAGGCATTTATCGAACACCTGCTCTGTGCCAGACACTGCGGATAAAGCAGTTTCAAAAAGCAGATATGGTTCCTGCTCCCTAGAGTTTCCAGACAAGCACAATCAACATAAGACCAAATGTTCTCACCCTTGGAGCTGCCCAACTTGTCACCAGAAGTGTTCTGGCCAGAGCTGGATGCTGAGAAATAGGAAAGCCACGGAAAATATTTTTGCACGAACTGGAGAGTAAACTAAAAAAGTTCATGTAACATTTTCTACTTTATGACACACTCAGAAAATGCTAATTTTGGATGGCATACATAGACAAACTGACTCTCCAAAGGGGATGTTCATGACCAAAGTGACTGGCCAGACAGTCTAGACAGGCCAGGTTCTACCTTACTGCCTTGAAACTGAGGAATCAATATCTCTGCACACATAGAGCTCATTTGTGGAGCACCAGGATGCTATAGCACATTTGTTTGTAATCTCTGAACTAGGTGACTACAAAGGGGACCTTCCCCATTAAAATCCTACAATTAAATGGCAAGAAGTGCCTCAGAGAGAGACAGCCATGATAAAGTGGGAATCCCTGGCTATAGTAGAGATACTAAAGCCAGCCTTTTCAACCAGTGGGCAACTGTGACACCAAGCCAAGTAACTCAACAGTTCTCATTAATCACAGATTGGCCTTGAGGTGCTCCAAAATCCTTATTCAAATTCCAGAAGCACATTGAGATTTATAAATGTTTGATGTACATGGTGAGCCAAGAGTAAATATTGGGTAATAACTGATTTAGTATTGCTTAGTTCTTATCCTGGGTATGCCTCAACCGTAACATATCACATTGACCAATAAATGCTTTTGCTTATCCATCTTATATACTAAACTCTGAATTTTTTAAAGTAGAAACTTTGTCTTATTTGTCTTTGTGTCCCCAGATCCTAGCACAATTACTGACAACAACATGATTCATGGTCAATGATAAGCAATTGAAGTAGAAATTCTTTTATACAAAGTTTGTTAGACAAAGGAGCTAGAAACGTTGTTGGGTTTTGTTGCTCCTGTTTCTTTTTGTTTTCTTTGTTGTTTGTTTGTTTGTTTGTTTTTGAGACAAGGTCTCACTCTGTCAGCCAGGCTAGTATGTGGTGGCGCCATCACTACTCACTGCAGTCTAGACCTCCTGAGCCCAAGCGATCCTCCCACTTCAGCCTCCCGAGTAGCTGGGACTACAGGCATGCACCACGATTTATTTTTTTAGAGGAGCAGCAGCAGGGTCTCTGTGTGTTGCCCATGCTTGTCTCAAACTACTAGGCTCAAAAGATCCTTCCGCCTCAGCCCCACAAAGTGCTGGGATTACAGGCATGAGCCACCATGCCCAGCCCTGTTCTTCCTCCTTCCAGTTTATAAATGGCAGCTCTCTAAATGTGTCTCATCTTTGGAATGCATCAAGTAGCCTTGTGAGAGCTCAGGACTAAGTTCCCTTTTTATTTCCTATAGGGAAATGCAATACCTTATTTCCAGATGACTCCTATCAGCACTTCTCTCTGCTGGAATGATCTCTCCTGGTTTCAGAGCATAACTCGATTGCCCATCATCCTGAAAGGGATTTTGACAAAAGAGGATGCAGAGTTAGCTGTGAAGCACAATGTCCAGGGTATCATTGTTTCCAACCATGGTGGGAGGCAGCTTGATGAGGTTCTTGCTTCAGTAAGTAGGATTACTTCAGAGAAGGGTGTGTTTGTGAGTGCTGTGTGTGTATGTGTGAGTGTGTCCACATCAAGGGACTCTGTGAAATCTGAGCATATTTCACTCCTCTGTACCACATGTGTTGGTATGTATCTGTGAATTTTAAGGACTGTTAATTATTATTAGTAGCCTACTGTGTGCTAAGCTGTTTTTTCAACCTTTACATATAGCATCTCTAAGTCTCATGCCAATGCTGCAAGATGGGTGTTATTATCCCTGATTTGCAAATGGGGATACTGTAGTTTAGTGATGTTAAATAACTTATCTTTAGTTCACTTAAGATAATAAATAATTAATGTTGAATTTGATTAGACAGATGTTCTAAAGTAAACACGTTTCATGGCAAAACTCTAAAAACACCCTGATGTGTCTTTTGCTAAAATCTATAAAAGTCCATAATTTTTTCCCTTAACTCATAAATTTATGTTCATTATAAATGAAGTTTGAGGGCAAGAAAGTGAGAGAAAGTAAGGCAGGGAAAGAATCTTTACATGGGAATTTGTTGTTGATTTGTTTTCATTGAGTTATATTTTTTCAAATGTTCTATTGCTGCTTGACTTGTTTTAAGAAAGAGAAATGAGGTTTTTTCCTCTTCAGTTTCATTGACACTTATATAAATAAAACATGTTCACTGCAGATAAATTAGAAAACATACATAAGCAAAAGATAAAAATTAACACTAATTTTATCACTATCACTAACGTCAACATTTTGGTCACTGTTAACATCTTCTTAATGCAAATACAATTTTTGGTGTTTAAGAAAAGTATAAATAATATTGTGTTTTTTTCTTTTACTTAGCATTATATTAAGAGCAACTTTTTGTTTCAGTATATATGCTCCTCTTATTTTTAATGGTATGTAGTATGAACAGACAACTATATAACCAACCTCCATTGTAGAACATCTGTATTGCCTCTAATCTTTCCCTATTTTAAACAACACATCAGTGACTGAATCCATAGCACAATCTCAAGTACTTCTTTAAGATAAATTCCAGGAATTAGAAATTTGCACTAGCTGGTTGGTACATTCCAAGACACGTGATGCTTGGAAGCCTAAGAGCCAGCCACTCACCTCCTCCTCTGCACCAGCTCTAACTGCTAAAGGCAGTGGAATGCAAGCCCACGTGGAGAGCAGGGGTCACCCTTCACTGTGTCTCTCTGGTAAGAGCTGAACCGAAGTGGTTGGGTCTCCTGCTTTTCATCTCACCTATTGACCTGCAAACTTAGGAGAAAGTGGTTGGGCTGAGCACACACTGAGCTCTCTCACCCAACCCCTGCCAGGATGCCTACAAGCCATCCAGTATTTAGCAAAACAGAGAAAGCAAAAGAGCATAGCATGCCCTGGGTCATCCCAACTATGCCTAAATAGGAGCAGAAGGCAATGAAGAGCCCATTACCAACAAGCAGCAAACAGTAGAATATAGGCTTTTGAAAGAAAGCTAATAAAATACATCATACAATAGGTGTCAGGCTCTCATTAATCAACTTAGCTGGTCTTGTTCTTTTGGAATAACTGAGTAATGAGTAGACAAAGAGGAAGACTAATTCTCCCATTGTGCTTCCCCACTAGAGAATGAGTATTGGCTAAGGTAGGGGCCAGGGAGAGGAGAATTTCTCCTATCTTATTGTGCTAATCAACTTGATATTCTCCCAAGCCATTTGGCTTCACATCCAAACTCAAGTTCACTTGGAGACAGCACAAATATCAGTGTGAGTCTCGTGAGGGTTTTGCTTCAGGTGAAACCTGACCCTGTGCTTGTATAACCCTGCCTCACTTGCCTCACCTTAATCCTAGCCCCAGGTCTATTTATTTATAAAAACAAACTTCCAGCTCACAGGTCAGAGTTTGCCATTTGTTTTTTTAAAACATTGTGTTCAAACATCATTTATCTGAGTTTTTTTAAAAAAATTATTTCCACAGGTTATTAAGGAACAGGTGGTGTCTGCTACATGAGTAAGTTCTTTAGTGGTGATTTGTGAGATTTTGGTGCAACCATCACCTGAGCAGTATACACTGCACCCTATTTGTAGTCTTTTATTCCCACCCCCTTCACACCCTTTCTCCCTTAGTCCCCAAAGTACATGGTGTCACTCTTATGCCTTTGCATCCTCATAGCTTAGCTCCCACTTATGAGTGAGAATATATGATGTTTGGTTTTCCATTCCTGAATTACTTCACTTAGAATAACACTCTCCAATCTCATCCAGGTTGCTGCGAATGCCATTAATTCATTCCTTCTTATGGCTGAGTAGTATTTCATCATATATATATATATATATATATATATATATACACCACAGTTTCTTTATCCACTCATTGATTGATGGGCATTTGGGTGGGTTCCACATTTTTGCAATTGTTAATTCTGCTGCTATAAACATGCGTGCAAGTATCATTTTCATATAATGACTTCTTTTCCCCTGGGTAGATACCTGGTAGTGGGATTGCTGGATCAAATGGTAGTTCTACTTTTAGTTCTATAAGGAATCTCCACACTGTTTTCCATAATAGTTGTACTAGCTCACATTCCCACCAGCAGTGTAGAAGTGTTCCCTGTTCACTGCATCCACATGAACATCTATTATTTTTTGATTATGGCCATTCTTGTAGCAGTAAGGAAGTATTGCATTGTAATTTTGATTTGCATTTCCCTAATCATTAGTGATGTTGAGCACTTTTTCATATGTTTGTTGGCTATTTGTATATTTTATTTTGAGAATTATCTATTCGTGTCCTTAGCTCACTTTTTGATGAGATTTTTTTTTTTTTTTCTTGTTAATTTGTTTGAGTTCCTCGTAGATTCTGGTTGTTAGTCTTTTGTCAGATGTATAGATTTTGAAGGTTTTCTTCTACTCTGTGGGTTGTCTGTTTACTCTGCAGACTGTTCCTCTGCCATACAAAAGCTCCTTAGTTTAATTAAGTGCCAGCTATTTATCTTTGTTTTTACTGTATTTGCTTTTGGGTTCGTGGTCATAAAATCCTTGCCTAAGCCAATATCTGGAAGGGTTTTTCCTATGTTATATTCTAGAATTTTTATAGTTTCAGGTCTTAGAATTAAGTCCTTGATCCATCTTGAGTTGATTTTTATATAAAGTGAGAGATGATGATCCAGTTTCATTGTCCTACATGTGGCTAGCCAATTATCCCAGCAGCATTGTTAAATATAGTATCCTTTCCCTACTTTATGTTTTTGTTTGCTTCACCAAAGATCAGTTGGCTGTAAGTATTTGGATTTATTTCTGGGTTCTCTATTCTGTTCCATTGGTCCATGTGCCTATTTTTATACCAGTTCCATGCTGTTTTGGTGACTATTAGTAACGAGAGAGAATTCATGTCCAAATAAAAGACATTTTTATAGTCCCAGCATGGTATTATTTGGATTTATTTTTTTTTATTTGTAGTTTCACTCTTGTCACCCACGCTGGAGGGCAATGGCGCAGTCTCAGCTCACTACAACCTCCACCTCCCAGGTTCAAGCAATTCTCCTGCCTTAGCCTCCCAAGTAGCTGGGATTACAGGCACTGGCCACCACGCCTGGTTATTTGCATTTTTAGTAGAGATGGGATTTCACCATGTTGGCCAGGCTGGTCTCGAACTCCTCACCTCAGGTGGTTCACCCGCCTCAGCCTCCCAAAGTGCTGGAATTATAGGCATGAGCCACTGTGCCCAGCTGGAATATTTTTATGATGTTGTGAAAGAGAAATACATTTGTACAAACTCTTCTAGTGAGCCATACTATGCAGTGGAGTTGATAATAATTGTGAAATAAAATAGGGAGTGAATTTTACCTTAGGGTGAGGCTTTAGAGTTAATTTTTAATAGGACAGAACAGGACATTCATTAGAGTCTTCTGGGGACAACAGCTGACTTATCCTTTCCCCTGGTCCTAGGAGGAAGTACAAGAACAATGTTAGATATGAAACCTCATAGAGGTGGGAACTTTTCTCAAAATCCTTACCTTTTATAGCACTGGCAACAACCTGCAGGGAGTGGGACACTGACCTCAGGCACAGACTCTAGGGGAGTGCCAAAAACTCAGATACTATAGTTTGAAATCAGGTGATTTCAAAGTTCCTCATAGAAGTTCCCACCTCTTTCACAACATTATAAAAATACTCCAAATAATACCATGCTGGGACTATAAAAAATGCCTCTTATTAGAATGTGAATTCTCTCTAGTTATTACATGTAAGTTCAAAACATATTCAATTCCCCGCCCCCACCTATAAGTTAAAGTAGAAAATTATTTCCTCACTATTTTCTTATACTGTTCAGTCTCAGCCAAAGTATCCCATTCAGGTAGAATGCTAATGGATTCCTTTGGCAGCAGAAGGCCTCATAGGGCCCAGTTTTGACTCTTCTTCTCAGGCCATCCCTCAGAGAAGCACAGACAAAAACCCTGAGGGTGTTCCAGAACTCCCTCCCCAAGGATCTTCCGCCTTGATCCATAAGGGGCCTGTTTGTCACTCCTCTTTACAGACTTGTAGGTGCCTAGAAGCATAGATCGGCCTGGGGCACCTTGTGTGCTCAAGGCCTATTTGCCTGTTCCCTGGAATTGAAGAGGCAACATAAGAGACAAAGTTCCTTAGGAAAATCAGGCCAAGATGATAAGATGTTTTTATTTTGTCTGTCAAAGGCTCAAACTTTAGTTTTACCGTGTTGTACTTTAGTCCTATCTCATTTTCTCAGATACGCCATGAGGAAGTCAGGGACAAGTTGGTCAAGTGGTGCATGAGAAATAATGTTCAACCCAGTTTCCCAAGTCAGGATGCAATCCAGACATGCAGGCCATGGTCAAGTGTACTTGTCTTGCCAAAAAGACTTAGTGCCTTTGCAGTGGAGAGCCTTTCTAGTTGTGCCACCCTAGAAACAGAGAGAGTAGAAGAAAATCAAAAGTCAAAATGTTTGAAAAGAAGAAAGTTGAAGTAAACATTATAAGTGGAAAATGTCCCTTTTAGGATGGAAAGAATAACCAAGCAGTTCTTCCAACTTGTAAGACAGTTAAGTGAGTCAGAGAGAAGCTAGACTGGAGTCAAAGCAGAAAGTCAAGGCAGGAGGGCCTCAGGAATGTGACTGCCGCTGCAGTTGATCAGCGCTAGCAGCCTCAAGCATGGGAGGGGAAGAAATTGTCAAGGGCGTCTCCTCAGCTTGGTTTTCCTGGTCATATGCCAGGAAGACCAAGTCTGAGAGTCAAAATAGAAAGCCCTCCAGCCCATGTGTATCTCCTTTTCAGATTGATGCTTTGACAGAAGTGGTGGCTGCTGTAAAGGGGAAAATTGAAGTCTACCTGGATGGCGGGGTCCGAACTGGCAATGATGTGCTGAAGGCTCTGGCCCTTGGAGCTAAGTGCATTTTTCTTGGGAGACCAATCCTATGGGGCCTTGCCTGCAAGGTGAGAGTGGCAAAGCAAACCAGCAAGAAGATACAGAGCTTCTCATTCATTTCTGTGCTTTCCTGTGGTTCATTTTCCAAGCTTAGACATTTTCAAAATGATTCCTAAAGGATAGTTACACCTAAGCTGCATCTCCATGCTTCTTCTGAAGCCCATTGCAAATGTTCAATAGCTTTCATCCCCTATCTTTGTCTCTGTGCTTTCCTTTATTCCCAAGGTAATTCTCACTTCACAGATAATCCCCATCTTTCCCATTATAGCTCTGACTACATCTAGAATTTATACTAGTGGATGGTCAGAATGTTCCTTTATGTCTCTTTGTGTCTCTGTCTGTCTGCCTCGGGAGCAGGGTGAACATGGTGTTAAGGAAGTTTTGAACATTTTAACAAATGAGTTCCACACTTCCATGGCCCTTACAGGTAAGTTAACATGTTTTCCCTGATTTGGAACTTAAAGCAGGATGGCTAAAGAATAGGAGCAGCAGTCCTTCCCTCTAGCAGACCCTTTCCTGATGTGGTAGCTGTCCAAAAGATAGGACAGGCAGGCAACTTTCAAGACAAAGATTAAGCACTATTCTCTGCACAGTGGAAACCAGAGCTGTCCTCAAGATCATTGACAGCTCTGGGGAGTGTCACCTCTGGCTCTGAATTCTTGCTTCTGTTGAATTCGTTCAATTTACGGACTATTGACATATCCCATGCCTGCTGTTTCTGTCCACTCCAGTCAACCCAGGCATGAAACTCAACTCTTTTCTATGCTTCCACTTTTAGGAAAAGACCCTCTCATTAGTATATTTTTGTGAATAATACATTTTGCCAAAGTTATGGTGCACACATCATAAATATGGAAAGAACTCCCAGTTAAACGTTACGCAGCCTGTTATTGCATTCTTTCAGCCTTCTCATCACCAGGGACTTCTCATTGCCTACTCAAGCCCACAACTCCCCAGCCCCATAACATCATGCCAGCTTCTCTTTCTCCCTTCTTTTACTTATCTGGAGTTACTCTCTTCAATCCTTATGTCCAATCTGAGCTACAGTCATAATTTTACATATTAATTAATATCTTCTTCTAAAGAAGAGTCTTTTCCTTTGACAGAACTTTCCTTTAGAAGGCAATTGTCATGTGGAATACTCACCCCATCTCTTTTGCTATCTGTGTGTCATATTCCTCCCGAAAAGATACTTCCTATATCCCTGAGCCTTATCAGAACCAAGATAAAGATCAAAGACATCTATTGCACACAAGAGTTGATTTAGAAAATGCTAAAATAGGGTTTTTACATGTTTACCCTGACATTTTGACATGGCCATGTTCAGAGATGACCTGGGCTCAGGTTCACAGAATAATACCCAATGCAAACAGAATTACGTTATTCATTCTGTATGTAAACCATTTTATAAGAGTGAGCACAAAGATCAAGTCAGACTTGCTCCCCTTCATCACCCCTTACCCATGATGAGGTGAGTTGCTTGTGTTTGACAAAAATGAGCTTGTAACCACATTGTTCTTTTAGGCTGCCGGTCGGTCGCTGAGATCAATCGAAACTTGGTCCAGTTTTCCAGGCTGTAAGAAAAAAGGGCCAATAACCAGACTGCTGAGGTTGCCCACAGGAGGATCACAAACTCACAGCACAGTGTGTGATGCTGTCCTTCCTGGACCCCATTCTGTCCGGAGGCTCATGGCCCATATTTCCCACATTTCTAATACCACCACCCCTGTGCTTCAGGCCCTCCAAACCCCTGTGTTCCCCAAATGTTCCATGCCCTTCTTTGTATCACTGACTATTATATGTTGCTCTCTTGCCTAAATCTTCCTCTGAAGTAAAAGATCTCAAAAGGACAGATCATTAATGACTGGAACCACTAGTGGGTGATATTTTTTGCATACTCTATACAACTCTATGAAATGACTATCTAACTTTGCACTCTGGACTGAGGAGCTGTATATACAAGGCATTTTTCCAATAAAAACATAATCCTATCTGTAGAAAATAGGGAAATAGTTAAGGACATGGACTTTGGAGCCACACAGACATGGGTTTGACAGTCAGGACTACTGCTGGCAAGCTACGTGACTTGGGCAAGTTTTCTGATCTCTCTGTGTTTCTGAGTCCTGGTGTATAAAATGGGGATTATACTCCCTCAGCCAGTAGGTTGGGAAAAAGTTAGAGTAAGATGATGTATTTGAAGTTCAGAACACAATGCTTAGCACCTAGTAGGAGTTTAAGAAATAGTAGTGTTTCATACTTAATGAGTATATATACATATGTACTCATATATATATATATATATATATACTCATATATATACACACTCATATATATATACTCATATGTATATACTCATATATATATACTCATATATATATACTTATATATATATATACTCATATGTGTATATATATATACTCATATATATACTCATATATATACTATACTTATTGTTTGGAAAATTCCTATTAACTTTTCAAGGCATTGTTCAACTTTCAACTATCATCGAATATTAACCCAGGCTATTTTCTCTGTCCTTCCTATTGTACTTTGCACATTCCAATATTACAACCCTTATTACACCTGGTCATATTTCTTTATTTGCATGTCTTTCTCCACAAATAGACTATGAATGGCTCCAGACAAGAAACTGTATGCTTGATTCTGGACTTGGCATATAGGAACATCTCAATGAACATTTCTGGGATAGATGGATGGATAGAGGGATAGATAAAGGATAGTTGGAAAATATATAAATGACCTATCAGAATAAAACCTCCTGAGACCAGTAGTCAGCTAGAATAGATTTCTAGAGCAGGGATACTCAGCTGAATAAGATCTGGCACTTGAAGACATCAAGAAGGTTAGAGATGGCTGGGCATGAAGGCGCACGCCTATAATCCCAGTACTCTGGGAAGCTGAGGCAGGAGGATCAATTGAGCGTAGAATTTTGAGGCTTTCGTGGGCAACAAAGGGATACCTCTGCAAAATTTAAAAATTCGTTAAAAACCTAGCCGGGTGTGCTGGTGTGCAGCTATGGTTCTAGCCACTCAGGAGGCTGAGGTAGGAGAATCACTTGGTCTGGGAAGTTGAGGATCATGCCACTGCATTCCAGTGTTCTGGGTGACAGTGCAAGACCCCATCTCAAACAACAACAACAAAACAAAAAAAAAAATAGAAGAAGAAGGTTAGAGAAAAAAAATCTAAGTCTAAACTAATAGCTTCAGCAACGGCTTCCCCATCATCTCTCCTGCTGCTTGCCACACTGTTCTCCATACAACAGCCTGAAAGAGTTTTTAAAAGTAAAATCAAATCCTATGTCTCACCTATTTAAAACCTTTCTATACCTTCCCATTCCACTCTAAACTGATCTCTAGCTCTCTCGGGCACTGCATGATCTGCTCATCCTTCCAACGCATTTCCTCATCACTCTCCCTTTTACTCATAATGCCACAGCCAGATTGGCCTCCCTTCTATTCCATAAACAATCAAAACTTTCTTGCCTCTGGATCTTCACATTTATCATTCCCTTTTCATAAAATGGTGTTCCTCACCTTCTCATGATTGGCTGTCTGTTGGCATGAAGATCTCAGCTGAACTGTCACCGCCCTGATGAGATGAGACATCCCTGACCATCCTCTCCCAAAAACAATCTGCTTCACTCATCACATCACACTGTTTCTCCCCTCCTAGCTGTTACCACAACCTGCAACTAACTTATCAGTTGTCTACTTTATTGTTTATCTGTACCTGCATAGGGACCTTAGACTGTCTTGCTTCCTGCTACGTTCCAAAAAGCCTATAATCATGTCCAATGTCATAGAGGGCCCCATACATATTTATTAAATAAATTAATCCAGGAAGGCAAAGCTGGATCAAACTACATCAGCACATCTGGAGAATTATAGCAGTCAGAGGAGGAAAACTGTGAGTTAGGATGGAATCCAGCAGAATGGTTCACTACCTAAGCCAATAGACCTGAAAAGTCTTCTATCATTCCTTGACTGGACACTTCCCTGCATGAAACCACGCCATAGTACAGGTCCACTTTTGCCCAGATCAACCCACAGAGCCAAGGGCTGGGTCAAAGGAACTTTAGCATGGAAAACACCAAAAGAGAATGCAGTCCCCCAGCAGTCTCCCTGGTAATAACTTTTAAGGATTATTTGCTTAAGCCAAATATATGCATAGGATGTCCACCACCCACATATTTAGAAAAGGGAAAATGAAGTAAGGTCATACAACCTGCTTGCCTATAACTGCAATTCAGAACCCAGAATTCAGGAGAAGTGAACACCCAAACTTTCAAATCAGCAGTCCCTTTTAAAAAAAAAAGTTCATAAAGTGTGTGACTCAAAGAAGACCCTTTGATTCTTCTCAGAGCAAAAGATCTTAAAGGGCAAATCAGAAAAGACTGAAACAGCCAGTGGATTATAAAATTTTGCACATCCTATATATATCCATGAAATAACTGTGGAAGTTGGCACTGTGGACAGAAGAGCTATACTTATAAAATATGCCCCAACACAAATCATACTATCTATTAAATAGTGCAGCATAGAGAAATCAGAAGAAAAGAAAAAAAGCAGATGTTGCTAGAATACTTGGAAGAGCATCGGATACTTTGGAGAATCATGGTCATTGAAAAGGGGCTCAGAAGGCTAAATTAGATGTAATTGTTAATGGGTTGATAAAAAGAAAAGGGAAATTGACCATGATCCCAGTGTTAGGCCTTAACTTTTTACTCAGATGTCAAATTGGCTGCTGCATTGGTGGGCTGATAATTTGAGGTCAAGGAGAGGTCTTTAATCTGGCAGCCAGGATGGAGTGCTTGTGCTGAAAGTTTAGGGACATACTAAGAAAGCACATATCTAGGGATGACTGTCTGGATGACACAGCAAGTCACAGTTGCATTATGGGACAGGAGACCTAGATGACCATGGGCCTTGTAGATGACCTTCAACACCCTGATTTGCATAGCAACATGTGACTTGTAAAAAATGGAAGCTTCATGATTTAGTCTGTTTGTGCTAGTATAACAAAATATATGAGATCAGATCATTTATAAACAACAGAAACTTATATCTCACATTCTGGAGGCTGGTAAGTCTGGTAAAAGCCCAGAGTCTCCTTCCAAGATGGCTTCTTGTTGCTGCATCCTCTGCAGGAGATGGATACTGTGTCCTCACATGGCAGAGGAATGGAAGGGGCCACCTAGTTCCCTCAAGCCCTTTTATAAGGTCACTAATCCCATTCATGAGGGCCTTGTCCTCGTATGTTAATCACTTCCTAATGACCCCAGCTGTAAATACTATCACATTGGCAATTAAGTTTCAACATATGAATTTGGAGGTAACACCTTCAGACCATACAATTTCATGAGATCAAGAAAGAATATGGGACAAGGGTGATTTTGGTGTAGGCTAACTCCTGCACTGCTGCAATGGACTTTGGGAATATCTCTTACTTTGAGTCACACTGCCAAGGCCAGAGACAATACAGAACAGAGGAGCAAAAGAAAGCCTAAAATATTCATTCTCATGACCTAGGATGTTACAGGATTTTATGACCCATTGGCTAATGTTATTCTGTGCAATGCACTGACCTCCAAGAAAAGTAGCAGAAAGAGAGTTTTCAGATAAGAGACTTAGGGACCCTGGAAACAAAGTAATATTGACTACTCCAGTTCTTCCACAGTAAATGAGAAAGGAGAAACCTTTATTTTGGTCACATTGGATAGTTTTAGTGGATAGATGGAGGCTTTCTCAATAAAGTACTAAAGAGCTAAACTAATGGCAGAGATTAAAGTCTAAGAAATCTTCTCTTACCCAGGGGTCCCCAAGTTTGCCTCAGACCGTGGGCAAACTCATGAAAGAGCTGACTCACTAGCATATGACCAAACCTAAACAGACTTTGCTCTCCTCTGGCTTGTTCCCCTGCACTCATACCCTTGTCCTCCATCAGAAATCAGCCACAGAGACAGTGGGACTTGGCGCCCTTTCTAAAACTTTACTCTCTGGAATTTCACTTCTATATCATAGAACTCTTTGTCAGATACCACTTTCTCAGCCTCGTTCCATTTGTGTTAAGTTTATAACTACAGTCTCATGATTCTCCTCACATCAGAAAAAGATAAGAACATCTCAGTACTAAATTTTTTTTGTGGTTAAGTAAACAAATAAAGCCTTGAAGATAAAACTTGAAATTATAGAAAACATAAGTAGGATAACATCCACCCCTCCAAACACCCAATCACAGTCTCGTAAATCATTTTTTTTTCATGCTTTCATGTTGGCTAGTGATCATGTTGCAAAATTTCCCAAAGTTTCTTTTATTACAGGTACTTCAAGCAGGCATAATTGTCTGCTTAAGGTCATCTCTTCAACCCTGAAATCATCAGCTGAGGACTTGTGGGAGACATTACAGATAGGTTTGGGGTAAGAGTGAAACAAATCACATGAGCATATGGTATTAAAGCAATGTGGTATATAGATAATTATGTTAGCTTACTTTATAAGAGAATATAGTAGAAGTTCTCTGTATACATCTACCTGGTGATAGCTGTGCTCCTGGATACAAGTGTGTAATTTTTTAAGTTTGTCTGGGCTCAGAGGGCTAGATCCAAAATTATAAGGGAAATGAGCCAGAATGTTATCAAGATAATGCCAAAAGGCTGTTCTCTACTGCTCAGAAACATGGAAAAATGAATACCCACAGTAAACTGAAGAGATGCATATGAAATCTCAGAAGCAATCTCTTAACTCCTAAAAATGTCTTACATTTGGAATGCAATCTGATTTAAGATGGCAAAACACCTGAACAGACACCTAACAAAAGAATATATATTGATTACAAAAAAGCATATGAAAAGATATTCAACACCATATGTTATTAGAGAATTGCAAACTAAAACAAAAATGAGATAACACTGCACACCCATTAGAATGGCAAAATCCGCAACACTGTCAACACCAAATGCTAGCAAGAATGTGGAGCATCAAGAATGCTCATCCATTGCTAGTGGGATGCAAAATGGTACAGAAACTTTGTAAGGCAGTTTGGCAGTTTCTTTTTATTATTATTATTATTATTATTATATTTTAAGTTTTAGGGTACATGTGCACAATGTGCAGGTTTGTTACATATGTACACATGTGCCATGTTGGTGTGCTGCACCCACTAACTCAGCATTTAGCATTAGGTATATCTCCTAATGCTATCCCTCCCGCCTCCCCCCACCTCACTACAGGCCCTGGTGTGTGATGTTCCCTTTCCTGTGTCCATGTGTTCTCATTGTTCAATTCTCACCTATGAGTGAGAACATGAGGTGTTTGGTTTTTTGTCCTTGTGATAGTTTGCTGAGAATGATGGTTTCCAGTTTCATCCATGTCCCTACAAAGGACATGAACTCATCGTTTTTTATGGCTGCATAGTATTTCATGTTATATATGTACCACATTTTCTTAATCCAGTCTATCATTGTTGGACATTTGTGTTGGTTCCAAGTCTTTGCTATTGTGAATAGTGCCACAATAAACATACGTGTGCATGTGTCTTTATAGCAGCATGATTTATAATCCTTTGGGTATATACCCAGTAATGGGACAGCTGGGTCAAATGGTATTGCTAGTTCTAGATCCCTGAGGAATTGCCACACCGACTTCCACAATGGTTGAACTAGTTTACAGTCCCACCAATAGTGTAAATGTGTTCCTATTTCTCCACATCCTCTCCAGCACCTGTTGTTTCCTGACTTTTTAATGATCGCCATTCTAACTGGTGTGAGATGGTATCTCATTGTGGTTTTGATTTGCATTTCTCTGGTGGCCAGTGATGATGAGCATTTTTTCATGTGTTTTTTGGCTGCATAAATGTCTTCTTTTGAGAAGTGTCTGTTCATATCCTTTGCCCACTTTTTGATGGGATTTTTTTTTTCTTGTAAATTTGTTTGAGTTCATTGTAGATTCTGGATATTAGCCCTCTGTCAGATGAGTAGGTTGCAAAAATTTTCTCCCATTTTGTAGGTTGCCTGTTCACGCTGATGGTGGTTTCTTTTGCTGTGCAGAAGCTCTTTAGTTTAATTAGATCACATTTGTCAATTTTGGCTTTTGTTGCCATTGCTTTTGGTGTTTTAGACATGAAGTCCTTGCCCATGCCTATGTCCTGAATGGTATTGCCTAGATTTTCTTCTAGGGTTTTTATGGTTTTAGGTCTAACATGTAAGTCTTTAATCCATCTTGAATTAATTTTTGTATAAGGTGTAAGGAAGGGATCCAGTTTCAGCTTTCTACACATGGCTAGCCGGTTTTCCCAGCACCATTTATTAAATAGGGAATTTCTTCTTTTTGTCAGTTTGTCAAAGATCAGATAGTTGTAGATATGCAGCATTATTTCTGAGGGCTCTGTTCTGTTCCATTGATCTATATCTCTGTTTTGGTAACAGTACCATGCTGTTTTGATTACTGTAGCCTTGTAGTATAGTTTGAAGTCAGGTAGCATGATGCATCCAGCTTTATTCTTCTGGCTTAGGATTGACTTGGCAATGCGGGCTCTTTTTTGGTTCCATATAAACTTTAAAGTAGTTTTTTCCAATTCTGTGAAGAAAGTCATTGGTAGCTTAATGGGGATGGCATTGAATCTATAAATTACCTTGCGCAGCATGGCCATTTTCACGATATTGATTCTTCCTACCCATGAGCATGGAATGTTATTCCATTTGTTTTTATCCTCTTTTATTTCATTGAGCAGTGGTTTGTAGTTCTCCTTGAGGAGGTCCTTCATATCCCTTGTAAGTTGGATTCCTAGGTATTTTATTCTCTTTGAAGCAATTGTGAATGGGAGTTCACTCATGATTTGGCTCTCTGCTTGTCTGTCATTGGTGTATAAGAATGCTTGTGATTTTTGCACATTGATTTTGTATCCTGAGACTTTGCTGAAGTTGCTTATCAGCTTAAGGAGATTTTGGGCTGAGACGATGGGGTTTTCTAGATATACAATCATGTCATCTGCAAACAGGGACAATTTGACTTCCTTTTTTCCTAATTGAATACCCTTTATTCCCTTCTCCTGCCTGATCGCCCTGGCCAGAAATTCCAACACTATGTTGAATAGGAGTGGTGAGAGAGGGCATCCTTGTCTTGTGCCAGTTTTCAAAGGGAATGCTTCCAGTTTTTGTCCATTTAGTATGATATTGGCTGTGGGTTTATCATAGATAGCTCTTATTATTTTGAGATATGTCCCATCAATACCTAATTTGTTGAAAGTTTTTAGCATGAACTGCTGTTGAATTTTGTCAAAGGCCTTTTCTGCATCTATTGAGATAATCATGTGGTTTTTGTCTTTGGTTCTGTTTATATGCTGGATTATGTTCATTGATTTGCATATGTTGAACAAGCCTTGCATCCCAGGGATGAAGCCCACTTGATCATGGTGGATAAGCTTTTTGAAGTGTTGCTGGATTCGGTTTGCCTGTATTTTATTGAGGATTTTTGCATCAATGTTCATCAAGGATATTGGTCTAAAATTCTCTTTTTTTTGTTGTGTCTCTGCCCAGCTTTGGTATCAGGATGATGCTGGCCTCAAAAAATGAGTTAGGGAGGATTCCCTCTTTTTCTATTGATTGGAATAATTTCAGAAGGAATGGTACCAGCTCCTCCTTGTACCTCTGGTAGAATTCGGCTGTGAATCCATCTGGTCCTGGACTTTTTTTGGTTGGTAAGCTATTGATTATTGCTTCAATTTCAGAGCCTGTTATTGTTCTATTCAGAGATTCAACTTCTTCCTGGTTTAGTCTTGGGAGAGTGTATGTCTCAAGGAATTTATCCATTTCTTCTAGATTTTCTAGTTTATTTGCATAGAGGTGTTTATAGTATTCTCTGATGGTAGTTTGTATTTCTGTGGGATTGGTGGTGATATCCCTTTTGTCATTTTTTGTTGCCTCTATTTGATTCTTCTCTCTTTTCTTCTTTATTAGTTTTGCTAGTGGTCTATCAATTTTGTTGATCTTTTCAAAAAACCAGCTCCTGGATTCATTGATTTTTTGAAGGGTTTTTTGTGTCTCTATCTCCTTCAGTTCTGCTCTGATCTTAGTTATTTCTTGCCTTCTGCTAGCTTTTGAATGTGTTTGCTCTTGCTTCTCTAGTTCTTTTAATTGTGATGTTAGGGTGTCAATTTTAGATCTTTCTTGCTTTCTCTTGTGGGCATTTAGTGCCATAAATTTCCCTCTACACACTGATTTGAATGTGTCCCAGAGATTCTGGTATGTCATGTCTTTGTTCTCATTGGTTTCAAAGAACATCTTTATTTCTGCCTTCATTTCGTTATATACCCAGTAGTCATTCAGGAGCAGGTTGTTCAGTTTCCATGTAGTTGAGCGGTTTTGAGTGAGTTTTTTAATCCTGAGTTGTAGTTTGATTGCACTGTGGTCTGAGAGAGAGTTTGTTATAATTTCTGTTCTTTCACATTTGCTGAGGAGTGCTTTACTTCCAAGTATGTGGTCAATTTTGGAATAGGTGTGGTGTGGTGCTGAAAAGAATGTATATTCTGTTGATTTGGGGTGGAGAGTTCTGTAGATGTCTATTGGGTCTGCTATGTGCAGAGCTGAGTTCAACTCCTGGATATCCTTGTTAACTTTCTGTCTCATTGATCTGTCTAATGTTGACAGTGGGGTGTTAAAGTCTCCCATTATTATTGTGTGGGAGTCTAAGTCTCTTTGTAGGTAACTAAGGACTTGCTTTATGAATCTGGGTGCTCCTGTATTGGGTGCATGTATATTTAGGATAGTTAGCTCTTCTTGCTGAATTGATCACTTTACCATTATGTAATGGCCTTCTTTGTCTCTTCTGATCTTTGTTGCTTTAAAGGCTGTTTTATCAGAGACTAGAATTGCAACCCCTGGCTTTTTTTGTTTTCCATTTGCTTAGTAGATCTTCTTCCATCCCTTTATCTTGAGCCTATGTGTGTCTCTGCACATGAGATGGGTTTCCTGAATACAGTACACTGATGGATCTTGACTCTTTATCCAATTTGCCAGACTGTGCCTTTTAATTGGAGCATTTAGCCCATTTACATTTAAGGTTAGTATTGTTATACGTGAATTTGATCCTGTCATTATGATGTTAGCTCGTTACTTTGCTCATTAGTTGATGCAGTTCCTTCCTAACCTTGATGGTCTTTACAGTTTGGCATATTTTTGCAGTGGCTGGTACCAGTTGTTCCTTATAAAACTAAATATGTTCTTACCATATGATCCAGCAATCATGCTCCATGGCATTTACAGAAATAATTTGGAAATCTATTTCCACACCAAAGCCTACTTTTAGATTAGATTTTCATAGAAGTTTTATTCATGATTATCAAAACTTGGAAGCAGCCAAATTGTCCTTCAGTAGGTGAATGGATAAATAAACTATGGTACATCCAGAAAATGGAATATTATTCAGTGCTTAAAAAAAAGAAAAACGCTATCAAGCCATAAAAAGACACGGAGGAAACTTAAATGTATTATACTAAATGCAAGAAGCCAATATGAATGGGCTACATGCAGTGTTATTCCAAATATATACATTCTGGAAAAGAAAAAACCTTGGTGACAGTACAAAGGTCAATGGCTGTTGGAGTTAGAGTGAACAGAAGGATGAATAGGCAGAGCACAGAGGATTTTTAGGGCAGATGATACTATAATGGTGGTTACATGTCTTTATACATCTGTCAAAATTCACAAAATGTGCAAGACCAAGAGTAAACTGTGGACTTTGAGTGACAAAGATGTGTCAATGCAGGTCAATAGATTGTATCAAAGGTACCATTCTGGTGCAGGCTGTTGATGGTGGGGGAGGCTACGTATGTGTGGGGGTAGGGAGTACATGAAAACTCTCTGCAGTTTCCCTCAGTTTTGTTGTGAAGGTAAAACTATTATAGAAAATGAAGTCCATTTAAAAAATTAAATGAGGTAATATAGTAAAGCTCCTGATACATAGTAAAGGGCTCAATTAATATATTATAGCTCTTGTGTAGAGCTTTTTGTGTGCAAGGAGATATCCCATATGACCTCTTGGTCTGATATTAACTAATTATTCCTTAAAATAAATGTCTGGAGTGGAGGGAAAATGGACAATGGGAGGTAGGACTGAATTGCTCCTCCCACTTGGATGGACAGAGCAGCATGTGGAAACTTGCATCGTGAACTTCAGCTCCAGAACTACTGCAGGAATATACCAGGAAAGCTGAGAGAACCCGCAGACTCTCTGAAGAAAGCAGATTGCTCCTGCAGAACTCGGAAGAGAGCCCAAATACTCTGAGTGCCCAAGGTGTGAAAGTGAGAAAAGGGTAATCATATGCTCCCAAACACAGACCCTCAATAGAGAACCTGAAGGTCTAGATCATGGGAGAAGGATTTGATCTTAACCTGGAGCTGAGTCAATTTAGAGAGCTGAGCAAAATACAGGGGTAGAGGAAGCAGTGGAAAAAGCCCTGTGGACTCTCTGGGTCCCCAGGGAAGCCATTTCTGACTTTTCTCAAAAGGGTCCTTGGGAAGGGCTGCCAGAGGAACTGGGAAAAGATCACAGGGAGAAGGAAATCTTCAGCTGACTTTTGTAACAATTCCAAACAAACAAACTCAACGGAGGGTGTGAATCTGATGTGCAGACTCAACAAGCAGGAAGGTGTGAAAACCTGGCTTACTTTCTCAGCTGGGAGGCTGGTAGCCTGGTGCAGGGACTCAGCTCTGCTGACACACTGCCTGGAAACAAACTCGGTGATGTTGGGTTGGGGGCATGTTGGGAGTGAGAGCAGCTTTTTGGGTTGTGTGGGAGCTGGGTGAGACCTGTGATTGCTAGATTTCCCCCACTTCTCTCACAACCTGCATGACACAGCAGAGGCAGCCATAATCCTCCTGGAACATAACTCCATTGACCTGGGAACCACAGCCCTACAGCCCAGCAGCTGCAACAAGCCTGCCCAGGAGAGTCTGAGCTCAAACATGCCTAACCCTGTCCCCACCTGATGGTCCTTCCCTACCTACCCTGGTAGTTGAAGACAAAGGGCATATTTTCTTGGGAGTTCTAGGGCCCTGCCCACTGCCTGATCCTCCCTATACTACCACAGCTGGTGCTCTCTTGAAAGTGCTACCTCTTGGCAAGAGGTCAACCAGCACAAAAACAGTGCATTAAACAACCAAAACTAAGAACCCTCTCAGAGTCCATTTCACTCTCCTGCTACCTCCACCAGAGCAGGTGCTGGTATCCACAGCTGAGAGATCTGAAGACGGTTCACATCCCAGGATTCTGTGCAAACAACCCCAAGTACCAGCCCAGAGCCTAGTGGCCTTGCTGGGTAGCTAGATCCAGAAGAGAAATAACATTCATGATTCTTCAGCTTTCAGGAAGTCACATCCCTAGGAAAAGGGGGAGAATATACATCAAGGGAACACTCTGTGGGACAGAGAATCTGAACAGCAGCCTTGAGCCCCAGATCTTCCCTCTGACATAGCCTACCCAAATGAGAAGGAACCAGAATAACAATCCTGGTAATATGACAAAACAAGGTTTTTAAACAACCCACCCACCCCCCCAAAAAATCATACCAGCTCATGAGCAATGGATCCGAACCAAGAAGAAATCCCTGATTTACCTGAAAAAGAATTCAGAAGGTTGATTATTAAGCTAATCAAGGAGGCATCAGAGAAAGGTGAAGTCCAATTTAAGGAAATAAAAAAAGATAGAAGATATGAGGGGAAAAGTCTTCAGTAAAATATATAGCATAAATAAAAAACAATCACAACTTCAGGAAATAAAAGACACTTAGAGAAATGCAAAATATACTGGAAAGTCTCAGCAATAGAATTGAACAAGCAGAAGAAAGAACTTCAGAGCTCAAAGACAAGGTTTTAGAATTAACCCTATTCAATAAAGACAAAGAAAAAAGAATTTAGAAAATGAACAAAGGCTCCAAGAAGTTGGTGGTTACATTAAATGACCAAACCTAAGAATAACTGTCATTCCTGAAAAAGAAGAGAAATCTAAAAGCTTGGAAAACTTATTTGGGGGAATAATCGAGGAAAACTTTCCTGGTCTTGCTAGACACCTAGACATTCAAATACAAGAAACTCAAAGAACACCTGGGAAATTCATTGCAAAAAGATCACTGCCTAGGCACACTGTCATTAGGTTATCTAAAGTCAAGATGAAGGAAAGAATCTTAAGAGCTGTGAGGCAAAAGCACCAGGTGCTTTTTCCTTATAGGCAAAACCCATAAAGGAAAACCTATCAGATTAACAGCAGATTTCTCAGCAGAAGGGATTGGGGCCCTATCATCAGCCTCCTTAAACGACACAATTATCAGCCAAGAATTTTGTATCCAGCAAAACTAAGCTTCATAAATAAAGGAAAGATACAATCTTTTTCTGACAAATAAATGCTGAGAGAATTCACCACTACCAAGCCACCACTACAAAAACTGGTAAAAGAAGCTCTAAATCTTAAGACAAATCCTGAAAATACATCTAAACAGAACCTCTCTAAAGCATAAATCTCACAAGACCTATAAAACAAAAATACAATAAAAAGAACCTCAAGGTGTACAGGCAACAAATAGCATAATGAATGGAACAGTATCTCAAATATCAATACTAATGTTGAATATAAATGGCCTAAATGTTTCACTTAAAAGATACAGTATTGCAGAATGGATAAGAATTCACCAGCCAAGTATCTGCTGCCTTCAAGATACTGACCTAACACGTAAGGACTCATATAAACTTAGGGTAAAGGGGTGGAAAAAGACATTTCATGCAAATGGACACCAAAAGTGAGCAAAAGTAGCTATTCTTATGTCAGACAAAACAAACTTTAAAGCAACAGCAATTAAAAAAAGGAAAAGAGGGACATTGTATAATGACAAAAGGCCTTGTCCAACAGATAAATGCCACAATCCAAAATGTAAATGCAGCTAACACTGGAGGTCCCAAATTTATAAAACAATTACTACTAGACCTAAGAAGTGAGATAGACAGTAACACAATAATAGTAGGGGACTTCAATACCCCACTGACAGAACTAGACAGGTCATCAAAACAAAAGTCAACAAAGAAACTATAGATTTAACTATACCCTGGAACAAATGGACTTAACATATATTTACAGAGCATTCTACCGAACAACTTCAGAATATACATTCTATTCATCAGTGCATGGAACTTTCTCCAAGACAGACCATATGATAGGCCGCAAAACAAATCTCAATAAATTTAAGAAAATTCAGATTATATCAAGTACACTCTCAGACCACAGTGGACTAAAATTGGAAATAAACTTCAAAAGGAACCTTCAAAACCAAGCAACTACATGGAAATTAAATAACCTGCTCCTGAGTGATCATTGGGTCAACAATGAAATCAAGAAAAAAATTAAAGAATTCTTCAAACTAAATGATAATAATGGCATAACATATCAAAATTTCTGGGATACAGCAAAGGCAGTGCTAAAAAGAAAGTTCATAGCCTTAAATGCCTACATCAAAAATCTGAAAGAGCACAAATAGATAATCTAAGGTCATACCTACAGAACTAGAGAAACAAGAACAAACCAAATCCAAACCCAGCAGAAGAAAGAAAAAAACAAGAACAGAGCAGAACTAAATAAAATTGAAACAAAAAATAGAAATGATAAATAAAATAAAAAGGTGGATCTTTAAAAAGATAAATAAAATTGATAGACCATTAGCAAGATTAACCAGGAAGAGAGCCAAATAAGTTCAACTAGAAACAAAACAGGAGACATTCCAACCAACACCACAGAAATACAAAAGATTATTCAAGGCTACTATGAACACTTTAATGTGCATAAACTGAAAAAGCTAGAGGAGATGGATAAATTCCTGGAAAGATACAATCATCCTAGCTTAAATCGGGAAGAATTCGAAACCCTGAACAGACCAATAACAAGCAATGAGGATGAAAAGGTAATGAAAATATTATCAACAAAAAAAATGTCCAGGACCAGATGGATTCACAATGCATTTCTACAAGACACTCAAAGAAGAATTGGTACCAATCCTATTGACACTATTCCACAAGACTGAGAAAGAGGGAATCCTCCCTAAACCATTCTATGAAGCTAGTGTCACCCTAATACCAAAACCAGGAAAGAACATGACAAAAAAAAGAAAACTACAGAGCAATATCCCTGATTAACATAGATGCAAAAATCTTTCACAACATATTAGCTAACTGAATCTAACAGCATATCAAAAAGATAATCCGCCATGGTCAAGTGCATTTCATACCAGGGATGCAGGGATGGTTTAACATACACAAGTCAATAAATGTGATACACCACATAAACAGAATTAAAAACAAAAAAATCACATGATCATTTCAACAAACACAAAAAAAGCATTTGACAAAATTCAACATCCCCTTATGACTAAAACCCTCAGCAAAATTGGCATACAGGAAACATACCTCAATGTAATAAAAGCCATCTATGACAAATCCACAGCCAACAAAATACTGAATGGGGAAAAGTTGAAAGCATTCCCTCTGAGAACTGGAACAAGACAAGGATGCCTACTCTCACCACTTCTATTCAACACAGTACTGGAAGTCCTAGCAAGGGCAGTCAGACAACAGAAAGAAAGAAAGGGCATCCAAATCGGTAAAGAGGAAGTCAAACTCTTGCTGTCTGCTGACAATATGATTGTATATCTACAAAACCCTAAAGACTCCTCCAGAAAGCTCCTAGAACTGACAAATCTCAAATAAATTTAAGAAAATTATAAAAGGCCTTGTCCTTTTATCATTTGCTGAATTTGGCACAAAATTTCAGGATACAAAATTAATGTATGCAAATCAGTAGCTCTGCTATATATTAACAGCTACCAAACTGAGAACCAAATCAAGAACTCAACCCCTTTTACAATAGCTGCAAAATAATAATAATAATAATAAAATACTTAGGAATATACCTAACCAAGTAGGCGAAAGACCTCTACAAGGAAAACAACAAAACACTGCTGAAAGAAATCATAGATGACTCAAACAAATGGAAACACATCCCATGCTCATGAATGGGTAGAATCAGCATCGTGAAAAAATTGTAGACTGCAAAAAGCGATCTACAAATTAAATGCAATTCTCATCAAAATACCACCATTATTGTTCACAGAACTAGAGAAAACAATCCTAAAATTCATATGAAATCAAACAAGAGCCTGCATAGCCAAAGTAATACTAAGCAAAAAGAACAAATCAAAGGTATGAATACCAGGAGGCAGAGATCAATGGTGCCACCTTAGAGGCTGCCTATCATACCATTATTGTCAGCCTCTGGAGCACCTGGTTGAATGGCATCTATGTAACCTCTCCCACCAAGATAATTGGCAGACAGCATAGTAAGTAGAAAATGGAAATGAGATTTTACTAAACCCTTCTCCTTCCTCACTTCGAAGGCCTTCTGGGAAAGACAGCAAAGTTGAGCTCATATAAACCAAAAGCTCTGGCCCCAGCTCTACCTGCATGGTGGGGGGAATGGCCCATTCTTCCTTACTTCTGACAACTGGCTCTTCAAATACACTTCAAATACCTGGGAACCTATTCATATCCATCCTCTGAATGGGAAGAAAATTGCTTCTCCTTGGCAAACAGCTTTGGCCTGGGCAATGGTCCCAATCTGTCATTAGTATGAGAAACTTTCCAGTATTTTCATTTTTGTGGTCACTGTTCTCTTCTATTTCCTTTTATGTATTAGTTCATAAGCACTATGTTTCAAAAGGACTAAGATATTCTAGAGTCCTTGATTGTTCACTCATCTTTCCATTCATTTTTTAAATAAACATTTATTAAGTTCCTTTATATGTCAGATGTTATGAAAATTCTCATGGTAATAAAAAGATGTATGAGACATAGACATTTTATTTAGTCAAACACTCAACAATGTTTCAACATCTACTCTGTACACGGTGCTAAGGATCAATAAAGGAGTAGTCCAGTTTTAAGACAACACAACAAAAACAAACTCTCAACTCCACTGGCTGTAACACCTTTCTACTGAGATCTTCATGGCACAAATTATTGATGAACAGGTATTTTTTTTTAGTGGTCACTCTCTTCACTTTTTCCTTCTACTCCTCAACGCACAGATGAATTGTGGGTTGTACTTTCCAGTTGAACTTTCAACCCAAATATTCGAGGAAATTGCTCTTACCAAATTACTTAGGATGTTGCCAAAACCAATGGTCAATTCTCTTCCTATTGTATTTGATGCACCAGCAGCATCCATCATAGTGGACCACGCTCCTCTTGAAACACTTTCTCCAGTTGACTTTTACAATGCCATCCCCTCCTAATTTTCCTCCTGCCACCAACTTCTACTCAGTATCTTTAGCTGGCCCCTCCTCCTCTTTTCAACCTCTAAATGTTGATATATCTATTCCAGGATTCAGTCTGGAAACTTTTCCTTTTATCCATGAATATTATTACCCTAGCTTATTTCATCTAGTCCTGTGCCTTTAAAAATTATTATATGCTTCTCACATACAAATTGACCTCTCTAGGACTAGCACAGGGGGTGTAATTATCCTAAAGTAACCCAGAATTTTAATAAGCTGGCCAAGAAGAGGGATTTTCCTTTTTCCAGCATGAGGGACTGTGCCTAATATAGCTCCCTGTAGAATGGGTGTCTTCTCCCCTAAGAAAAGGGAAACTCTTTGCATGAGTCCCAAGGACTCTAGGTGCTGGGTAGTTGATTTTCGCAGACAATCTTGTGAATAGCTGGCACCTAAATCCAGACTGTTTCACGCCAACAGCCTGTATTCCTCCCTTGAGGATCCTGTGTCCTTGTGCTTACATCATAAAAAGTTATAATAAGGGATGTAAGCCTGTGTCCTTGTGCTTACATCATAAAAAGTTATAATAAGGGAGATTAGTGTTCCTACACTGGAATGAATACTCACATTGTTAGCCCAGCAATTTCCTAACAATTTATGCATCAGCATAAGATAGGAGGATGGGGAAATCATGCTGCCTATTCTTTTGCTGATCAGTAATCTTTGTGAGTTTTCCTAATACAGCATATTATTTAACCCGTGATCATCATATTGAGAAATTCTTTACAAACTCTGATGCCAATAGGTGGTAACTCAGATGAGTATCACTTTACACAGCATGCTGACCTTCTCTGAGCATGTGGAGGACAATTTCATTGTCTCAGGATTGCATGTATGAAAGACTATCATTTTTTCCATTGAATTTGCTTTTGTCAAAATCAATTGGTCGTACGAATTTAGGCCATTAACTCACACATAAGCAAAAATTCTCTCAACATGGATTATAGGCCTAAATGTAAGGGCTAAACTATACACTTCTTGAAGAAATCAGAGATTAATACATACATGACACTGGATTAGGCAAAAGCCCAAATTTTCCTGGTAGAAGGAAAAAAGTCGAAAAATGAGACATGATCAAAACTAAAAATGTTTACATGTTAAAAGACATCAATAAGAAAATGAAAAGATAAGCCACAGACTGGAGGAAAAAAATTTAAATCATATATTTGATAAAGGACTCATATCCAGAATGTAAAATGCACTCACAACTAAACAACAAAAAGAAAAATAACCCAATTTTAAAATGAGCAAGATATTTGAATAATCATTTCACCAAAAAGGTGTAGGAATGGCCAATAAAGTACAGAAAAGATGGTGAGCATCATCAGTCAGCAGGGAAATACAAATCAAAACTACAATGTGACACCACTTCTTACCCACTAGAATGCTATACTAAAAATAAAACAATAACAATTGGAGGAAGTGAAAGCACAATGATGTGGGAAAATTGAAATACTCATGCATTGTTGATGGGACAGGCAGCCATGTTCAAAAACATTTTGGCTGTTCCTTAAAACATTAAAGATGCACTTACCATATGACCTAGCAGTTTTACTCCTGTCAACCCTAAAGAAATAAAAATGTATGTCTACACAATACATGAATGTGAATATTCATAGCAGCTTTATCCATAATGCACTTTGGGAGGCCAAGGTGGGCAGATCATGAGGTCAAGAGATCGAGACCATCCTGGCCAACATGGTGAGACCTTGTCTCTCCTAAAAATACAAAAATTAGCTGGGCATGGTGGCGTGCACCTGTAGTCCCAGCTACTCGGGAGGCTGAGGCAGGAGAATCGCTTGAACCCAGGAGGCGGAGGTTGCAGTGAGCCGGGATTATGCTACTGCACTCCAGCCTGGTGACAGAGTGACACTCCATCTCAAAAAAAAAAAAAAAAAAGGGGGGGAAACACATAAATATCTATCAACTGATAAATGAATAAACTAATGGCAGCCATCCATACAATTTAATAGAATTTGCCACCTAAAAGGAATGAAATATTGATACATGCTACAACATAGATGAAACACATAAGTATATTAAGCTATGTGAAAGAAGGCAGATGCAAAAGACCACATATTACATGATTCTAGTTATATGGTGTCCAGAAAATCAAATCTGTGGAGTCAGGAAGTCATGAGGGCTGCCTAGAGCTGGGGGCTGGGAATAAGAGGTGGCAAATGATAAGCATGAGGGATTTCTTAGGAAAGATAGAAATGTTCCAAAACAGGATTGTGATGATGGTTACACAAGTCTAAAATTTTACTAAAAATAATTGAACTGTACACTTAAAATGGGAATGTTATAATATGTCAATTATACTTCAGTAAAGCTGTTTAAAAACAGAAAGTTGGTAGTGTGGCCCCCAGCAGCCTTGCTCTTTGTCCTACTGCTCACTTTCCTAAAGAAAGCAAAATATTTATTGGTTTAAAGAAAGCTTACAGTTATTGCTTCCACTCAGACTCCAAGAGACACTGCCTGAACTCTAAGAGCCTCCAGAACTCTCAACAGCTGAAGGAACATTTGGTCCCACCCTGAAGGTCATGGGGGTCTGTAAGGTGCACTCCAGCATCTGATATGGCAGGCAAAGGTGTGTGATGCACCTGGGTGGTTTCAGATAGTGCTCCACAAGTCCCAGGGCCCGTGTCTAGTTCTGAGAGCTTCAGAAGACAAGCTGCTACACCTTGCATCACAGGACCAACCTTTCCTAGGCAAGTGGGTTTGAAGCATTGGCAGCCAGGTTCCAAGTAGAAGGTGAATGTCTACACACAGGAGAAAGGCAAGACCCAGAATGGGGAGTCAAGCTAAATCATTTGTAGAGTATGACTTCCAACAACTTCAGAAAGCATTCTTTTGAAGTGCTTATGGCATTTCCACCAACATAGACCATAGGCTGGACCATAAAACAAATCTCAATATATATCAAAGAATCAAAATCATACAGAGTATATGCTCTGGCCACAATAATATTTAATTAGAAATACATAACAATAAGAAAATCCCCAGTTTTAGAAAACATGCAACATGCTTCTCAATAACACTTGGGTCAAAGAAGACATCACAAGAAAAAATTCAAAACGTCAGTAACTGAATAATGATAACCCAATGCATCAAAATGTTGGATACAGCTAACATAGTGTTTAGAGAGAAATTTACAACTTTAAATGCCTATGGTGGAAATGAGCAAAGAAGTAAAGTCAATTATCTATGCTTTTATCATAAGAACCCTGAAAAAGAAGAGTAAAATAAACCCAAAGTTAATAAACATTTAAGCCAATAATAAAAATAATGAAAATCATGAAATAGAAAAATGAACAAACAATAGAGACAATCAGTGGTCAATTTTTCTGTACTCCATGAACAAAACTTCAGTTCAGAATGATTTTATATTTAAATATATATCCAGAATCACAAAGATCTTAGAAGAAAAAATTAGGAAAATATAGGAATAAAGTGGGAACTCTGTGGGAATAAAAATCAGAAAGTAATTGCCTACCAGGTAAACTCGGGGGAGGGCAGGCAATTGACTAAGAACAGGCAGATAAAACTTTCTGGAGTGAAGGAAATGGTGGTCTTCTTTTCGTTGGTACTTACATGGACATATATAACTGTCAAGGTTCATTGACAATGAACACTTAAGTGTACACTGAACGCTTAAGATCTGGGCCTTGTAATGCCCAGATTACATCTACTTAAAAAAACTACATCTCTATTTTTTTAAGTAGAGAAAAGTGTCTTGGGGAGTTTATGGCAGTGATGTTTGGGCAGACTGGGGCATAGGTTTCAGAAGCATTCATAGCATCTTCAGTTCAACAATTTGCTAAGAATGGTTTTGCAGCCAAAAATGTAAGATGAGTGCAAATATCTATGATTAGAGTCATTGGGCATACAACTACAAATCCCCACACTTGTATTACAGGCCATATGATTAATTCGTTATCACTAGATACCTTTCCTTCAATGAGGTTCTTCCATTAGGAACCCAGAGCTCTCCAGGGAAAAATTGCAATTGAGGTTTTGGATATATTGGGTGGAAAAGAAAGTCACCTCACATAAAACTTAGTGATTGGAGCTGTCACCATTGAAAATTTCTAAACTTTGCAAGACAGCAGTGACGTTTCAAATGACACTCTCAGAGAGTTGATAATGGGCTAAAATAGATCTCCCTCCAGGTGGATTTACTGTACAAGGACAACATTTACATTGCACTTGGAGACTTCTCCCAGTTTGGTTTAAGTTCACAGATTGCAGATCCCAGACAGCTGGTATCAACTGACCAGTGTTCTGTTAAGGCTAAAGCCAAGACTCTTTATCACACTGTGGCCTTAAGATTGGATTTCTCTTCCTGTTCCTGGGAAGAATTAGAGATATAACCTAAAGGTCACTATTATTCTGAGAAAAGGGATTCTGGAGGAGGAGGGAGCAATGAGTATGTGGCAGGAGTTCAAGGTAATAAGGGCTGAGACACAAGCCACAGAGCATAAAGCTCCAGTCCTTCCTCCAGGGATGAGGCAGTAAGGACTTGGACTCCTCTGTCCAGCTTTTAACAATCTAAGTTACGGTTAGAGCTTTCTCCTTTTCTTTCAACTACTCCTGGCAGTTGTGGGGTCATGGAATTTTTGTAAAAAATGGGGTGGAGGAAAATAAGGCATCTGCTGAGTGTATAACCATTTTACCTCTTGTTTTTAGCCCTCTTCTGGGTCACGCTAGAATCAGATCTGCTCTCCAGCATCTTCTGTTTCCTGGCAAGTGTTTCCTGCTACTTTGGATTGGCCACGATGGGCTGGAGCTGCCTTGTGACAGGAGCAGGAGGGCTTCTGGGTCAGAGGATCGTCCGCCTGTTGGTGGAAGAGAAGGAACTGAAGGAGATCAGGGCCTTGGACAAGGCCTTCAGACCAGAATTGAGAGAGGAATTTTCTAGTAAGTAAACTTGAGTCATGGGTCTGTGGCTCCATCTTAAACTCTGCATGGGTGTGGGGAGGTTGACCTTGTCTAGCAAGTTAAGGAAAGTTGTAGCCAAATGAAAGCCAGTCACACATCTAAAGTCATCAGAAAGGAAATAGAATAAAATGGTATAGTGTGAAAGATACTGGATGGGGTGTCCAGAGACTGGATTCTGGCCCTGACGCAGAACTTGAGAGGCAGCCATGTCAGCCTCAAGGCCCCTTTTCTTCTCTTCTAGAGAGTCACACATGAGTTCTCCTTCTTGTCTACAACTCTTATGTTCTGAAGCTTTTTGTCTTGGCGATTGCTGTGCGACATTCACAAAGGACATCATTTACCTGGAGACCTCACCAGTGGGTCCTGCCTGTCTAGACTGCCCCAGGCTTCATTTCATTTTATAGCTTCCTTAGTATCTTTAGTGAGGGCAAAATAAAAGGAAGTGAAGGTACGGATGTGTGTGTAATTGTGTGTGTGTGTCAGACAGAGAAAGAAAATGAGGGGGAAAGAAGGTCAGAGACAGAGAATGAGAAAGACAGAGAATGAATGAGAAAGATAGTGTGAGGGAGAGCATCAGCAAGAGAGAGAGAGTGAAAGTGAGAGAGATCATCAGTGAGAGAGAGAGAAAGAGAGAAAGAGAGCATGCACAAGTGCACGGCACAGAGCAGAGACAGAGTAAAAGGCAGTATGAGGCCAACATGCCTCATTTATATTTCTCATATATAGCCTTTTTAAAAAAAAACCATTTGTATCTGTTGTTCAATACTCCAAATAAATTGACTGCAGAATTTGCTGTAGTAACTCTTTGTGCAAATAACCCTGTGAGGAAGGTAGAAAAGGGGTCACCTCCAACTGGACAATGAACCCATCAAGTTCCAGAAACATAAAGTTACTTGCCAAGAACAGCTGATTAATGTGTAGCAGAGCTCAGACCAGAGCTTCATTCCAGAAGCTTCATCACTTGACCCCCGGGCTAATCCTTGGTGGGTCTTCAGTCTCTCCCTTTGCCTCTCTGTGTGCCCCAAACCAATTCCATGTTTTCCTCCCAACCCAGGGGACTGGGGGAACTATGTATCTTCTTCATGCAGGTTCTGGCTGCCTAGAAGGTCCTGCCCTGTTCACACAGAAGCTCCCCTTGACACTCTCCTCTTCTTTCACTCTTCTCTGACCTCTTTAAATGTCCAATTTCCTCCACTCTCTGTTCTAATAGTGAACAGATATTAACACATGACTGATATTAAATGTTTGTAATCCTTATGTCTCAGCAATATTTACAATCTAACATCTGATACCAGGAAAAAGCAATGCTCAGTCTAGAGGAAGAGTTCTGCTATGGTGAAAATGCAGGGAGCATAATGGATGGGCAGGGCCTGTATGAAGATAAAAACAGAGAATCCTTTCAGTGTTCTTTCTGTGCCAGGCACTGTGCTAAAGGTTTTGCATGTGCTGACTCATTTACTTCCCATAACAACCCTATGAGATGGGTAATACTATTATCCTCCTTTTTTATAGATGAGGAGACAGACACAGAGAGGTTAATCAACTTGTCGAAGGTCCCAAGTTAGATTACGGCAAAGCTGGATTTGAATCCAGGCAGTCTAGTGCAGCTTCTGTGCTCTTAAGTAGTAGTTTGTCTAGCAGCTTCTCTGAGCCTCCCTCCAGCCCAACACACAACACAAAAGCAACTGAATTTAGTCTACATGAAACACTTGCCAAGTCCACAGTGCCTTGGAGAAGGAGGGAGCTAAGACTCCATCAAAAATTGCGCTTTTCTGGTCTCTCTAGATCCATGGAAACTCACCGGGGAAGAGTCATTTTCTATCGGCTTTGGACTTCTGCTATGAAATGGCAATTCCTTTGAGCCAGTCTGTCTAAAGTCGGCAGCAAAGGAGAAGCAGATGAAGGGAGTAGAAAAGGTAGAGGTGGAAATACAACCAGAGAAAATTCCACTCTCGGGCTGACACCCACCTCCTCCCCAGCAGCCTCTTCCCTGCCTCCACCATTCCAGGGCCTTCTTGGAGTTGCCTGACAGTGGGAAGGGGCTGGGAGTAGACAAAACAAGGCAGAGGCATCAGAAGAGCAAATGGTCCCACCTGTATCCCAGGAAGGAATTTCTCCAGCCTTGAATTTTTCATTCTGAATTTCGCTCTCACTGTTCTTTGGCCTTTGTGGGCATTTTCAGTTAAACTGGCTTATTCTTACTCTTTCTCAGAAAAGTTGATTCTAAACAGCTATTCCTGCACCTGGGGTACAGGGTACAAAAATGGCAGGTGGAATGGGCAGGTTTGAGCCTTCACTAGAAAATTGACTTTAGATCTGTCCCTTAACCTCTCTGAGCCTCAGTTTCCTCACCAATAAAGTGGGACTCAGAATACCTACCTCACGAGATAGCTGTAAAAGGAAATAAGCAAGCTGTGAGCCGTATGCAGATTATAAAGCACAAATGAGTGTAGAGTATTTATCTGAGCTCCATGTAGCATGGTGTTCATTTTGTGGGCTAATTCCAGGTGACAACTTTACCGGCAGCGTCACTACCTGTGGATTTCAGAGGAGCCTGAAGATATGGATGTTACATCCGCTGCCCTTGGCTAGACATTAGACAGCTGAGATGTTAGTTCATTGGTGGCTAACTCATTTTCAGCATTGCTATCTGCTTTTTATGATATCTGATAAAAGTTTCTCAATGAAATTAATCATTTAAGCCCATCTGCAATTCCTGAGTAATGGCTCCACTCTCCTCCCAGTTGCCCAAGCAGGAAACTGTAAGGGTGATTTTGTCTCCTTTTCCTCTCATCCCAGCTCCAGTAGGTACCAGGACCTTCAAGGTGAGGTCTGAAATTCAAACCTGGAGTGCATCTCTCCCCTCCTCTGCTTCCACTGCTGGACCCTGGTTCCAGTCCTCATCTAAACTTTGGCACAGACATTCTGATTAATCTCTTGATCACCTGGCTTTCTCATTTCCCCTATACCAGTCTGTTTTATATCCTCAAGCCAAGGTAAACTTCCTACGCCACAACTCTGCGTCTGTTTATCTTTTATTATTATTACTATTATTATTATTATTATTATTATTATTATTATTATTTTGAGACAGGGTCTTTCTCTGCCACTGAGGCTAGCATGCAGTGGCATGATCTCAATTCACTGCAACCTCCACCTCCCAGACTCCATCCTTCCTCCTGCTTCAGGTTTGTGATTAGCTGGGACTATAGGCACATACCATCACGCCCAGCTAATTTTTGTAATTTTAGTAAAGACAGGGTTTTGCCATGTTTTCCAGCCAGACCTCCACCTCCAGAAATCAAGTGATTCACCACCTCAGAGTCCCAAAGAGCTGGAATTACAGGAATGAGCCACTGCACCCGGCCTGTTTCTCTACTTATTCCAACATAAATAAGGGTTTTTCTTTGACATGGTGCTGGAGACCCAAAATC
Source organism: Homo sapiens (assembly GCF_000001405.40). Classification (NCBI taxonomy): domain Eukaryota; kingdom Metazoa; phylum Chordata; class Mammalia; order Primates; family Hominidae; genus Homo; species Homo sapiens. Next base: position 119,419,017 of record NC_000001.11, read on the forward strand.
ATAATTCTATACATGATTCCTCATCGCCTACAGAATTAAATTCAAACTTTCCCTCTTATACCCAACTCTCCACAATCACTCTATTCTCCATAAAAAATTTGGTGAGTCTCCCATGACTCTAGCAATGCTTATATTTCACGGATGTGTGACAATTCACTGCTCACATTACTTTTCTGGAATAAGATGGGGTAGAAACAGATGTTTGCTCTTTCCCAATAAACTGCTACACATGCTGATTTCTGTGCTTTTGTTTACTTGTTCCTTTTATGGAATGTAGTACACCCTCCACTCTAATACCCACACTCTAATCTCTTTGAGCACCTATGTAACATCGCCTTTATCAGAAAACTTCCCAGCCAGATCCAGAAATCTTTCCAATGACCTGACCTGTGTTCACACAGAGCTCCAGAACAGGACCAAGCTGACTGTACTTGAAGGAGACATTCTGGATGAGCCATTCCTGAAAAGAGCCTGCCAGGACGTCTCGGTCGTCATCCACACCGCCTGTATCATTGATGTCTTTGGTGTCACTCACAGAGAGTCCATCATGAATGTCAATGTGAAAGGTACAGTAGCCTGGGGAGGAGATAAAACAAGTTGGTTAAATGAGGATCAGAAAGAAGGACAAGAAAGGGAAGAGAAGTCACTCCATTGAACACCTGCTGAGCTCTTGGCCAAGTGCCTTTGCTGATCACTACTGACTGGGGAGTTCAAGGCTGGTAACCTCAGTTTTTTAGATGAGAAAACTAGGGCTGAGAGACAGCAAGTAACTTGTCCAAGGCCCCAAAAGTAAGTAAGTAAGTAGGAGAGTTAGACTTTAAACTCACTCCTGTGTGACTCCAAAGGCTGTGGAAGCTCTTTCTACTGTGGCCCCAATCAAAAGTCAACTAAACTCCAACTTCAAATTCACGATATCCAGCTACTCCTTGGCTCCCCGGGCCAGAATCAGACCTTCCAGGTGCCACCATAGTCATCATTTTGAACCTTGTGTGTAGGCTGATGAGAACATTCAGAGTCTTCCTGCCCACCTCAAAGAAGTCCTCTCAAGAGAACTAGCAAAGCTGGTTCACAGAGGTCTGTCAGGACAGAATTATCCAGCACATGCCTTCCCATAATATTTTCTTAACAAAAAGAGTTTCCCAGTGTCCAGAATACAATCTCTTCAGCTCACCACAGGGTCTACTATTACAGAGCCATTTCCTGCCAGGTGCCCAAAGTGCACCCTCATTTGATCCACATTTTTTAAAGGAATCTTGCCATGCAGTCTCACCCTCTGATTCCCAGAGCCCAGTCTCTTCAAAACACAGCTCCCCACTGCTGGCCTGACCCTCCACATTCAGACTACCCAAACTCCTTTTATAAAGCAACTAATTGCTTTTGAGTCTCCAGCACTGTCTAAAAAAACAAACAAAAAAAAAACCTTTCCAGTTTCTACATAGCCATACCCCTAAGTACCGCTATAGTTCAAGGAGTGTGCTAAGAGTGAATAGTTTTTTGTTTTAATTTTGACTTTCCACAGCTCCCAAAAACAAGGGATAAGAAATGACAAGGGGAGTGTTAGAGGCGTCTGTTTCTTAAAACCATTATCACTCCCGGGCTTAGAAAATACTTCACAATGATGGCCATTTCATGAGGCTGTCTCTCCAGAAACTCAAATTGCACAGAGACTTTAAAAGTGGCTAAGAATACAAAATAAGTAAATAAAAATGATCCTTTGCCTAGGAAATTCCTTCCTTCTTCAAGGGAAGACACTCCAGATACCTCCATGAGCTTTGCTTCCACACAGCTCAGGTGATGCTGACAGGTCTTCCCAGTGCAGGTGTTATCAGCAGAGGGCACACTCCCTCCCCAGTCCTCCACCAGGCTCCACAGGAAATGCCAGGGCAGGATTTAAAGGAAGGTTTATCACCCCCACTTTATATAACTGGGTAACAGAGTCATAGCCAGAATTGGAAGCAGCTTTTCCAGGGAACACACAATCAGGAAAGGAGTGTGGGTTTCCAGCATCTCCCCACAACCCACTGTTTGCTCGATGACTCCAGGGATGGTCTTTGTGACAAAGTTTTATTAATCCATTGCAAAATGAGAAAAATACCAGCAATTCTATGTATATCTAAGAGTGTATATTGCCTATATTCAACTGTGAATTTGTGTGTGTAACACAAATTCTTCCACTGCCCTTTCTTGCCTAAGGACTGATTGGGACTGTTCATATTCTCAGAGTATAGCCTCCTGATTTTTTAGATTTTAAATGATCTGTCTTTAATTGTATTGATGACAAATCATACTTTTTCAATATCCTTACTTGGCAAAAAATAAAGTGATTACCCTAGGTCCTTTTCCAAAATTAAAGTGTGTGTGTATATATATATATGTATATATATATGTATATATATATATGTATATATATGTATATATATATATGTATATATATATGTATATATATATGTATATATATATGTATATATATATTTTATAATATATATATATATATACACACACGTATACATACACACACACACACACACACCACACACAAACATAGGTCCATGAAACCCAAAAGTCTAGAAATTCTTGCTTTCTAGAACCCAAATGTCAGTTTCTTTTTATTTTTGTGTTTTTCCTACGGCTGTATCATGACCCAATCTCAGTCAGAGCCACAGAAGAATGCACCCTGAGTCTGTTATAACCACTGCACTTGGGAGTGGGGAGTGGGGCACATGGATCTGTGCATGTGGTTGCAGCTCCTTTGGGATATTTCCTGACACTGTCATCATGCTCTTCGTGGGCAGGTACCCAGCTACTGTTGGAGGCCTGTGTCCAAGCCAGTGTGCCAGTCTTCATCTACACCAGTAGCATAGAGGTAGCCGGGCCCAACTCCTACAAGGAAATCATCCAGAACGGCCACGAAGAAGAGCCTCTGGAAAACACATGGCCCACTCCATACCCGTACAGCAAAAAGCTTGCTGAGAAGGCTGTGCTGGCGGCTAATGGGTGGAATCTAAAAAATGGTGATACCTTGTACACTTGTGCGTTAAGACCCACATATATCTATGGGGAAGGAGGCCCATTCCTTTCTGCCAGTATAAATGAGGCCCTGAACAACAATGGGATCCTGTCAAGTGTTGGAAAGTTCTCTACAGTCAACCCAGTCTATGTTGGCAACGTGGCCTGGGCCCACATTCTGGCCTTGAGGGCTCTGCGGGACCCCAAGAAGGCCCCAAGTGTCCGAGGTCAATTCTATTACATCTCAGATGACACGCCTCACCAAAGCTATGATAACCTTAATTACATCCTGAGCAAAGAGTTTGGCCTCCGCCTTGATTCCAGATGGAGCCTTCCTTTAACCCTGATGTACTGGATTGGCTTCCTGCTGGAAGTAGTGAGCTTCCTACTCAGCCCAATTTACTCCTATCAACCCCCCTTCAACCGCCACACAGTCACATTATCAAATAGTGTGTTCACCTTCTCTTACAAGAAGGCTCAGCGAGATCTGGCGTATAAGCCACTCTACAGCTGGGAGGAAGCCAAGCAGAAAACCGTGGAGTGGGTTGGTTCCCTTGTGGACCGGCACAAGGAGACCCTGAAGTCCAAGACTCAGTGATTTAAGGATGACAGAGATGTGCATGTGGGTATTGTTAGGAAATGTCATCAAACTCCACCCACCTGGCTTCATACAGAAGGCAACAGGGGCACAAGCCCAGGTCCTGCTGCCTCTCTTTCACACAATGCCCAACTTACTGTCTTCTTCATGTCATCAAAATCTGCACAGTCACTGGCCCAACCAGAACTTTCTGTCCTAATCATACACCAGAAGACAAACAATATGATTTGCTGTTACCAAATCTCAGTGGCTGATTCTGAACAATTGTGGTCTCTCTTAACTTGAGGTTCTCTTTTGACTAATAGAGCTCCATTTCCCCTCTTAAATGAGAAAGCATTTCTTTTCTCTTTAATCTCCTATTCCTTCACACAGTTCAACATAAAGAGCAATAAATGTTTTAATGCTTAACATGGAGAGAAGCATGGTTTCTGTTAATACATACTTTCATCCTTTTCCTTTCATTTCCAACTATCACCATCTCCAACTTAGAAGAGTAGCATGAAACCAGGGTTGGGGGGTGGGCAGAGTAGTAGGAGGTACAGAAAGGGCAGATGAATACTGAATAAGCTCTACTATGTTTTAGGCATGTATGAAATGAACTACATATGACATATATTATCTCATTTAATACTCATCAGAAACCTGTCAATTGAGGAAAATGACAAGACACGTCTCAATCATTTTAGGAGATTCACTTGAAGATGTGCCCAGGAGACAGGCCTATGCCTTTCTCCAAAGATGATTTTGAGGGCTCCAATTCAAAGGAGGGAAAGAGAGGGATATTGAGAAGCACACAGTTTTTATGTAACGGGATGGTAGGAAAAAAATAGTCATTCATGCCTTTGTCTGGCTCAGTGAATCTGCATTTTTTACATAAGATGACATAAACAGTAGGGGCAGAGGGAAATGCAGATTCCCTGCATTTTACATAAAATAACAGACAAAATGGGGTAGGGGAAAAATCAGATAGGCATTTGTGTCTGGGGTAACTGCACCGGTAGTGATAAGCTATCAATTTGCATTGCCGTGGTGAAGTTTTAACAGCTCACTAGGAAATTCCTTGTGGGCAAAATATGGGGGAGGCATGTAGCTTTTCATCTTGTAGCCATCTTGTTTAGGCACCAAAAGGGGGGAGGCAGGTTTGCCTGACCCAGTTCCCAGCTTGATTTTTCCCTTTGGCTAAATGAGATTGGGGCCCCATAATTTAATTTTTTTCACGTTTTCCCCCTTTTTTTCTCTAAACTCTTTTGAAGTACTGCATTTTGAAAGAAATATGCATTCCTGGCCTCTGGTTGCTTTTTCTTTTTTTTTTTTTTTGCTGGTTTCTCATGGCTAGGATGGTTTATTCCTAGAAGTTCAGGTCCCACATCACTAGGAAGGCTCATTCCTGGGAGGTTATGTCTCACCTTGCTAGGAAGGCTTATTCCTAGGAAATCTTGTCCCATGAAGAAAAAAAAAAAATGGAGGGGTGGGGTGGAAGAAGGGAAAATGAGAGGAAACCAGAAAGAGAGAGAGAGAGAGAGAAAAGAAAATATATAGGGACCTAGGCCAGATTTATAGCAACAAAAGGAAAGCAAACCTGGAAGCTGGGTGAGGGTATATTACTGCCTCCTCAATTAGAGCAATTCTTTGGGCCTTTTAGTTGCACGTTGACTTACATGCAAGCACATACCATAACAACATTGTAAGCAAAAACAGGATGGAACACAAATTATTACTATTATTCCTATTATAAACAATAGTTTCTACCACCATGTTCCCCAGGATCCAAGCCAACCACTCAACCAATCGATTAGTGAGGGTTTTGGATCTGACAGGTTGGTTATCTGGGTTTTCATAGCAGTCATATGTTGCATTATGTTCTTTGATTCATCTGGAACATACACACAACATTTAGTTTTATGATGGCACAGGTCCCCTCTTGTGCTGTCATGAGTATCTAAAGCCATATGATTTTGCAGCACAGCTTTCCTCATAAGCATAACCTCATTGTTTAGCAAGGGGATACTCATGCGGCTATCATTCAGGGCCTTTTGGGTGTAATTCGTTAAGGCCTCTATATGCCATATAACATCTTCAATACCTATCTGTGGTACAAAGATTGAAGCTAAATGATCATGCCATTGGAATACTGAACACATCCAATAAGAGTGTAAATGAAAAAGGTTTGCTGGTTTTGGCAGGGTCTGAATTACTTGTCCTTGTGCCCAAGCATAACCTAGGGAACATCATCCTAACCACCTTGGAGGTAACCATGGCCATAAGGTAGTGCCACATAGCCAATATGTCCCATTTGGAGCTAGCCAATAAATATCTGGTTGCTGCACCCAATTGTTGGCATGCCAGTCAGTGTCTTATAATATGATAATGTGGTCTCAATGTTCTCCAGGTATCCACCCCACATCTCTCATACTGTTTTGCTAAGTTGGCCAAAGAATGGGTGAGCCAGATAAATCCATCCCAAATTTGTATTATTCCATTCTGAAAATGGGTCATTGTTTGAGGCATGGTTACCACCTTCTCTTTTACTTGGGGAGATGCTAAAGTGAGAGCAAATGAGCTGGTCTTTTCCATTGAAAAACTTTTGCTATGTCCCTTGTTCTTAAGAGTGTTTTTAATGGGCCAACTATATATATTGTCTTTTGTTATGCCAGCACTAAGAATACCAGACCGTTTCTGTGATGTAATACATTTTTGGTATTCTATCCAGTCCTGACCTTGGAAGAAGGATACTCACCATGGCAGGCCACAGCCACTGGAGATAGGCATGAGCCCACATATCCAGCAGGTGTCCTTTTGTAATCTGTCTGCATAATCCTGAGCCTATTGCAGAAACAGATTTGTTTCATGGGCATCAGTGGCAAGAAGATGTAGGGATATATAATTAATAATAGCAAGGTTGTGAAATTCATTTTAGTTACTAACAGATGTTAAATTAGACAAAGCAAGTGCCCTGTTCTGTATAAGACAGCAGTTGCCAGTATATCTAGGACAATCATTGTAATGGTTATTGTACAATGAACATAGACATTTCTTTGTATACAGGCCTGGTCCTGTATCTTGGGTTTAAGCAGTCCACAATAGCATAGCTGTCATCTGCTTCTAATCCTGGGTTAAAAGTCGATGTTTAGTGAACTTGAGGTGAAGGTCTTTGGTGGAAGTTACAGCCAGCTCAGGAGATTGTGACTTTTTAAGATGAGTGATGTGAATCCAAGAGTCTATACCCTCTAATTCTGTGGCACATGGATTAGTCAATAGTGCCCGGTATGGGCCCTTCCATCGGGGTTGAAGGGAATTCTTTATTAGATGTCTTTTCCAATAGACAAAATTTCTGGGCTGCAGATTGTGACCAGGTGCCTTATCTTCAGGGAGCACACTATGAAAGGAATTTCTTACCAAATCTTGACTTTTTTAAGGTGATAAAAAAAGTCGCTCACAATATTGCAGTATATCTCCCTTGAGAAAAGTTGGATTTGTTATGTTTGTTCCCATATACATGGGCCTTCCCACTATAATTTCATAAGGGGACAATTGATGTTTTCCAAAAGGGGTTGATCAGAGTGTAAGCAGCACTAGGGTGAGTGCTTCGAATGAGGGGAGGGAAAATGCCTCTGTGAACTTAGCCAATTGTGTTTTAATTATTCCATTGGTTCTCTCCACCAGGCCTGAGGATTGGGGATGGTAGGCACAATGGAAATGCTGAGATATGGGCCAAATTTTTCAAATATTTTGAATAACCTGGCCAGTAAAGTGAGTTCCCCTGTCATTGTGAAGTTCACAGGGGACTCCCCACAGTGGGATACTTTTTTCTAGTAGGATTTTTCCAACCGCCATAGCTGTTGCTTGCCTACAGGGAAAAGGTTCAACCCAATGGGAAAACATGTAGACTATTACTAAAACATACCTGTAAACTTGAGATGATGGCAGCTGGATAAAATCAAGGTGCCATACTTCAAGAGGTCCAATCAGAAAGGAAAAATGACCCTGGGCCCCATGGAGGGGCTTTCGTGGGTTATATTTGGGACAAATAACATAACAAGAGTAAACTTTTTGTGCCACTGTGAAGGATGGTTTCCAGTAATACTGTTAACACCAGGATATTACTTTATCTGGATTCCAATGGCTTAGATTATGAACATATTCCACAAGGGGCACCTGACATCCAATTAGAATAACAGGTTTATTATTAGGTCCACTTCATATTTCAGTTTTGGGAGCCAAGTATTTCCCTGCCTGTTTCCAAGTAGATTTCCCTTTTGTAGGAGCTCTGGGTTTCTTTCAACATGTTTCTAAGTGTTTTTGGGTTTTATGGCCATTTCTTGTACTGGGGCTGGTGGCTTGGATGCTGCTCTTTTAGCTGTAGTGTCAGCCAGCTGGTTACCTGACTTTCTATGGTGTCTAATTTTGAGTGACCTGGGATTTTTATAATTGCCAAACGTTTTGGTTTCAAAATAGCTTCTAACAGCTCTCATAATTGGTGTCCATTTTTTATGGATTTTCCTGAGGAGGTTAAATATCCTGTCTCTTTCCATAGCATCCCAAAGTCATGAGCAACCCAAAAGCATAGTGGCTCTCAGTGTAAATGGCAAAAGCCTTGTCTTTTGACAATTGACAAGCTTGGATCAGGAAAATCAATTCGGCCACTTGAGCTGATCTGGCTTGGGGAAGAAGACTGGCTTTAGTTACCTCTGGTACAGAAACCACAGCATATCCTGCTCTAAAATTTCCTTCCTCTCCTCTTAAATAACACCCATCTGTGTATGATTCTATCTCAGTATTATCCAGTGGCGTCTCTTATAGGTCTGTCCTGGGGGTGAGAAGTTGGTCAGTCATCAGAACATAGTCATGAGGGGTTTCCTTGGTAGGGCCTGTCAAGGGAGTGGCTGCATTAAGATTATTACAGCGGGAAATAGTAATATTGGGAAATGATAAAAGCAAAATTTCATAAGAGGCTAACAAGTTGACAGATGCTGAGTATGATGAGAGTTTAGAAGGGTCTTAAGAGAATGTGGCACAAAAATGGTAAGGGGGGAACCCATAATTATTTCTTCAACAGACTTGTACAGAAGGGCCATGGCTACTATTGCTCTCACACAGGAGGCAGCCCTTAACCCACAGGGTCCAGGTGTTGGCTATAGTAGGCTATAGGTCTCCGATGATCACCATGTTTCTGGATCAGTATCCTGCATGCAGTACCTCCAGTTTCATGCACAAAAAGGGAGAAAGCCAATAGTTTGAGTGTCCTAATGCTGAGGCATTAGTTAGAATTTCCTTTATTTGTTGTACAGCTGCTTGTCCCTCTGAAGTCCACATGATGGGATCAGGTTGTTCATTTTTTAGGTATGAATACAGAGGTTGAGCCATAAGGGAGAAAATTGGTATCCAGTTTCTACAACAGCCTGGCAGGCCCAAAAATCCTCTATGTTGTTTCATAGTGATGGGCACTGGGAAAGCTGAAATTCCTCTCACTCTGTCAGGGTGAATACTCAGTCCTCTGACTGAGATAATATGCCCCAAACACTTAACTTGTGGTAAGCATACCTGAAATTTGTCTTTGGACACGATGTGTCCTTTGGTGGCTGTTTGAGTAAATACAGACTATCTTCCTGGGAGGAAGATAGTGTGCCTGAACAAAGGAGAAAGTCTTCCATGTACTGGATGAATGTTGAGCCCTGGGGAAAAATTAAATCCTCTAAATCAGCTTTTAATATTTGGGAAAAGTAAGTGAGACTTTCTGTATACGCTTCGGGCATTACAGTCCACATATATTGCCATTCTTTCCAAGTAAAGGCAAACAAATACTGGCTGTCTGGATCTACGGGAATACTAAAAAAGGGCACCGCAGAAATCCACAACTGAGAAATACTGGCTGGTAGTGGCTATGGCTGATAGAAGGGTAAGTGGTGTGGGGACTACTTAGTGCCTGGGTATTACAATATTGTTAATTGCTCTCAAGTCATGCACAAATCTTCATCCTCTCCCGCTTGGATTTTTTACAGGAAATATAGGGCTGTTGCAGGGGCTTATGCAGGGAATAATGAGCCTTTTTTTTTTTCAGATAATCTTGTATAATAGGGGCAATTCTGTCTATGGCTTCCTGTCATAGAGGTTATTGTTTAAAGTTGGGTAAGGGTTTCTTTGGGTTTCTAAATAAGGTGAGATTTACCAGAGAAATAGTCGTGCCTGTGTCAAGGCAGTTTTAACCTCATAGTTTATTATTATATTAATCTCTCCCAATTTGTTTGTCAGGGTAGAATACTTAAAGAGGTGAAACCCCTATATTTCCTCAGAGAATCCCTAGTCTTCCCGAGTTGCATTCTCTGGCCTTTTCTTTTGCTTCGGCCTAAGGCAATCCCTCTTGAGGTGTCCCAGTCTTTTACAGTAGTAACAGACTGGGAGGAAAGAGTTCTCAGACTGAGGGAGCTTAAAATCTTTCTGGGACTGACAGGTTTGAGAAGTTAATTGCTTTAGCTGTAAATGCATAACTCAGGCCATCTTCTTTTTTTCTTCTTTATCATAATGCGAGATAACTGGTCAGATAAGTTAACTAGTTCATTAGTTCTGGCTGTGGCCCAATTTGTCATGTGGTGTTTTACAAGGGTGGCTGAATCATCATCTAGTCTGTTTAAGAAATTTGCATTTAGTAATATATCATTTTTGGTGTTTTCAAAGCAATCAGCTGACATCCCGCAATATTGTCTTAAAGTTTATCAGAACATGTGAAATAATCTAAAACTGATTCACTTGGGTTCTGGCAGCATTGTTGGATTTTATTCCAATCCACAACCCTTTGGAACACTGAAGGAATAATATTTAACAGAGTGGTTGTTTGTTCCCATGCGTCTTTACACCCGTCTTCTGGATTTGTGGGGGCTGATTATTGTGGCTCTATTGTGCCTTCAGGAGTCAAATCTGCTATAGGGTCTGACCATTGTGCTTTTTCCAGCCATTCCTTAGCTTTAGCTTCTGAAACCAACAATGTGGACTAGCTGATAATGATCTGAGTGACCTTCGTCATAGGTTCTGATAATAAGCTCAACTTCTCGGGCAAACCCAATTGGATCTTTATGGGGTCAGCAAATTCTTTATGCCTCATAATTCAGCCTTTGACTAGGGTTGGTAGACAACTGCTGGGGTTCCCCTACCTGTTACTGGTTGTTCCCAAAATGAGGAAATCATGAGAGAAGTCCCTGCGGGGTCCCCCTTTCCCACAACTTCCAGATGAGACTGCCATTGGCGTTGTCAGGGAATCCTCAGTGGGTGGGGTCTTTGAAGTCAGATTCCCGACTGCCTTCTGTTGAGCAAGTGTTAAACATACAGGGGAAGGTGGGGACAGATCTGGTCTGGGAAGCTCAGAGAGGTCAGGGTAGAGTGGGAGTGTAGGTGGAGGTGGGGAAGGTGCCAAACGGGAATTAGGGGATCCCAAGGATTTCTTTAAGAGAGATAAAATATTAGAGAGTTCTTTATTAGCATTCCTAAGTTGTTTGTTCCCCTCCTGTAGGGAGATGAGGTGGTCTTCCCCATTTTTGTTACTTTCTAGATACCACTGAAAATAGTTCTCCCATTCCGGTTGCTTGGTTTTTGTGCCTGCGTTTCCATCCTGGTTCACAGGTACACTAATTTGGGCATCTCAAAAGATTCCCATTTAGGCCATTGTAACTTAGAATCTGCTTTAGTTACAGTGGTCCACTCGGTTAAATATTTGCACGATCATTTGCCATAAGTATTTTGCATATACCTAGCTAGAGTTCCTAAAGGGGGAACTTTATGTTTTGCAGCTGCTGGGATCTTAGAGGCCTTGTTCGCCATAATTTAGAGCTCCTCTTCAAATTTGACCAAGCTGGGACATGTGTCGGGCGCAAAATGTGCTGCTTGCAGGTCTAGCTTTTCAGATCCATTACCCCTTGACCCAGTTTGGTCCACCTGTGTCATGGTTACCTGGCACAATGTGTCAGGGGCTCAAGGTGCAGGAGGGATCACTTCCTTATATGCACCTGCTGGTTGAGATTAGACCCTAAGTATGTTCTTCTGAGGGAGAAACCTATTTAGGGCACATTTCAGGGAGTGTTTCTCTCAGACACCCTCACATGATTCTGTCACCTGTGAATGCCTCGAAAGGCTGAGGGGAGCAAGGTGCTCTATTTCTTCATAGTGGAAGATTCCACACTCATGAGCTAGAGGGTTCAGAGTTGGTCAAATCCGACAGGAGAAGGGACTGAAATATACACATACACACACACACAGAAACAAACAACAAAACAGTTAAGCAAAACTAACAATGATCACACTGAGCGCTCTAAGTGTAAGCAGGAAAGTAACACCAGCTTGTTGTTAATGTTAATTTTAGTCATTTAAAAGAATTGATAAGACGCAATCCCAAACCAGTTTCTTACCTAGTGATGGGGCCCAAGCCAGAGACCACTCTCCACCGATGCAGAAGCAGATGAGCTCACTTTCCTTGATGGAAGCAAGTAAAAGAACTACCACAAAAAAGGCGAGTTGTTTTAACAGCAAATAAACCTCAGACCCCTAACTGAAAAATATTAGAAGGGATCCCTGGAGGAAAGAGGTGCCTGACTTCGGCAAATCTTCCTGTCATTTTGGGATATAAAGTGCCCAAGCAGGTACCAAGCACTGAGAGGCAAATTTCCACAGGCCAGGTCACTTTCACTCAGGATCCCTCCATGGTTACCAGATGTCAGTCGAGGAAAATGATGAGACAAATCTCAATCATTTTAGCAGCTTCATTTGTTAAAGTTAAGGGCACATCCAAGAGACAGGTCTATGCCTTTCTCTGTAGATGATTTTGAGTGTTCCAAATTCAAAGGGGGAAAGAGTGGGATATTGAGAAGCACACAGTTTTTATGTAAGGGGAGGGGAGGGAAAAATAGCCATTCATGCCCTTGTCTGGCTCAATGAATCTGCACTTTTTACATAAGATGACATAAAAGAGGCAGAGGGAAAATGCAGGGAATCTGCATTATACATAAGGTAACACAGAAAACACTGGGTAGGGGAACAATCAGATATGCATTTGTGTCTGGCATCCTGGGTGACTGCACCTGTAAAGATAAGTTATCAATTTGCATTGCCATGATGAAGTTTTAACAGCTCACTGGAAATTTCCTTGTGGGCAAAATACGGGGGAGGCATGTAGCTTTTCATCTTGTAGCCATCTTATTTAGGCACCAAAAGGGGGAGGCAGGTTTGCATGACCCAGTTCCCAGCTTGAGTTTTCCCTTTGGCTAAATGAGTTTGGGGTCCCAAAACATAATTTTCTTTCACAAACCTATGAGGTGAGAGCGACTATTCTCATTTTATCAGTGAGGAAACTTGTTCACAGTCACACTGATTAGTGACTAAGGCTTCTACCAGGGAGTCGGCCTTGAAAGTCCTTATCTTTCCACTGAATCACACAGCCTGAACTGGTCTTGTCAGTGGTACAGCAGAGTACTGGAGCATGGGGTGCCAATTCTTGGGAGAGCCCCAGCTCATTTGGTTTACCTCTTTTCGCCCAATCCCATGCAAGGGACTCTCTAGAACCCAGAAGATTCCCTGAGGGCCATCTGGAAGGGTTTGCATGCCTGACCAAATGGGCCTGAGCAGGGTAAAGAGATGCAAAAATGCATCCAGACTCCACCAGCTTCAGTGCCAATTTCCTTGAAGGTCTCTAGAACACACCTGGCTATATGTGTGCTGGCCATTTTGGTCATACATAACCTTGCATTTCACCCTTTCAAATCACACAATGAGCCACACCATGGGTTCCTGGGCAAGTAAAGGGAACAAGCATGAGCTTCCCTGAAAATGTACCTTCTATTCAGCCCAAGAAGTGGAAGCCTACTATCCCACATCCCCAGATTTAACTGCCTCTCTCTCATTTCTTTCTCTTCTTTCATTCACATCTTTTCGTCCTTTATTCTTCCATTTCTTTAGCCTATTTTCTTACCTCAATCTCCCCTTTAATCACTAGCCCTCTCATTCTTCTCAATTTCCATGAGAAAAGGAGGCCAATCAAGACAAATGTGGGGACTTCAATGATGATGTAGTCATTAACCAACCAAAGAAGCAATAGGTTTAAAAAAAAAAAAACAAAAACTGTCAGGGGCGTCAGGGACAGAGTTGAACTGAAGCAGGTGAGGAGGTTGCTGTGGGTCCAGAGCGTGGGGAAGGGAAGCTGTCTCCCTCTGGACCTGGGTGTGACAGCAATGAAGAGAGTCACATCCAACATCAAAATGGCTTCTTTCTTACACAGGAAATGTACAGATCATTAATCAGCTGAATTTGATTCTTGCAAAGGAGATAGTTTCAGTGTTTGTTCTGAAGGGAAAAAGGAAGTAATTCTGGCTCAGACGAACAAGTTTCCACCACCTTCAAAACCCCAAGGAACAGATGATCAGCATGAACATCAGGGTGCAGTGGCCCCAGGCAGTGGGGTAAGGTGAAAAATGGAACACCCATTCTTCCCTGGCCGCTGCACAAAATACAAGAGTCAGCATCCGTCCAGCTCTTGTAAGGCATGCACACAGTCCATATATTGATGACAAACAGCATAGGAAGGATAGGAGGGTGGTGGAATCTGGGGCAAGAGCCCTTCCCCCTTGTGTGTCAGCCTAGTGAAACTTCACACCTATAAAACCACCAGGGCAATTTTCACAAGGAAGGTAGGAAAAGGACATATCTCCAACAGGCAGCAAGGGGTGTTTGAAGAAAGAGACGAGGGAATCGGATGGGCCAGCAGTCTCAACTGAAGAAGCAAAAAGGCCTTGGAGTGTTGTAGCCAACAAAATGTGCCATCCCTTCATATACCTGAGGGTGCCAGGTAGGCAGAGCTCCTGCACCAAGCTCTGCTGCACCTCATGCGATGCACCACATGGAGACATCAAAGGCTCAGAGGGAAGAACAAGGAAACCTGACCTGGTGGGGACTTTTGGGTCCCTTTTCTCCACCTAGGTGGCTCTGCGGTTTACCTGGCAAGGAATGAATGAACACACAGGAAAGTGCTCAGCCACTGGCCTAAAGACTAGATGTATATAAGTACAGAGAATGGAGCTAAGCTGAAGTCACTGGGAAAAGCCACAGGAGCCCATGGGGCTTGAATGAGGACTTAGATTCCTGGGTCCAGGTAGGGAACGCAGCCTGGGCAATGGTGCAGAGGAGGATGAGGGGTATGAGGAGCTCCTTGCCCCCACCTTCTGGGAAGCGTGTACAGAGGGCAGATGAGGGAGCTCAGGTGCAAGAGTCAGCCACAGACCTGACAGGCAGGGTCCAGTGGTTGGGGTGGGGTGCGGAGCCCATGATGTCCTGGTGAGAACTGACAGGAAAGTGGCCAGAGGCCAACTCTTGTGTGAAATCTCTTGATTTCTAAATATTAATGACTAACTCTAAATTTGAAAAAGCAGCGTGAAGACCTGCTGCAGGAGGGGGATGCATGGGGTAGTGTTCAAATTGTATGTGTAATATTTTATACCTTAAAAAGTGGGTGGACAGGTGTCAGCAGCAAATCTGTTCATTCTTGGTGATATGCCACAAATATATGTTATTATACCATTTTCTCAAATTTTCTGTATGTTTATCATAGGTTATAATTTTTTAAATAAATTAAACTTTGTGGGGGGAAAAGCATGCAAACTAACAAAACAAGTCTGCAGGCTGGACCCAGGACTAATACTTCCAATTTTCCATTTCTGCTCCCAGTTTAGTGGTCCAGTGGGGGAGATGAAATATGAGACATGTTAGGTGCTGTGCACAGTAAATGTGCAGAGTGCCATAAGAAAGGAAAGTGCTTCCAGAGGATTTATTCCATTGGGGATTTATAGGGTCCTTGCATTTGGGCAAGGATGACCTCACCCACAGCCTTGGCAGCACCAGTAGATGCGGGGATGATATTCTGGAGAGACCTGTGATCGTCATGCCACAGCTTCCCAGAGGGGCTATCCAAAGTCTTCTGGCTGGCAGTGATGGTGTGCACCATGATCACGAGTCCTTCCACGATACCAAAATTGTCATGGATGACCTTGGACAGGGGTGCTAAACAGTTGGTGGTACAGGAGTCATTGCTGATGATCTTGAACCTGTTGTCATACTTCTCATGGCTCACATCCATCAGAAACCTGGGGACGTTAGCAGCTGGGGCAGAGATGATGGCCCTTTTGGCTCCCCTCTGAAAGCAAGCCCCAACCTTCTCCATGGTAGTGAAGACACTGATGGACTCCACAATGTACTCAGTGCCAGTATCGCCCTATTTGATTTTGGTAGGATCTAGCTTTCCATTAATGACAAGCTTCCCATTCTCAGCCTTGACAGTGCCATGGAATTCGCCATGGGTGGAATCATACTGGAACATGTAGGCCTTGTAGTTGAGCTAAATGAAGGGGTCATCGATGGCGATAATATCCACTTTACCAGAGTTAAAAGTAGCCCTGGTGACCAGACACCCAATACAGCCAAATCCGTTGACTCAGGCCCTCAACTTCACCCTGGTGTCTCAGGGATATGGCTGGAGCAAAACAGGACATTGTGGCCGCCTGTGGAAAAGGAAGAGAGGAGAACTAGCTACAGCATATTATTTAACACATGGTTATCATATCGAGAAAGTCTTCACAAACTCTGATGCCAATAGTGTATGACTCAGATTGGCATCACTTTACACAGCATGCTGAAATTCCCTGAGCATGTAGATGATTCAGTTGTCTCAGTATCACTTCTTTAAAAGACTATCCTTTTCCTTCATTGAATTTACTTTTGTCAAAATCAAGTGGCCATAAGAATTTAGGCCATTAACTCACACATAAGCAAAAATTCCCTCAAAATTGATTATAGGCCTAAATGTAAGGGTTAAATTATGCACATCTTAGAAGAAAGCATAGATTAATATATTCATGACCTTGAATTAGGCAAAACCCCACCTTTTCCTGGTCAAAGGGAAAAAGTTTAAAAATGAGACATGATCAAAACTAAAAATGTTTGCATTTTGAAAGACATCAATAAAAAAATGAAAAGATAAGCCACAGACTAAGAAAAAAATTTCAAATCATGTATTTGATAAAGAATTGTATCTATAATATAAAATATACTTACAATTAAACAACAAAAAGATAAATAACCCAATTTTAAAATGGGGAAGATATTTGAATAGCCATTTCACCAAAAAGTGTAGGAATGGCCAATAAAGCACATGAAAAGATGGTCAGCATCATCAGTCAGCAGGGAAGTGCAAATCAAAACTACAATGTGATACCACTTCTTACCCACTAGAATGCTATAATAAAAAGGAAAGACAGTAACAATTGGAGGAACTGAAAACACAATGATGTGAAAAATTGAAATACTCATGCATTATTGATGGGACAGGCAGCCACATTGGAAAACAATTTGGTAGTTTCTTAAAACATTAAAGATACATTTACCATATGACCTAGCAGTTTCACTCCTACCTGTCTACTGCAAAGAAGTAAAAATGTATGTCAGCACGACAAGTGAATGTGAATATTTACATCAGATTTATCCATAATAGTCCAAAAAGTGGAAACACATTGAATGTCTATCAACTGATAAGTGAATAAACTAATGGGAGCCATCCATACAATTTAATAGGATTTGACACCTAAAAGGAACGAAATATTGATACATGCTACAACATAGATGAACCACAAACGTATATTAAGCTAAGTGAAAGAAGACGGATACAAAGGACCACATATTGTATGATTCTATTTATATGGTGTCCAGAAAATCAAATCTGTGGAGTCAGAAAATCAATTAGGGGCTTCCTAGAGCTGGGGGGTTTGGAATAAGGGGTGGCAACTGATGAGCATGAGGAATTCCTTAGGAATGATAGAAATGTTCCAAAACAGGATTGTGATGATGGTCACACAACTCTAAAATGTTACTAAAAGTAATTGAACTGTGCCTTAAAACAGGTGAATGTTATGATATGTCAATTATGCCTCAGTAAAGCTGTTTAAAAATAAAAGAAAGTTGGTAGTTTGGCTCGCATCAGTCTTGCCCTTTGTTTTATTTCTCATTTTCCTAAAGAAAGTGAGATATTTATTGGTTTAAAGAAAGCTTATATTTATTGGTTCCACTCAGAGACTCCAAGAGAGACACTGGTTGGTCTATTAGCCTCCAGAACTCTCAACAGCTGAGGGAATGAGCAATACTGTCCTGAAGGAGATGAGGGCTATCTAAGGTGCACTCCAGCACCTGCTACAGCAGGCAAAGGCCTGCGATGCACCTGGGTGGCCTCAGACAGTGCTCCACAAGTCTCAGCAAGACCCAGGGCCTGTAGCTAGTTCTGATAGCTTCAGAGAACAAGCTGCTACATCTTGCAGCACAAGGCCAACCTTTCCTAGGCAAGTGGGTTTGAAGCACTGGTAGTCAGGTTCCAAGTATTAGGTGAATGTCTGCAATGTGGGAAGAGGGCAAGACCCAGATTGGGGTTTCAAACCAAATCATTGGTAGAGTATGACTTCCAACAACTTCAGAAAGCATTCTTTTCAAGTGCTTATTGCATTTTCACCAACATAGACCATATGCTGCATCATAAAACAAGTCTCAATATATATCCAAGGATCAAAATCATACAGAGTATATGCTCTGGCCACAATAGTATTTAATTAGAAATCCATAACAATAAGATATCTAGAAAACTCCCAAACCTGGAAAACAAGCAACATACGTTGAATAACACTTTGGTCATAGACGAACTCACAAGAAAAAATTCAAAACATCATTAACTGAGTGATGATAACCCAGTGCCTCAAAATGTTGGATACAGCTGACACAGTGCTTAGAGAGAAATTTACAACTTTAAATGCCTATAGTGGAAGTGAGCAAAGGACTAAAGTCAATTATCAATGCTTTCATCATAAGAATACTGAAAAATAAGAGTATAATAAACCCAAAGTTAATAAATGTAATCCAATTATGAAAATCATGAAATATAAAAAAGAACAAACAATAGAGAAAATGAATAGTTAATTTTTCTGTACACCATGCACAAAACTAAATTTTAAAATGATTTTATATTTAAACATATATCCAGAACCACAGAGATCTTAGAAGAATAAATTATGACAATATAGGAAATTGAAAGAGAAAATGGGAATTCTGTGGGAATAAAAATCAGAAAGTAGTTGCCTATGAGACTGATTGGGTGAAGGGCAGGGAAATAACAGGGAACAGTTGGAAAACAACTTTATGGAGTGAAGGAAATGGTCTATATCTTCTTTGAGTGGTACTTACATGGGCATATATAACTCTCAAAGTTCATTGGCACTGAACACTTAAGATCTGGGCATTTTAATGCATACACATTACATCTTGATTTTTTTAAAATAGAGGAAAGTGTTTTGGGGAGCTTATGGTAGTGATATTGGGCAGTTGTCAGGCATAGGCTACAGAAGCATTCACAGCATATTCAGTTCAGGAATTTGCTGAGAATGGTTTTGCAGCCAAAAATATGGGAAAAGTTCAAACATCTATGATAAGAGTCACTGGGTCATACAACCAGAAATCCCCACTCTTGTGGTACAGGCCATATTATTAAGCAGTTATCACTAGATAGCTTCCCTTCAGTGATGTTCTTTGTCTAGGAATCCAGAGCTCTCCAGGGGAAAATTGCAATTGAGGTTTTGGATATATTGGGTAGGAGAGAAAGTCACCTCACATAAAACTTAGTGATTAGAGCTGTCAACATCGCAAATTTCTAGACCTTGCAAGACAGGAGCAACATCTCAAATGATAGTCTGAGAGAGGAGATAATGGGCTAATGTGGATTTCCTTCCGAATGTATTCACTGCACAAGGTCAGAATTCACATTGCACTTGAAGATTTCTCCCAGTCTACTTTAAGTTCACAGATTGCAGATCCCAGAGAGCTGGTATCAACTGACCAGTGTCCTGTTAAGTCTAAACCCAAGACTCTTTGTCACATTGCAGCCTTGAATTTCTCTTTCTGTTCCTGGGAGATAAAACTTAAAGGTCACTATTCTTCTGAGAAAAGGGATCCTGGAGGAGCAGAGAGCAATGAGTTTGTGGCAGGAGTTCATGGTGATAATGGCTGAGCCAGAAGCCACAGTGCACAAAGCTCCAGGCTTGCCTCAAAGGATGAGGTGACCAGCACCCTGACTACTCTGTCCAGCTATTAATAATCTAACTAATGGTTAGAGCTATTTCGTTTTCTTTCAGCTACTTCTGGCAATGGTGAGGATATGGAATTTTTGCAAAAAAAAAATGGGTGGAAGTAAAAAAGCATCTGTGTGAGTGTATAAATATCTGATCTCCCTTTTTAGCCCTCTCCAGGGACACCCTAGAATAAGATCTTCTCCCCAGCATCTTCTGTTTCCTGGAGAGTGTTTCCTGCTACCTCGGATTGGCCATGACAGGCTGGAGCTGCCTTGTGACAGGAGCAGGAGGGTTTCTGGGTCAGAGGATCATCTGCCTGTTAGTGGAGGAGACAGAGCTGAAGGAGATCAGGGCCTTGGACAGGCCTTCAGACCAGGATTGAGGGAGGAATTTTCTAGTAAGTAAACTTGAGTCATAGTTGTGTGGCTCCAGCTTAAACCCTGCATTGGTGTGGGGAGGTGGACCTTGTCTAGCAAGTTATGGAAAGTCGTAGCAAAATCTAGGCCAATCCCACATCCAAAGTCATCAAAAAGGAAATATTAAATAGCATAAAATTTCATAGTGTGAAATATACTTAAAGGAGTGTCCAGAGACTGGATTCTGGCCCTGACTCAGAACTTGAGAGGCAGCCACCTCAGCCTCCGGGCCTCTCTTCTTCTATTAAGAAAATCCTACATCTGTTATCTTTCTTGCCTACAACTCTTTTATGTCTGAAGCTTTTTGTCTTGGCGATTGCTTTGCAACATTCACAAAGGACACCATTACCCTAAAGACCTCACCAGTGGATCCTGCCTTTCTAGACTGTGCTGGACTTTGTTTTGTTTGGAAGCTTCCTTAGGATTTTTAGTGAAGGCAAAATAAAAGGGAGCAAAGGTAAAGATGAGTGTATAAGTGTTTGTGTGGTTTGTGTGTGTGTGTCAGAGAGAGAGAGAAAATGAGGAGGAGAGAGAATGAGAAAGTCTGAATGAATGAGAAAGAGAGAGGATAAGAGAGAGAGAGGGCATCAGTGAGAGGGAGAGAGTGTGCACAAGTGCACAGCACAGAGCAGAAACAGAGTAGGAGGCAGTATGAGGCCAGATATGCCTCATTTAGATTTCTTATAAATGGCTTTTTTTTAAACCATTTCTCTCTGTCGCTCAATACCCCAAAGGAATTGATTGCAGAGTTTGCTGTAGCAACTCCTTGTGCAAATAACCCCGTGAGGAAGGTACAAAATGGGTCACATCCAACTGGACAATGAACCCACCAAGGTCTAGAAACATAAAGTTACTTGCCAATGCCATCTGATCAATGTATAGCAACGCTCAGGCCAGAGCTTCCTTCCAGAGGCTCCATCACTTGGCCATTGGGTTGATGCTTGGCAAAGTGGGTCTTCAGACTCTCTCTTTGCCTCTCTGTGTGCCCCAAACCAATTCCCTGTCCACCTCCCCAACCCAGGGGTTTGGGGGGACTGTGTATCTACATGTGGGCTCTGGCTGCCCAGTGGGTACTCCCCTGCCCACAGAAAAGCCCCCACTTGACAGCACTCAGGACCACACCCAACAATCTGTTCTTCTTTCACTCTTCTCTGACCTCTTCAAATGTCCAATTTCCTCCACCTTCTGTTTTAATGGTGTCTTTGATTAACATAAGACCAATATTAAATGTTTGTAATCTTTATATCTCACCAATATTTGCTGTAACACCTGATACCAGAAAAAACAAACAAACAAACAAACAAACAAAAAACAATGCTCAGCCTAAGGGAACCATTCTCCTATGGTGAAAATTCAGAAGGTATAATAAATGGGCAGGGGCCTGCATGAAGATAAAAACAGAGAATCTTTTCAGTGTTCTTTCTGTGTCAGGCACTGTGCTAAACCTTTTGCATGTGTCGACTCATTTGCTCTTCATAACAACCCTATGAGATCGGTTTTTTATTATCCTCCTTTCTTACAGATGAGGAGACAACCAGAGAGAGGTTAATTAACTTGTTCAAGGTTCCGCAGTTAGAATATGGTAAAGCTGGATTTGAACTCACGCAGTCTAGTGCAGCATCTGTGCGCTTAAGCAGTAGTTAGTCTAGCAGCTTCTAGAAGGAGTAAGCTATAGCTCCATCAACAAAGTCCCCTTTCCTGGTGCCTCTTGATCCCTGCAAACTCGTTCGCAAAGAGTCCTTTTATCTCTGCTTTGGACTTCTTCCGCTTTGAAACAGCAATTTCTTTGAGCCAGTCTGTCTGAAGTCGGCAGCAAAGGAGAAGCAGAGGAAGGCAGCAGAGAAGGGAGAAGAGGGGGAAATACAACCAGAGAAAATTCCACTCTCAGGCTGTTACCACCTCCTCCCCAGCAGCCTCTTCCCTGACTCCTCCCACTGAAGGCCCTTCTTGGAGTTGCCTGACTATGGGAAGGGGCTGGGAGTAGACAAAACATGGCACAGGCATTAGGAGAGTAAATGGTCCCGCCTGTACCCCAGGAAGGAATTTCTCTAGCCTTGATTTTTTTCACTCTGAATTTCACCCTTACAATTCTTTGGACTTTGTTGCCAATTTCAGTTAAACTGGCTTATTCTTACTCTTTCTCAGAAAAGTTGATTCTAAACAGCCAGTCCTGCACCTGGGGTGCAGAATACCTGAGCCTCAGTTTCCTCACCAATAAAGTGGGACTCAAAATACCTACCTCACAAGATAGCTGTAAAAGGAAATAAGCAAGCTGTGAGCCGTATGCAGATTATAAAGCACAAATGAGTGTAAAGTATTTATCTGAGCTCCATGTAGCATGGTGTTCATTTTGTGGGCTAATTCCGCTGACAACTTTACTGGCAGCAATACTTCCTGTGGATTTCAGAGGAGCCTGAAGATATGGATGTTGTATCTGCTGCCCTTGGCTAGACACTAGACAGCTGGGATGTTAATTCATCGGCGGCCAACTCATTTTCGGCATTGCTATCTGCTTTTGATGATATCTGATAATAGTTTTTCAATAACATTCATCATTTATGCCTATCCTCAATTCCCTAGTAATGGCTCCACTCTCCTCCTACTTGCCCAAGCAGGAAACCATAGGGGTGATTTTATCTTCTCCTTTTCCTCTCAGCCCAGCTCAAATAGGTACCAGGACCTTCAAGGTAAGGTCTGAAATTCTAACCTGGTGTATCTCTCCCCTCCTCTGCTTCCACTGCTGGACCCTGGTTCCAGTCCTCATTTAAACTTTGGCACAGACATTCTGATTAATCACTTGATCACCTGGCTCTCTCATTTCCCCTGTACCAGTCCGTTTTATATCCTCAAGCCAAGGTTAACTACCTACACCACAACACAACTCTGCCTCTGTTTCTCTCTCTCTTTTTCTTTTTTTTTTTTTTTTTTTGAGAAAGGGTCTTGCTCTACCCCCCAGGCTGGAGTGCAGAGGTGCAATCTCAGCTCACTGCCACCTTCACCTCTTGGGCTCCATCCATCTCCATCCATCTTTCTGCCTCAGCCTCCTGAGTAGTGAAGACTATAGACAGATGCCACCACACAGGGCTAATTTTTGTATTTTTAGAAGACACGGGGTTTCATCAGGTTGTCCAGGCTGGTCTCAATCCTCTAGGCTCAAACTAGCCAGCCGCCTTGGCCTCCCAAAATTCCAAAAATTGCTTATTTATATTTGCAATGCAAAAAGAAATAGGCGTGAGCCGCCACACCCGACCTGTTTCTCTTTTATTCCAAATATCAATAAGCATTTTTCTTTGACATGATGCTGGAGACCCAAAATCATGATTCCATACCTGATTCCTCATCACCTACAAAATTAAATTCACTTTTTCCCTCTTATACCCAACTCTCCACAATCACCCTAGGCTCCTTAAGAAATTTGGTGAGTGTCCCATGACTCCAGCAATGCTTACATTCTAGGCACACCTGACAGCTCACTGCTCAGATTACTTTTCTGAAATGAGATAAGGTAGAAACAGATGTTTGCTCTTTCCTAGTAAACTGCTGCACATGCTGATTTCTGTGCCTTTGTTTGCTTGTTCTTTCCATTGAATTTTGCCCTCCATTCTAACACCCCACTCTAACCGTCCTTGAGCACCTATGTAACATCACCTTTATCAGAAAACTTCTCAGCTAGATACAGAAATCATTCCAATGACCTAACCTCTGCTCACACAGAACTCCAGAACAAGATCAAGCTGACAGTGCTGGAAGGAGACATTCTGGATGAGCCATTCCTGAAGAGAGCCTGCCAGGACGTGTCGGTCGTCATCCACACCGCCTGTATCATTGATGTCTTCGGAGTCACTCACAGACAGTCTATCATGAATGTCAATGTGAAAGGTAGGGTAGCCTGGGGAGGAGATAAAGCAAGGTGGGGAAATGAGGATCAGAAAGAAGGACAGGAAGGAAAGAGAAGTCTATCCATTGAACACCTGCTGTGCTCTGGGCCAAGTGACTTTGCTGATCACTACCAACTGGGGGAACTCAAGGCTGCTATTTTCAGTTTTATAGATGAGAAAACTAGGACTGAGCAATGACAAGCAACTTGTCCAAAGTCCCACAGTTGAGTGAGTAAGTAAGTAGGAGAGTGCGACTTTAAACTCACTCCTGTGTGACTCCAAAGGCTGTGGAAGCTCTTTCTAATGTGGCCCCAGTCAAAAGTCAACTAATCTCCGACTTCAGACTCTTGAAATCCAGCTACCCGTTGGCTCCCCGGACCAGAATCTGACCTTCCGGGTGCCACCATAGTCATCATTTTGAACCTTATGTGTAGGCTGATGAGAACATTCAGAGTCTTCCTGCCCACCTCAAAGAAGAAATCCTCTCAAGAGAACTAGCAAATCTGGTTCACAGAGGTCTGTCAGGACAGAATTATCCAGCACATGCCTTCCCACTATATGTTCTTAACAATAAGAGTTTCCCAGTGTCCAGAATACAGTCTCTTCAGCTCACCACAGGGTCTGCTAATTACATAGCTGTTTCCAGCCAGGTGCCCAAAGTGCACCCTCATTCAGTCCTCATCCCTTAAATGCTTGGTGGTCTTTCTGAATCCTGGCTTTCCAACCTACTTTAAATTCAGACACATTTTCTTAAGGAATCTTCTAATGCACTCTCACTCTCTGATCTCCAGAACCCAGTCTTCAGCACCACAGCATTCCAACCCCTGGCCTGGCCCTCCACATTCAGTCTACTCAAACTCCTTTTCTTTTTTTTCTTTCTTTTTTTTTTTTTTTTTTTTGACAGAGTTTCACTCTTGTCACCCAGGCTGGAGTGCAATGGCACGATCTCAGCTCACTGCAACCTCCACCTCCTGGGTTCAGGCGATTCTCCTGCCTCAGCCTCCCAGTGTATCTGAGATTACAGGTGCCTAACACCATGCCAAGCTAATTTTTTTTTTTTTTTTTTTGTATTTTTAGTAGAGAGGGGTTTCACCATGTTGGCCAGGCAGGTCTTAAATTCCTGACCTCAGGTGATCCACCCACCTCTGCCTCCCAAAGTGCTGGGATTATAGGCTTGAGCCATTGTACCCGGCCTCAAACTCCTTTTCTAAAGCAACTAATTGCTTTTGAGTCTTCAGCACCATCTAAAAAAAAAAAACCTTTTCCAGTTGCTACTTACCCATACCTCTAAGTACCCCTACAATGCAAGGAGGATGCTAAGAGTAACCAGTTTTTTATTTTAATTCCTGTTCTCCACAGCTCCATACAACAGGGGATATGAAATGACAAGGAAAGTGTTAGAGACATCTGTTTCCTAAAACCATTATCACTCCCAGGCTTAGAAAATACTTCACAATGTTGATCAATTCCCCCTTGAAGGTAAACTAACTCCAGATTTGCTCCCTCGTTAGATTAATTTTTGAAAGCCTAAGACTGTCTCTCCAGAAATTCAAATTGCACAGAGACTTTAAATAGGGAGCCTCTTTCCCAGGGAACACGCCATCAGGAAAAGAGTGGGTCTCCAGCATGTTCCCACAACCCATTGTTTACTCAGTGACTCCAGAGATGGTCCTTGTGACAAAGTTTTATTAGTCCTCAACAAAATGAGGAAAATGTCAACAATTTCATGTATATTGAAGAGTGTATATTGCCTGCATACTGTGTATTTGTGTGTGTGTCATGTGAATTCTTCCACTGCCCTTTTCTGCCTAAGGATTGGGACTATCCATATACTCAGAGTATTTTTAAATTTTAAACGATCTGTCTTTAATGGTATTGATGAAAAATCATAATTTTTCAATGTCTTTAGTTGGCAAAACAAAGAGTGATAACCCTAGGTCATTTTCCAAAATTAAGGTACACACACACACACACACACACACACGCACGTCCTTGAAACCCAAAAGTCTAAAAATTCTTGCTCTCCAGAACCCACTTGTCAGTTTCTTTTCATTTTTGTGATTTTCCTATGGCTGTAGTGTGGCCCAGTGTCAGTCAGAGCCACAGAAGAATGTATCCTGAGTCTGTTACAACCACTGCACTTGGGAGTGGGGAGTGGGGCACATGGATCTGTTCATGTGTTTGGCCCTCCCTTAGGGATACTTCCTGACACTGAAAGCATGCTCTTTCTGGGCGGGTACCCAGCTCCTGTTGGAGGCCTGTGTCCAAGCTACTGTGCCAGTCTTCATCTACACCAGTACCCTCCAGTTAGCCGGGCCCAACTCCTACAAGGAAATCATTGAGAATGCCCATGAAGAAGACTTTCTGGAAAACACATGGTCTGCTCCATATCCATACAGCAAAAAGCTTGCTGAGAAGGCTGTGCTGGCAGCTAATGGGTGGACTCTGAAAAATGGTGATACCTTGTACACTTGTGCCTTAAGACCCATGTATATCTATGGGGAAGGAAGCCCATTTCTTACTGCCAATATAAATGAGGCCCTGAACAACAATGGGATCCTGTCGAGTGTCAGCAAGTTCTCCACAGCCAACCCAGTCTATGTTGGCAACGTGGCCTGGGCCCACATTCTGGCCTTGAGGGCCTTGCGGGACCCCAAGAAGGCCCCAAGTGTCCTAGGACAGTTCTACTATATCTCAGATGACACGCCTCACCAAAGTTATGATAACCTTAATTACATCCTGAGCAAAGAGTTCGGCCCCTGCCTTGATTCCAGATGAAGCCTTCTTTTATTCCTGATGTACTGGATTGGCTTCCTGCTGGGAATAGTGAGCCTCCTGCTCAGGCCAGTTTGCACCTATCAACCGCCCTTCGACTGCCACACAGTGACATTGTCAAATAGCATGTTCACCTTCTCTTACAAGAAGGCTCAGCGAGATCTGGCATATAAGCCACTTTACAGCTGGGAGGAAGCCAAGCAGAAAACCATGGAGTGAGTTGGTTCCCTTGTGGACCGGCACAAGGAGAACCTGAAGTCCAAGACTCAGTGCTTTAAGGATGACAGAGATGTGCATGTGGGTATTGTTAGGAGATGTCATCAAGCTCCATCCTCCTGGCTTCATACAGAATGTGACAAGGGCATAAGCCCAGGTCCTGCTGCCTCCCTTTCACACAATGCCCAACTTATTGTCTTCCTCGTGTCATCAAAACCTGCCCATTCCCTGACCCAACCAGAAGCTTTCTGTCCTAATCATATACCAGAGGACAGACAATGTGATTTGCTTTTTCCAAATCTCAGTGGCTGATTCTGAACAACTGTGGTCTCTTTTATCTTAAGGGTCTCTTTTAACTGCTAGAGCTCTCCATTTCTCCTCCTAAAAGAGAAGGATTTCTTTTCTTTTAAGTCTCCTATTTCTTCACACAGTTCAAGGAAATGAGCAATAAATGTTTTAATGCTTAACCTGGAGGGAGGTATGGTTTCTGTTAATACATACTTTCCTCCTTTCCCTTTCATTTCCAGGTATCACCATCTCCAACTTAGAAGAGTTGCATGAAACTGGGGTTGGGGGGTGGGCAGAGTAGTGGGAGGGTCAGGAAGGGTGGTTGAAGGCTGAATAAGCTCTGCCCTTATTGCAGGCATGTACAACATGAGCTACATATGACATATATTACCTCATTTAATACTCATCAGAAACCTATGAGGTGGGGTGACTATTTCCATTTTATTGGTGAGGAAATTTGTTCACAGTCAACTGATTAGTGGCTAGGCCTGCTATCAGAAAATTGACCCTGAAAGTCCTTATCTTTCCACCAAATCAAACAGCCTGAACTGGTCTTGTCAGTGGTATGGCAGAGCACTGGAGCATGGGGTGCCAATCCTTGGGAGAACCCTAGCTTAGCTGGATTACCTCCTTCTTGCACAATCCCATGCAGGGGATTCTCTAGAACTCAGGAAATTCCCCGAGGGGCATCTGGAAGGGCTTGCATGCCTTACCAAATGGTCTTGAGCAGGGGAGAGCAAGCAAAAATGCATCCAGCCTCCACCAGCTTTAGTGCCAATTTCCTTGAAGGTCTCTAAGACAAACCTGGCTATATGTGTGTTGGCCATTCTGGTCATTAACAACCTTGCATTTCAGCCTTTCAAATCACATGATGAAGCCACATCATGGGTTCTTGGGCAAGTAAAGGGAACAAGTGTGAACTTCGTCAAAATACAGCTCTTATTCAGCTCAAAAAGTAGAAGTGTACTATCCCACATCCCCAGATTTAACTGCCTCTTCCTTTTTCTTTATCCTTCTCTCCTTTGAATCACATCCTTTCTTCCTTTATTCTTCCATCTCCTTAGCCACTTTCCTTCCCTCCATCTCCCTTTTAATCACTGGCCCTCTTATTCTTCTCAATGTGCCTGAGAAGTGGAGGCAAATCAGGACAAGTTTGGGGACTTCAATGATGACATAGTCAATAACCAACCAAAGAAGCAACAGTAAAAACAAACAAACAAAAAAGTCCAGTCTCAGGGGCACCAGGGACAAAGTTGAACTGAAGCAGGTGAGGAGGTTGTTGTGGGGTCAGAGTGTGTGGAGGGGAAGCTGTCTCTCTCTGCACCTGGGTGTGACGGCAATGATGAGAGTCACACCCAAGATCAAGATGGCTTCTTTCCTACACAGGAAATTTACACATCATTAATTAGTTGAATTGGATTATCAAAAAGGATATAGTATCAGTGTTCATTCTGATGAGAAAAGAGAAGAACATTCTACCCCAGATGAACAGATTTCCACCACTTTCAAAACCCCAAGGAACAGATGATCAGCACTAGCATCAGGGTGGAGTGGCCCTAGGCAGTGGGGTAAGGTAAAAAATGGAACACCCCTCCTGCCCCGTCCTCTGCATGAAATGCAAGAGTCAGCATCTGTCCAGCTCTTGAAAGGCATGCGCACCATCCATATGTTAATGCAAAATTGCATGGGAGGGAAAGGAGGGTGGTGGAATCTGGGATAAGAGCCCTTCCTCCTTGTTTTTCAACCTAGTGAAACCCCACACCTATGAACCACCAGGGCAATTTTCACTGGGAAGGAAAGGGAAAGGACATATCTCCATCAGTCAGCAAGGAGTGATTGAAGAGAGATGAGGGAATCAGATGGCCAGCATTCTCAACTGAACAAGCATAGAGGCCTTGTTGTGTTGTGGCCAACAATATGTGCCATCCCTTCTTACACCTACTGGTGCCAGGTGGGCAGAGATCCTGCACCAAGCCCCGCTGCACCTCACGCAATGCATCACATGGGGGCAGCAAAATCTCAGAGGGAAGAACAAGGAAAGCAGACTCAGTGGGAACTTTTGGGTCCATTTTCTTCACCAGGGTGGCTCTGCAAGGTACCTGGCAAAGGAATAAATGAAAGCACAGGCAAGTGCTCAGCCACCAGCTTAAGAGCTAGGTGTATATTAATACAGAGAATGGATCTGAGCTGAAATCACTGGGAAAAGCCACAGGAGCCCATGGGGCTTGAATGAGGCCTTGGATTCTTGGATCCAGGAGGGGGCACAGCCAGGACAGTGGTTTGGAGGAGGATAAAGGGCATGAAGAGCCCCCCCAACTGCTGGGAAGTATGTACAGAGGGCAGATGAGGGAGCTCAGGTGCAAGACTCAGCCACAGACCAGACAGGCAGGCTCTGAGGGCCTGGGTGGGGTGTGGAACTCGCAGTGGTCTGCTGAGAACAGGCAGGAAAGTGGTGGGAGGCCAATTCTTATGTGAAGTATTTTGATTTCTAAATATTAGTTAATAACTCTAAACTTGAAAAAGCAGTGTGAAGACCAGCTTTAAGAGGGATGTGTGGGCTAGTGTTCAAACTGCATGTGTAATATTTTGTATCTTAAAAAGTGGGAGGCGAGGTGTCAGCAGCAAATCCGTTCATTCTTGGTGATGTCCCAAATATACATTATTATATCATATTTTAAAATTTTCTGTATGTTTAACACAGGTTTTTGTTTAATAAATTAAATTTGGCTGGGGAATAATATGCAAACTAACAAAACACATTCAAAGGCTGGACCCAGGCTTAAGGCCTCCGATTTTCCACTTCTGCCCCCAGTCTAGTGGTCCAGTGAGGGAGATAAAATATGAGACATGTTAGGTGCTGTGCACAGTAAATGTGCAGAGTGTCATATGAAAAGAAAGCGCTTCTGGAGGATCCATTCCCACAGGGGATTCATGGAGTCCTTGCATTTGGGCTGGATATCAAAAGATGGGTAGGATTTCAACAGACAGGAATGTGAGTGAAAGTATTCCAGGCAGAGGCAATGCAGTCTGCAAAGACCCAGCTGGTAAAAGGGGTCACCTTTAGGCAACAATGAGACCAGACCAGAGAACACTAGGCCAGGGGAAAGGTGGAAGATACACCTAGAAAGACATGATGGGCACAGACAGGATCACCCGGCGTCACTTCTAGAGACACCCTGCCTTCTTCCTTCTTTGCCCTCAGAGTACGAGTCTGTGCCCCTCTTAAAGACCACTTGACAATCAATTATTTCACATATAACATGCCTCATCTTTTCTCAAAAATTGGACTGTATGGGAAAAGAATGTCTCCTCCAGCGATGAATATTGATGTTGATGCTAAAAGCTGGGACATCATTCATTATGCAATGGGAATTGTTCAGCTGTCCCTGGAAGATTATGATGGCAGTATTTTGTAGGATGGACTGAAAGAGACGATGAGGATACTTCAAGAATCTAGGTAAGAAATGAAGGCCTGATTTATGCATTGGTAACAAAACCAAATACAGGGGCAACTGAGGCAGGCCCGACGCAGAATGGCCACTAGTTTAGACAGGACTGGGTGTAGGCACAGAACTCTCATGCACCCACTTTCTCAAGCCAGAAACCTGAATGGTAGCCCCCCACTCCACCCACCTATCATTCATTGCTACCAAATTTACCTCCAGGACACCTCTTGAATGTGTCCTCTTCCTCCCTGGTAACATCATTCCTACTTTTATCCCCCTGCGCCCCCCACAGGCCTCCCCACCTTGGAGAGTCACCCGTGAAAGCTATCCGCAGCAGTGTTGCCAGAGTTGTCTCTCCAAACTAGTCTCACCATGTCACGCCCTTCCTTAAATCGAACCACTGGGTGGAGCCCCAGGACTGTTAGGGTGAGCCTGAGCGCCTTAGCATAACAGGGCCCTCTGAAGCCCTGGGCCCTGCCTAACACTCCAGACTAATTCTTACCACCAATCCCTGTCCTATCCCCAGATTCTCCTACTTTGTGCCTCAACAATTTTCCAAAACCCGGGGCTTCCTGCATGCAGCATGCTTTTACGTCAACCCAGGCCAGTACACGGCATTCTCTCTGCTTAGAGGGTGCCCAGCTCTCCTGCCAGTGCATCCTTCCCAGCTTCTTATTTTACAGCCTTCATGCTTTGTGCATATCTAGTTGCAGTGACATTAAATTTTCACTTATATATCCTGTTCCCCACCCCTACACTGCCATGTCTCGAGGACAGTAACTCACCATATAATCTCTCTCTCCCCAGTGTCTGACACAAAATAGACACGTGGGCTGATGGAAGAATGGATGGATGCATGGATGGATGAATGGGTGGGCGGATGGATGGATGGATAAAACACAAGCAAATGGAACTGTTAGAATGGAGAGAGGAAGAGATGGGGAGTCAGGGAGCAGAATGCTTTGAATGACAAAGCAAGAAAGAATTCAAAGATGACTTTTCAAGGTGTTGATGAACCTGAAGAACCTGGATTATCATGATGAGAATGGGAAAAAAGGGAAGCCACACAGCAGGTATGGGGTTGAGAATGAACTTGTTTGTGTGATGTGAAGAGTGAATGTGGGAGTGAGAGGCCCATGAGCAGGGAAAAGGAAATGCTGATGAAGGTGAAGTCCAGCTGCCATGGTTATAAAGGGACTGGGAATTAGATCCAAAACCTGAAATCATGCAATGCCTGGAGTATTTTTATACTACAAAAAAAAAGAAAGAAAAAGAAAAGATGAAAGAAGAAAGAAAGAAAGAAAAAGAGAAAGAAAGAAAGAAAAGAAAGAAAGAAAGAAAATTTGCTTTTAAAAACTGAATTCAAAAGAGAGTTTCCCACTCTTAGGAGACTCAGGTGAGGGCCACTCAACCTCTCTGGGTACATGTGCTTCTTAAGACATCAGAGGACTCTGGTGGGAATTTGGGTGGGAGTTCTTTTCCTTTATCACAGCCCAAGGTCTCACCCAAGACTAATGAGCAGGGAATGGAGTCGGTGATCTGAGGCGTGAAAGAGGTTCATTATGAGGAAGTGGAGAGGGGAGTCTCGATGAACAGAAAGTGCCTCGGCCATTCTCTCCCTGAAGGCAGGGGGCACTGGGGTCAGTTACAGACTCCAAAACAGTCAGTAGTCTGTTCTGGAAATCTGAAGCTCCCTTTTGAATAGTGTAATCTTTCCTCAAGAAACGGAAGAACCAGCACTAGTGAAGTCAGCCCTTCTTCCTAATCAGGTACTGGCGACAGAGGGGTGGGTGTGAGATGGGCTGCAGGCCTATGGTCATCCTAACATGAACTCTGGCCACTGAGGTAGGAATACTCTTCTCATGAGCCCGGCCCTAAATCCTTCTCGCACCATCTGGAGCCTGTCAAATCCCTGGTGTAGCTCTGAGCAGGGCGGCTGTGAGGGCACATGGCTGGTGAGGTCACACAGGGCCTGTGCTTGGCTTAAGGGACTGACATGAGACCTCACATTTTATTTTGCATTGACCCTATCCCTGTAAAATATGTAGCCAGTCCTGATTATGAGAACTTCTTTTAGCAGCAGGTAAAACAACTATCGTTCATCGATCAATCATGGGTAAATGGAAAAGGCTCTCTGGCTCCCCTAGGGCAGTTCAATATCTTTGTGGAGTTCAGATTATAGAGCTAAAGATGGCTTCATCAGGCATGGTGGTGCAGGCTTCAGCAGCACTGAACATTGGCTGTGTCAGTCCAGTGAATCTCAGGCTGTGAAGTCCTGTCTGTGATTTCTACCAAATCTATTAACTTCGACGCAGAAATCAGCAGAGCTACTTCAGCAGAAACCTTGAGGTGACTCTCGTTTCAGACATTCCCTAATGCTACACTTGACAAGATAACTGTCTAGTCAGATCCTTTTCCAGCCCCTTGACAAAGTGAACTAGCTTTTCCAAGGTCACACACTGTCCTTTCCCTCACCCAGCAAAGCCAGGTACAGTGGACATTGCCTGATTTGCAGCAATGGCAGGGACCCTGACTTACAGTTCCAAAGTCCTTGGCAGAGAATCTGCTTAACTCTGAGCTTTTGCTGAATGTACAATCTTGCCCTAGCATAACATGTGAAGCCTTGACAGGAAGAAGTTCCCCCTAACCACCTCCCATCCCTTGCAGTCCCTTGTGCCCCTGAAAATCATACTTATAGTTGGCAAAATAATTCACCACAAGCCGGTTGGGCAGGAAGGAAACAAAATCAGCTTTCACCTTTGCCCTTAAGTGGTGTTGGAATATGTAAGCATCTGCACCTCTCTCATATCTGTCTCCCTAGCATTGAGCACTAGGCCCGGCACTTGCCCACTCAGCTGAGGGGTGAACTTCTCAGGGGCTCTGCTCTTAATGAGTCACAGTCTTGGGGCCCGGGGAAGGCCAGCTATACACAGGCGGTATCAGAACCCCCAGGCAGAATCACTCCCTACTTCAGCCCTGGTAGGTCCAGAAAAGCATCTCAGTGGAGTGTCTTTAGTGAATAAAAAGAATGCGTGGAACTGCTTTCAATGAATCCCTGGTCTCCAGGAAATGGAGTCTGCCAATACTTTTACTTAGGCTAAACATCTTTCAAATACATGAGTGGGAAAGTCAGCTTGAATACCGCATGTACACTGATAACTTTTTCAACCTTCTTGAACACAGGGCAAAGTGGTATATGGAACAAATTGCCGCCTACCACATTGGCTTCCAAAGTTGACATTCCCAGATGCTGGAATGAGGCAGAGCACCAGCTCGATGCAGAGAGCACTGTGAACAGTGGTTTGGATCCCAGGGGAGCAGCTGGAAATTGAAACCTATTGGAATGTGCTTTGGGTTAGCAGAGATGAACTTAAAACCACAGTCTGGCAGCAGAAAACTGCAATCTGCAGGGCACTTGTGGCTGTGACAATGAGAGAGAGGAGCAAGCACTAGACTATTCATGCTGGAGATTGGCCAGGTGTGCTCCTCCCCTCCCACGGGGCAGAGAGGACGGAAATTATGTGAATGCCAAGGGCAACTGAGAAAAGGAGTCATGCTTGTGGTTTTGATTTGTTAAGTGAGCTGAGTTGGGAAAATAAAGATATGAGAGAAGGGGAGGAAGACAGACTATGAATGGTGAGGAAGGTGAAGGCCAGCAGCAGCCTTCCACTGCTGGACTGATGGAAGCAGTGGAAGTTATCTAATGGACAGCCAAGACAGGCACTTTTCCTGGCTCTTATTTTACTGTCTTCACTATTTGGAGCAGTTGTGTGAAAGGTGGTCTACCAGAAGCAGACAAAGCCTGTTGCACCTTGCACTGCCCTTTGCCTCCATAATATTGGTGGAGGAGAGGATTTGAGCCTTATGTTTTATACTTACTGTAATCCCCAAGAAAGAATGGGGGGTCCCTAATTGGTCCCACAGTATTCTCAACCCTGTTTCCTCATTAAAATCACCTGGGGAGTTTCTACAAAATTACAGATACTTAGGCCTCACTCTAACGAATCACTCTCTACATTTAAAAGAAAAACAAAACAGCTCTCCAAGGTTAAGAAAATCTGTAGCTTAAACCAATCAAACCTCAAGAATTCCAAGGTGACCAGGTACAGTTTCTCTAATTGGAAGGTGGGCAGAGGCCCACTCACAGCAAAGTTAGAGATAGCTGGTCATGGATACTCATGTCTGTAATCCCAGCACTCTGGGAGGCCGAGGTGGGAGGATCACTTGAACCTAGGATTTTGAGACCACCCTGGGCAACATAGGGAGACCCCCATCTCTACAAAATTAAAAATTTGTTAAAAGTCTAACCAGGCATAGTGGTGCACACCTGTGGTCCCAGCCACTCCTTAGACTGAGGTAGGAGAATCTCTTGGCCTGGGAAGTTGAGGATCGTGCCACTGCACATCAGTATTCTGAGTGACAGAGCAAGACCCTGTCTCAAAAAAAAAAAACAAGAAAGAAAGAAGGTTAGAGAAAAAAATATATCTGTCTAAATGAATAGTGGCAGCAGCGGCTTTTCCCATGATCTCTCTTGCTGCTTGCCAAACTCTGTTCTCCATACAACAGCCTGAGATTTTTTTAAAGTAAAATCAAATCCTATGTCTCACCTATTTAAAACCTTCCCATGGCTTCCCATTCCATTTACCACACTATAAACTGATCTCCAGCTCTCCCGGGCACTGAATGATCTGCTCAACTTTCCAACTCCTCATCACTTCCCTTTTACTCATGATGCCCAGAGAGATCGACCTTCCTTCTATTCCATAAACAAGCAAAACTTTCTTGCCTCTGAATCTTCACATTTGTCATTCCCTTTACATAAAATGACGTTCCTCATCTTCTCATGGTTGGCTCTCTGTTGACATGTAGATCTCAGCTGAACTGTCACCTCCCTAAAGAGGTGAGACATCCCTCACTATCCTCTCCGAAATACGCTCTGCTTCACTCATCACATCACGTTGTCTCTCTCCTCCTAGCTCTTACCAAAACCTGCAACTAACCTCAGTTGTAGATTTTATTGTTTATCTGTACCCGCATAGGGACCTTAGGCAGTCTTGCTCCCTGCTACGTTCCCAAGAGCTTAGAATCATGCCCAGTGTCATAGAGGGCCTCATAAATATTTATTAAATAAATTAATCCAGGAAGGCAAAGCTGGATCAAAATACATTAGCAGATCTGGAAAATTATAACCGTCCAAGGAGGAAAACTGTGAGTTAGGACGGAACCCAGCAGAATGGGTCACTACCTAAGCCAACAGACCTGAAAAGTCTTCTATCATTCCTTGACTGGACACTTTCCTGCATGAACCCACACCATAGTACAGGTTCACTTTTGCCCATATTAACCCACAGAGCCAAGAGCTGGGTCAAAAGAACATTAGCATGGAAAACACCAAAAGAGAAAGCAGTCCCATAGCAGACTACCTGGTAATAACTTTTAAGGTCTATTTGCTTAACCCAAACATATATATATATAGGGTGTCTACCACCACATATTTAGAAAGGAAAAATGAAGTATGGCGGTACAGCTCTACTTGCC
Source organism: Homo sapiens (assembly GCF_000001405.40). NCBI lineage: Eukaryota > Metazoa > Chordata > Mammalia > Primates > Hominidae > Homo > Homo sapiens. The sequence goes on from NC_000001.11 coordinate 119,455,305, forward strand.
TATAACTGCAATTCAGAACCCAGAAGTAAAAAGAAGTGAACCCCCAAACTTTCAAAACAGCAGTCCCTTAAAAAATTAGTTCATAAAATGTGTGACTCAAAGCAGTCCCTTTGGTTCTTCTCAGAATAAAAGATCTTAAAAGGGCAGATCAGTAATGACTGAAACTGTCAGTGGATTATAATTTTTTGCATATCCCGTATATCTCTAAGAAATAAGTATGGAACTTTGAACTCTGGACAAAAGAGCTACATCTACAAAATGTTTTCCAACAGAACTCATGCTCTCTATCTGTTAAACAGAGCAGCACAGTCAAGCCAGATGAAAGGAAAATATGAAGCAGGTGTCGTTAGAATATTTGGAAGAGTAGTGCATACTTTGGAGAATCATGATCATTGAAAAGAAGCTCAGAAGTCTAAATTAGATGTCACTGTTAATGGGTTGATAAAAAGAAAAATGAAATCACCATGCTCCCAGTGTTAGGCCTTAACTTTTTATGTAGCTGTGAAATTGTCTGCTGCATTGGTGGCTGATAATTTGAGGTCAGGGAGGGGTCTTTAATCTGGCAGCAAGCAGGGAGTGCTTGTGCTGAAAGTTTAGGGACATACTAAGAAATCACATATCTAGGGGTGATTGGCTGGCTGACACAGCAGTCACAGCTGCATTATGGGACAGGATGCCTAGATGACCATGGGCCTTGAAGATGACCTTCAACACCCTTATTTGCATGGCAACATGTGACTTGAAACAAAATGGAAGCTTCATGGTTTAAGCCGTTTTTTACTAGTATAACAAAATATACCAGATTGGATAATTTACAAATAAATACCAGATTGGATAATTTACAAATAACAGAAACTTATTTCTAATGTTCCAGAGTCTGGGAAGTCCATGATCAAGGTGTCGGTAGGTTCCATGTATGGTGAGAGCCCTGTGTCTCCTTCCAAGACAGCATCTTCTTGCCACATCCTCTGCAAAAGGTGGACACTGTGTCCTTATGTGGCAGAAGAATGGAAGGGGTCAGCTAGTTTTCTGAAGCCCTTTTATAAGGTCACTTACTCCATTCATGAAAGCCCTGTCCTCATATGTTAATCACTTCCTAAAGGCCCCAGCTCTAAACAGTATCACATTGGCAATTGAGTTTCAACATGTGAATCTGAAGGGGATATATTCAGACCATACAAGTTCAAGAGATTAAAAAGAATATGAGACAAGAGTGATCTTGGTTTAGCTTAACTCATGCACTGCTGCAAGGAACTTTGGGGATATTTTTTACTTTGAGTCACAAAGCCAAGGCCAGAAAGAGCAGAACAAGAAAGAACAGAGGAGCAAAGAAAAGCCTAAAATATTCTTTGTCATGACCTACAATGTTACAGGATTTTATGGCACATTGGCTAATGTCTATTCTGTGCAATGCACTGACTTCCAAGAAAAGTAGCAGAGTTTTCAAATAAGAGATTCAGGGACCCTGGAAGCAAATTAATATTGACAAGTCCAGTTCTTCACCAGTAAATGAGAAAGGAGATATGTTTATTTTGGTCATATTGGATAGTTTTAGTAGATAGATGGAGGCTTTCTCAATAAATTACTACAGAGCTAAATGAATGGCAGAGATTAAAGTCTAAGAAATCTTCTCTTACCCAGCAGTCCCCAAGAACACAGCCTCAGACTGTGGGCAGACTCATGAAGAGCTGTCCCACCAGCCACGCCCCACAGTAAATGACCAAACCTAGGCTGACTTTGCTCTCCTTTGGCCTGTTCCCCAACCCTAATACCCCTGTCATCCATCAGGAATCACCCTCATGGACAGTGGGACTTGGTGCCATTTCTAGAACTTTACTCTTTGGAATTTCCCTTCTAAATCATAGAACTCTTTGTCAGATACCATCTTTCTTAGTTAGCCTCCTTCCATTTGTGTTAAGTTCATAACTGTGGTCTCATGATTCTCCTCACATTAGAAAAAGATAAGAACATTTCAGTATTAAATTGTTCTTTGTGGTTAAGTAAACAAATAAAAAAGCCTTGAAGATAAGACTTGAAATCAGAGAAAACATAAGTACGATAATGTCCACCCCTCCAAACACCCAGTCAGAATCTTGCAAATCAGTTTTTTTTCATGCTTTCCTGCTTGTTAGTGATCACGTTGCAAAATTTCCCCAAGTTTCTTTTATTACAAGGACTTCAATGCAGGTGTAGTGGCCCACTTAAGGTCATCTCTTCAACCATGAAATCACAAGCTGAGGACTTAGGGGAGTCATTAGAGATTGGTTTGTGGTAAGAGTGAAACAAATCACATGAGCATATGGTATTAAAACAATGTGGCATACAGACAATGACATTAGCTTACTTTACAAGAAAATGTAGTAGAAGCTCTCTTTGTATACATCTACCTGGTGATAACTGTGCTCCTGGACACACATGGGTATAATTTTTTAGGTTGCAACTGGGCTCAGAGGGCTAGATCAAAAATTCCAAGGGAAATGAGCAAGAATATTATCAAGATAATACCAAAAAGCTGTTCTCCATTGCTCAGAAACATGGGAAAAGGAATGCCCACAGTAAACTGAAGAGATGCATATAAAAATCTCAGAAGGAATCTCTTCAATTCTGAAAATGTCTTACATTTGGAATGCAATCTGATAGAAAGGCAAAAGACAAAGACCTGAACAGGCAAAAGACCTGAACAGACACCTTCCAAAGAAGATACATAGATTACAAAAAAAGCATATGAAAAGATACTAAATATCATATGTCATTAGAGAATTGCAAACTAAAACAAAAATACCCCTGCACATCTATTAGAATGGTGAAAATCCATAACACTGACAACACCAAATGCTAGCAAGAATGTGGAGCATCAGGAATGCTCATCCATTGCTGGTGGGGATGCAAAATGGTAGAGTTTGTAAGGCAGTTTGGCAGTTTCTTATAAAGCTATACATATTCTTAATGCATTATCCAGCAATTATGCTCTATTGCATTTACACAAATAAATAAGAAACTATGTCCACACAAAAACATACTTTTAGGTTAGATCTTTACAGCAGCTTTATTCATGATTATTGAAACTTGGAGGCAGTCAAATCACCCTTCAGTAGTTCAATGGATAGTGGAATATTATTAAGTGGTAAAAAAAAATAAGAACTATCAAGCCTTAAAAAGACACGGAGGAAGCATAAACATATATTACTAGATGCAAGAAACCAAAATGAACAGGCTACATGCAGTGCGATTCCAAATATATGACATTCTGGAAAAGGCAAAACCTTGGAGACAGTAAAAAGTCAACGGCTGTACTAGTCAAGATGCATAGAGGGATGAATAGGCAGAGCACAGAGGACTTTTAGGGCAGATGATACTAAAATGGTGTTTACATGTCAGTATACATTTGTAAAAACTCAGAGAATGTGCAAGGCTAAGAGTAAACTGTGGACTTTGAGTGATAAAGTTGTGTCAATGCAAATCAATTGATTGTACAAAATGTACCATTCTGGTGCAGGATGTTGATAGTGGCGGAGTCTGTGTATGTGTGGGAATGAGAGTATATGAGAACTCTCTGCACTTTCTCTCAATTTTGTTGTGAGGCTAAAACTGTTATAGAAAATAAAGTCTATTTTAAAAATTAAATGAGAAAATATATGTAAAGTGCCATATATAGTAAATGACTCAATTAATATATTAGAGCTCATATGTAGAACTTTCTATGTGCAAGGAGATGTCCCATATGACCTCTTGGTCTGATCTCAACTGATTTTTCCTTAAAATAAATATCTGGAGTGGACTTGCTGGGTCAAGTGTGTGAAAGTTTAAAATATTTTGTCAAATACTCACCAGAAATTTGCATAAACGTACACTTCCACAAATAACATGCCTGTCTCCCCACATCTTCACCAACACATAGAAACTTCACTGTATCTAATATTTGCTAAACCACTTGTAGTTTTCAAACTGAGTTTAACTAAGGGTGAATGTTCTTTGTAATGCAAGAGAAGTCCCCAAGGAAAGAAGGTAGCTTGTTGAAAGTACGACAGTCTACCTTTTTTTTTCTTTTTTCTTTCTTTCTTTCTTTTTGTTTTTCTTTTGAGATGGAGTCTCCCTCTGTCACCTAGGCTGGAGTGCAGTGGCATGATCTCAGCTCACCGCAACCTTTGGCTCACCGCAACCTCCACCACCTGGGTTCTAGCAATTATCCTGCCTCAGTCTCCCATTAAGCTGGGATTACAGGCACATGCCACCATGCCCAGCTAATTTTTTTGTATTTTTAGTAGAGATGGGGTTTCATCATGTTGGCCACGTGGGTCTCACCCTCCTGGCCTCAGGTGATCCACTCTCCATGGCCTCCCAAAATGCTGGAATTAACAGTTGTGAGCCACTGCACCTGGCATTTTTTTTTTTTCTTAAACATTGGAGTTCCAAGAACTCTGGGATTGGCACAAAGTTCCAATTTCATCAGAAGACTCAACTGGGAAAATAGCTACTTTCAAGCTCACTTACATAATTGTTGGAAGATTCACTTCCTCGAAGCTCATTGGACCGAGAGCCTCAGCTCCCCTTTGACTGTTCGCTGCCCTCAGTTCATTGCTATATTGTCCTCTCCAGCATGGCAGCTTGCTTCATCCAGCCCAGTGAGAAAGAGGAAACGTAAAATCAAGATGGAAGTAACGATCTTTTCTAACCTAATCATGGAAGTAACATCCCATCATTTTTGTCTTATCATATTGATGAAAAGCAAGTTACTAGGTTCAGCCCACACACAAAGGAATGAATATGAAGAAGTAGAACCACTGGAGTCACCTTAGAGGCTGGCTACCATACCATCATTTTCAGCCTCTGGAGCACCTGGTTGAATGGCAGCTATGTGACCTTCCCAAAATAACTGACAAACAGAGAATTAAGTAGGAGATGGAAAAGAGATTTTGCCAAAGACTTCTTCTTCCTCACTCCAAAGGCCTTGCTGGGAAAGATAGCCAAGTTGAGCTCATATAAACCAAAAGCTCTGCCCCCAGTTCTCCTGTATGGTGGAGGAGATGGCCCATTTTTCCCTACTTCTGAAAACTGGCTCTTCAAGTACCCTTCAAATACCTGGGACCCTACTCATAGCCATGTTTTAGCTGGGAGGAAAATTGCTTCTCCTTGGCAAACAGCTTTGGCCTGTTCATTGGTCCCAGCCTCACATTAGTATGGAAAACTTTCTACTTTTTTCATTTTTGTGGTCACTGTTCTCTTCTATTTCTTTTTATGTATTAGTTCATAAGCACTAAGTTTCAAAAGCACTAAGACATTCTAGAGTCTTTGATTGTTCACTCATCCTTCCTTTCATTTATTCAGTAAACATTTATTAAGTTTCTATTACGTGTCAGATGTTGTGAAAATTCTTATGGTAATAAAAAGGTGTATGAGACACAGATGCTTTATTGAGTCAAACACTCGAAAATGTTTGAACATTTGCTCTGTACAAGGTGCTGAGGATTCATAAAGGCAGCAGTCCAGTTTTAAGACAACAAAAACAAACTCTTGACTCCACTGGCTGTAACACCTTTTTACTGAGATCTTCATGACACTACTTCTTGAACAGGTGTTTATTAAGTCACTGTCTTCACATTTTTCTTCTATTCCTCAACACACAGATGAATTGTGTGTTGGACTTTCCAATTGAACTTTCAACCCAACAGTTCCTGGAAATTTCTCTTACCAAATTACTTATGATGTTGTCAAAATCAATAATCAATTATTTTCCTATTGCATTTGATGCGTCAGCAGCATCCAATAGTGGTCCACACTCTTCTTGAAACACTTTCTTTGCTTGACTTTTACAAGGCCATCTCCTAATTTTCCTCTTGCCTGCTACCAACTCCTACTCAGTACATTTAGCTGGTCCCTCCTTCTCTGTTCAACCTCTAAATATTGATACATCTATTCCAGGATTCAGTCCAGGAACTTTCCCTTTTATCCATGAATATTCTTACCCTAGTTTATTTCATCTAATCCTGTGCCTTTAAAAATTATTCTGTGCTACTCATGTCCAAATTGACCTCTCTAGGACTATAGCACAAGGGGTGTCATTATCCTAAAGTAACACAGAAATTTAATAAGCTGGCCTAAAAGAGGGATTTCCTTTTCCCAACATGAGGGGCTGTGCCTACTATAGCTCCCTGTACAATGGGTGGCTTTATCCCCTAAGAAAAGGAAAACTCTTTGCATGAGGCCCAAGGACTCTAGGTGCTGGGCAGTTGAGTTTCACCATCTTGTGAACAGTTGGCACCTAAATCCAGACTGTTTCACACCAACAGCCTGTGTGTTCCTCCATTGTTAAAGCTGTGTCCTTCTGCTTACATGACAAAAAAAAAATTATAATAAGGGAGACTAGTGTTCCTACATTGGAATGCAGATTGCCGTTGTGAGCCCATCATTTCTTGACAATTTATGCATTAGCATAAAAAAGAGAATAGAGAAATCATGCTATCTATTCTTTTTCTGATCAGTAATCTTTGTGAGTTTTCCTAATATAGCATTTTTTTTTTGGCCTAGCACAGACAGGGGACTTTATTGATGGTACAGGACAAGGTGGGGTTCCCTAGGCCCCTCCCTCTTCAGGGGTTCTGCATGGAAACTGTGAGGAGGGGAGATTCTCAGTGTCGTGGGGGACTGAGTGTGGCAGAGTCTCCCCAGCACCTGAGGGCCTCTCTTTTCCTCTCTTGCTCTCGCTGGGGCTGGTGGTCCAGGGATCTTACTCCTTGGAGGCCGTGTGGGCCATGAGGTTCACCACTTTGTTGCTATAACCAAATTCATTGTCATACCAGAAAATGAGCTTGAGAAAGTGGTCACTGAGGGCAATGACAGCCCCAGGATCAAAGGTGGAAGAGTGGGTGTCAATGGTTAAGCTGAAGTAGACAACCTAGTGCTCAGTGTAGCACAGGATGCCCTTGAGGGGATCCTCTGATGTCTGCTTCACCACCTTCTTGATGTTATATTTGGCAGGTTTTTCCAGATGGCAGGTTAGGTCCATGACCAACATATTGGTGGTGGGTACATGGAAGGCCATGCCAGTGAGCTTCCCGTTCAGCCCATGGATCTCATTGCCCACAGCCTTGACGGCGCCAGTAGATGCAAAGATGAGATCTCTGCGGCCATGATGCCAGTTTCACGAAGGGGCATTCACAGTCTTCTGGGTAGCAGCGATAGCGCTGACTGTGGTCATGGGTCATTCCACTATTCCAAAGTTGTCATGAATCATCTTGGCTAGAGGTGCTATACAGTTGGTGGTACAGGAGGCATTGCTGATGTTCTTGAGGCTGTTTTCATACTTCTCATGGTTCATACCCATTATAAACATGGGGGTATCAGCAGAGGGGGCAGAAATGATGACTCTTTTAGCTCAACCTTGCAAGTGATCTCCAGCCTTTTCCATGGTAGTGAAGACACCAGTGGACTCTATGATGTACTCAGTTCCAGAATCACCCTATTTGATTTTGGTGGGATCTAGCTTTTGGATGATGGTGGTGGGATTTCCACTGATGACAAGCTTCTTGTTCTCAGCCTTGATGGTGCCATGGAATTTGTCATAGGTGGACTCATACTGGAACATGTAGACCATGTAGTTGAGCTCTATGAAGGGGTGATTGATGGTGAGAATATTCACTTTATCAGAGTTATAAGTAGCCCTGGTGACCCAGCACCCAATAAAGCCAAATCCATTGACTTAGGCCTTCATTTTCACCATGGTGCCTCAGGGATGTGGCTGGCTCTGCACGAGAAGATGATGCTGTCTGTCAAATGGGAGAAGCAGAAAGCTACAGCATATTATTTAACCCATAATTATCACACTGAGAAATTCTTCACATGCTCAGATGCCAATAGGTGGTGACTCAGATGAGCATCACTTGATACAGCAGGCTGACATTCCCTGAGCATGTGGACAATTCCGTTGTCTAATTATCACTTGGTTAAAAGACTATGCTTTCCCCCATTGGATTTCCTATTGTCAAAATCAATTGGCCATATGAATCCAGGCCATTAACACAGACATAGGCAAAAATTCCCTCATAATAAATTATAGGCTTAAATGTAAAGGCTAAATTATACACCTCTTAGAAGAAAACATAGGTTAGCGTATTCATGATCCTGAATTAGACAAAAACTCAACTTTTCCTGGTTAAAAAAAGAGTTGAAAAATGAAACATGATCAAAACTAAAAATGTTTGCACTTAAAGACAACAATAAGAAAATGAAAAGATAAGCCACAGACTGAGAAAAAATATCAAATTCTATGTTTGATAAAGGACTTATATCCAGGATATAAAACACACTTACAACTGAACAACGAAAAGATAAATAACCTAATTTTATAAATGGGCAAAATATTTAAATAGCCATTTCACCAAAAAGGTGTAGGAATAGCCAATAAAGTACATGAAAAGATAGTCAGCATCATTAGTGATCAGGGAAATGCAAACTGAAACTACAGTGAGACATTACTTCTTACCCACTAGAATGCTATAATAAAAAAGGACAGAAGCAACTGGAGGAAGTGAAAAAACAATGATGTGGAAAAATCAAACTACTCATGCATTGTCGATGGGACATGCAGCCATGTTGAAAACCAGTTTGGCAGTTTCTTAAAAACTTTGAAGATACATTTACCATATGACCTAGCACTTTCACTCCTAGCTGTTTACCCAAAAGAAATAAAAACCTATGTCCACACAACACATGAATGTGAATGAATATTCATAGCAGCTTTATCCATAACAGTCCATAAAGTGGAAACACATCAAATATCTATCAACAGATGAATGAACAAACAAATGGGAACTATCAATACAATTTAATAGGATTTGACACCTAAAAGGAATGAAATATTGATATGTGCTACAACATAGATAAAACACAAAAGTATATTAAGTTAGGTGAAAGAAGACAGATACAAAAGACCACATATTGCATGATTCTATTTATATGGTGTCCAGAAAAGGCAAATCTGTAGAGTCAGAAAGTCAATTAAGGGTTGCCTTGAGTTGGGGAGTGGGAAGAAAAGGTGGCAACTGATAAGCATGAGGGATTTTTTAGGAATGATAGAAATGTTGCAAAACAGGGTCGTGGTAATGGTCACACATGTCTAAAATTTTACTAAAAATAATTGAACTGTACACTTAAAAAAGGTGAATGTTATGATATGTCAATTATACCTTAGTAAAGCTGTTTAAAAACAAAAAAGTTTAGTAGTGTGGGCCCCATCTGTCTTGCCCTTTGTTTAATTTCTCACTTTCTTCAGGGCTTATATTTATTGCTTCCACTCAGAGATTCCAAGAGACACTGGCTGAAATCTATCAGCCTCCAGAACTCTCAACAGCTGAGGGAATGTCCGGCCCCACCCTGAAGGTGATGGGGTATCTATAAGGTACACTCCAGCATCTGATACAGCAGACAAAGGCATGCGATGCACCTGAGTGGTTTCAGATAGTGCTCCACAAGTCTCAGCAAGACCCAGGGCCTGTAGCTAGTTCCGATAGTTTCAGAGAACCAGCTGCTACATCTTCCAGCACAGGGCCAACCTTTCCTAGGCAAGTGGGTTTGAAGCATTGGTAGTCAGACCCCAAGTAGCAGATGAATGTCTACAACATGGGAGGAGGGCAAGACCCAGAGTGGGGTTTCAAACCAAATCATTTGTAGAGTATTATTTCCAGCAACTGCAAAAAGCATTCTTTTCACATGCTTATGGCATTTTCACCAACATAGACTATTTGCTGCACCATAAAATAAGTCTCAATGTATATCCAAGGATCAGAATCATGTGGAGAATATGCTATGGCCACAATAGTATTTAATTAGAAATCTGCAACAATAAGATATATAGATGGCTCACACCTGTAATCCCAGCACTTTGGGAGGCCGAGGTGGGCGGATCACAAGGTCAGGAGATCAAGACCATCCTGGCTAACACGGTGAAACCTCATCTCTACTAAAAATAGAAAAAATAGCCGGGCGTGATGGCGGGCGCCTGTAGTCCCAGCTACTCTGGAGGCTGAAGCAGGAGAATGGCATGAACCCGGGAGGCGGAGCTTGCAGTGAGCTGAGGTCTTGCCACGGCACTCCAGCCTGGGCGACAGAGCGAAACTCCGTCTCAAAAAAAAAAAAAAAAAAAAAAAAAAAAGATATCTAGAAAGCCCCCAGTCTTAGAAAACAAGCAACATAATCTGAATTACACTTTGGTCGTAGATGAACTCACAAGAAAAAATTTAAAACATCAGTAACTGAGTGATGATAATGCATCAAAATGTTGGCTACAGCTGACATAGTGCTTAGAGAGAAATTTACAACTTTAAATGCCTATAGTGGAAATGAACAAAGGAGTAAAGTCAATTATCTATATTTTCATCATAAGAATACTGAAAAATAACTGTAAAATAAACACAAAATTAATAAATGTAAGCCAATAATAAAGAAAATCATGAAATAAAAAATGAACAAACAATAGAGACAATCAATGGTCAATTTTTCTATACTCCATGAACAAAACTTCATTTCAGAATGATTTTATATTTAAATATGTATCCAGAACCACAGAAATCTTAAAATAAAAAGTTAGGAAAATATGGGAATAAAATAAGAATTCTATGAGAATAAAAATCAGAAAGTAGTTGTCTACCAAGTAGGTTGGGTACAGTGCAAGGAATTAACTAAGAACTTCTTTTCAAGAAGAAAATGGCCTCTGTTTTTTTGGATGGTACTTACACGGGCATACATAACTGTCAAGTTTCACTGGACTGAACACTTGAGATCTGGGCAGTTTAATGAATACAAATTACATTTTTTTAAGTAAAGAAAGTGTCTCAGGAGCTTACGGTGGGTAAATTTGGGCAGTTCTAATGCATAGGCTTCAGAAGCACTCACAGCATGTTCAGTTCAGGAATTTGCTGAAAATGGTTTTGCAGCCAAAAATATGGCATAAGTTCAAACATCTATGACAAGAGTCATTGGGGCAAACAACTACAATCTCCACTCTTGTGGTACGGGCCATATTATTAAGCAGTTATCAATAGATACCTTTCCTTCAATGATGTTCTTCATCTAGTAACCCAGAGCTCTTCAGGGGAAAGTTGCAATTGAGGTCTTGGATATATTCAGTAGGAAAGAAAGTCACCTCACATAAAACTAAGTGATTGGAGCTGTCACCATTGCAAATTTCTAAACTTTACAAGATAATAGCAACATTTCAAATGACACTCAGACAGGAAATAATGTGCTAATGTGGATTCCCCTCCAAACATATTTACTGCACAAAGGCAAAGTTCACATTGCACTTGGAGATATCTCCCAGTCTAGTTTAACTTCACAGATTGCAGATCCCAGACAGCTGGTATGAACTGACCAGCGTCCTGTTAAGGCTAAACCTAAGACTCTTTACCACACTCTTCTCCACAGACTCTTTACCACACATTTTACCACTTAATCTTTTTCGAAGAGTGGCCTTAGGATTGGATTTCTCTTCCTGTTCCTGGGAAGAATTAGAGATATAACCTAAAGGTCACTATTCTTCTGAGAAAAGGGATGCCGGAGGAGATGGGAGCAATGAGTATGTGGCATGAGTTCAGAGTGATAAGGGACAAGCTAGGAGCCACAGAGCATAAAGCTCCAGGGCTGCCTTAGGGAATGAAGTGGCCAGCACCTTGACTCTTCTGTCCAGCCTTTTAACCATTTAATTAATGGTGAAAGCTTTTTCATTTTCTTTCAGCTACTCTTGGCAGTGGTGGGGACATGGAATTTTTGCAAACAATGTGGTGGAGGAAAATAAGGCATCTGTGCAAGTCTATAACCACTTTACCTCTGTTTTTAGTCCTCTCCATGGTCACCCTAGAATAAGATCTGCTCCCCAGGATCTTCTATTTCCTGGCGAGTGTTTCCTGCAATCTTGGATTGGCCATGATGGGCTGGAGCTGCCTTGTGACAGGAGCAGGAGGGTTTCCGGGTCAGAGGATTGTCAACCTCTTGGTGAAGGAGAAGGAGCTAAAGGAGATCAGGGCCTTGGACAAGGCCTTCAGATCAGGATTGAGGGAGAAATTTTCTAGTAAGTAAACTTGAGTCATGGGTGTGTGGCTACATTTTAAACCTTGCATGGGTGTGGGAAGGTGGAGCTTTTCTGGCAAGTTATGGCAAGTTGTAGCCAAACCTAAGCCAATCCCACATCCAAAGTCATCAAAAAAAGAAAATTAAATAGTATAAAATGGCATAGTGTGAAAGATACTGGACAGGCTGTCCAGAGACTGGATTCTGGCCCTGACCCAGAACTTGAGAGGCAGCCACCTCAGCCTCCAGGCCTCTTTTCATCTAGAAAATCCCACATCAGTTCTCATTCTTGTCTACAAGTCTTTTATGCTCTGAAGCTTTTTGTCTTGGCAATTGCTTTACATCATTCACAAAGGACAGCATTTACCTGGAGACCTCACCAGTGGGTCCCTGCCTGTCTAGACTGCCCCAAGCTTTGTTTTGTTTCATAGCATCCTCAGCATCTTTAGTGGAGGTAAAATAAAAGGAAGCGGAGGTAAAGATGAGTGTTTAAGTGTGTGTATGTGTGTGCATATGTGCCTGTGTGTGCATGTCAGAGAGTGAGAAAGAGAGAGAAAATGAAGGGGAGAGAAAAATCAGAGAGAGAAAATGAGAAAGATGGAGAACGAATGAGAAAGAGTGAGAGAGAGAGCAGCAGTGAGAGGGAGACAGTGTGCACAAGCACACAGCACAGAGCAGAGACAGAGTAAGAGGCAGTATAAGGCCAGGCATGCCTCATTTTCATTTCTCACATATGGCTTTTTTTTAAAAACCATTTGTCTCTGTTGCTCAATACCCGCCCCCCCCCCACCCCCACCCTGCAATTGCAGAATTTGTTGTAGCAACTCCTTGTGCAAATAACACTATGAGGAAGGTGGTAGAAAAGGGGTGATATCCAAGTGGACAATGAACGCATCAAGGTCCAGAAACAAAGCGATTTGCCAAGGCCATCTGATTAATGTGTAGCAGAGCTCAGACCAAAGCTTCATCCAGAGGCTTCACTTGGCCCTGGGGCTGACACTTGGCAAAATGGGTCTTCAGTCTCTCCTTTTGCCTCCCTGTGTGTCCAATTCCCTGTCCTCCTCCCCATCCCATGGGATTGGGAGGACTGTGTATCTACATGTGGGCTCTGATTGTGCAGAGGGTCATGTGCTGCCCACAGAAGAGTCCCCACTTGACAGCACTCAGGGACCACACCCAGCACTCTACTCTTCTTTCACTCTTCTCTGACCTCTTCTGATTTCCTCCACCCTCTGTTCTAATGGTGTCTTTGATAAACAAATATTAACACTTCATGAATTTTAAATGATTGTAATCATTATGTCTCACCAATATTTGCACTCTAACACGTAATACAAAGAAAAAGCAATGCTTAGCCTAGAGGAACAATTCCCCTGTGGTGAAAATGCAGGGGTATAATGGATGGGCAAAAGACTGTATGAAGATAAAAACAGAGAATCCTTTCAGTGTTTTTTCTGTGCCAGGCACTGTGCTACATGGTTTGCATGTGCCCACTCATTTGCTGCTCATAACAGCCCTATGAGATTGTTAATGTTATTAGCCTCCTTTCTTACAGATGAGGAAACAGTCAGAGAGAGATTAATGAACTTGTCCAATGTTCCACAGTTAGAATATGGCAAAGTTGGATTTGAACCCATGTGGTCTAGTGCAGCATCTGTGCTCTTAAGCAGTAGTTCGTCTAGCAGCTTGAGGAGGGAGGGAGCAATGGCTCCATCCACAAAGTCCCCTTTCCTGGTCTCTCTAGTTCCCTGTGAACTCACTGCGGAAGAGTCATTTTCTCTTGGCTTTAGACTTCTTCAGCTTTGAAATGACAATTCCTTTGAGCCAGTCTGAAGTTGGCAGCAAATGGGAAGCAGATGAAGGGAGCAGGAAGTACAGAGGTGGAAATACTACCAGAGAAAATTCCACTCTCAGGCTGTCACCCACCTCCTCCCCAGCAGCCTCTTCCCTGCCTCCCCCATTCCAGGGCCTCCTTGGAGTTGCCTGACAGTGGGAAGGGGCTGGGAGTAGACAAAACAAGGCAGAGGCATCAGGAGAGCAAATGGTCCCACCTGTATCCCAGGAAGGAATTTCTCCTGCTTTGAATTTTTCACTCTGAATTTTACTCTCACTGTTCTTTGGCCTTTGTTGCCAATTTCAGTTAAACTGACTTATTCTTACTCTTTCTCAGAAAAGTTGATTGTAAACAGCTATTCCTGCACCTGGTGTACAGGGTACAAGACTTGGAGGTGGGGTGGGCAACTTTGAGCCTTCACTAGAAACGTGACCTTTAATCTGTCCCTTAACCTCTCTGAGCCCCAGTTTCTTCACCAATAAAATGGGATTCAGAACACCTACCTCATGAGACAGCTGTAAAAGGAAATAAGCAAGCTGTGAGCTGTATGCAGATTATAAAGCACAAATGAGTGTAAAGTATTTATCTGAGCTCCATGTAGCATGGTGTTCATTTTGTGGGCTAATTCCAGGTGACAACTTTACTGGCAGCATCACTACCTGTGGATTTCAGAGGAGCCTGAAGACATTGATGTTGTAACTGCTGCCCTGGGCTACACAGCTGGATGTTAGTTCATTGGTGACTGACTCATTTTCAGCATTTGTACCTCCTTTGATAATATCCAATAAGAATTTTCAAAAAAATTCATTATTTAAACTCTTCTGCAATTCGCTAGTAATGGCTCCACTCTCCTCCCAGTTGCTCAAGCAGGAAACCATAGGGGTGATTTTATCTTCTCCTTTTCCTCTCAGCCAAGATCCAACAGGTACCAGGACCTTCAAGGTGAGGTCTGAAATTCCAACCTGGTGTATCTCTCTCCTCCTCTGCTTCCACTGCTGGACCCCGCTTCCAGTCCTCATCTAAACTTTGGCACAGACATTCTGATTAATCTCTTGATCCCCTGGCTTTCTCATATCCCCTATACCAGTCCATTTTATATCCTTGAGGCAAGGTTAACTTCCTACACTACAATTCTGCTTCTGTTTTTCTTTTTCTTTTTGAAACAGGATTTTGCTGTGCCACCCAGGCTGGAGTCCAGAGGCATGATCTCTGCTCACTGCCACCTTCACCTCCTGGGACCCATCCATCCTCCTACCTCAGGCTTCTTATTAGCTGGGAGTGTAGGCATTCACCACTATGTCTGGCTAATTTGTGTATTTTTGGTAGAGACGGGGTTTCACCAAGTTGTCCAGGCTGGTCTCAACCTCCTGGATGCAAGCGATCCACCTGCCTCAGTCTCCCAAATTGCTAGAATCACAGGTGTGAGCCACCACCCCTGGCCTGTTTCTCTACTTGTTCCAAATATAAATAAGGGGTTTTCTGTGACATGGTGCTGGAGACCGAAAATCACAATTCTGCATTACCTACAGAATTAAATTCAAACTTTTCCCTCTTATACCCAACTCTCCACAATCACCCTACTCTCCTTAAAAATTTTGGTGAGTCTCCCATGACCCTAGCCGTGCTTATATTCCAGGCACACCTGACAGCTCATTGCTCAGATTACTTTTCTGAAATGAGATGGGGTAGAAACAGATGTTTGCTCTTTCCCAAAAAATTGCTAAACGTGCTGACTTCTGTGCCTTTGTTTAATTGTTCCTTCCATGGAGTGTACATCCTCCACTCTAACAACCCAACTCTAACCATCCTCGAACACCTATGTAACATCATCTTTATCAGGAAACTTCCAAGCCAGATTCGGAAACCCTTCCAATGACCTGACCTATGTTCTTGCAGAGCTCCAGAACAAGACCAAGATGACAGTGCTAGAAGGAGACATTCTGGATCAGTCATGCCTGAAGAGAGCCTGCCAGGACATCTCGGTAGTCATCCACACCGCCTCTATCATTGACATCTTCGGTGTCACTCACAGAGAGTCTATCATGAACTTCAACGTGAAAGGTACAGTAGCCTGAGGAGGAGATGGAGCAAGGTGGAGCAAACAAGGATCAGAAAGATAAACAATGAAGGAAGAGAAGTCCCTCCGCTGAACACCTGCTATGCTCTGGGCCAAGTGTCTTTGCTAATCACTACCAACTGGGGGAGTTCAAAGCTGCTACCTTCAGTTTTTTACATGAGAAGACTAGGGCTGAGAGATGGCAAGTAACTTGTCCAAGGCCCCCCAGGTAAGTAAGTAAGTAGGAGAATGAGACTTTAAACTCACCCCTGTGTGACTCCAAAGGCTGTGGATGCTCTTTCTACTGTGGCTCCAATCAAATTCAGCTAAACTCCGACTTCAGACTCTTGATATCCAGCCACCCCTTGCCTCTGTGGGCCAGAATCAAATCTTCCAAGTGCCACTATAGTCATCATTTTAAATCTTGTTGTACACTGATGAGAATGAAATGGGAAAAATCCCTTGTCCCCTTCACAGTGCGTGTGATGGGGGTGTGGCTCCCTCCTTCAGTGCCCCTGCTCAGACCACTAGGGGAGCATACGGATGAGCAGGCTGGAGGGCTCCAACTCCAAAGCAGCATCTAGGGGCAAATGTTCACAGCTCCTGAAGCCCCAGTGGGCATGTGTTACATGGTGCTCTTTTAGTTTTGCTCTTTTAGTTTTGCCGTCTATAGGCAGCTTGTGTTAACCAGCTCAATTAGACCTTAGACCGTCCAGCTTGCCACAAGGACGGAGGGCTTTCTATATCCTGGGTTCTTCTCTTAGTGTACCAGAAAAATTGAATCACACCTGAGCTTGGAGAATGAGTGCAAGCTTTTATTGAGTGGAGGTAGCTCTCAGCAGATGGAGGAAGCCAGAATAGAATGGTTTTCCCCCGGAGTGTGCTGCTCAGTGGCCTGACACTTCCCTAACTGCTTGGCCAAACTCTGCATCCTTCTGCTGGTCAGTGCATCCCTCTCAACATCCAGCTGCCCTGTGTTTCTTCACTGATGTGCTTCCCTCAACATCTAGCTGCTTCTGTCTTCTTCCCCTGATCTGCTCCTCTTGACATCCAGCAGCTTGTGTGTGTCTGCTAGAATCTTGGGCCTTTTTAACAGGCACAGAATTAAACATGTGTATTAAACAAGGAAAGAATTTAGTGCCAAAGATTACAGAGACAAGAAGTAAAATATACTAACAACATTGTACGAGCTGTTTCACCCTGGACTGGTTAAACTTTAGAAGAGACATAACTGTTCTTGGCATATCTTTAGCAGTTAACAGATGCACCCCAGGAATTCTGGGGTTTGTGGGCTTGCACCAAGGCCAGTAAAGCTTTTGGTTTTTTTCTGTATCTCCTCTCTCTTTCCTGGGCTTTTCTGTCTCTATGAGGAAAGACCGAGATGGCCACTTTCAGGAGCTCCTCTAATGTACTATCTGATCCCAGAGCCTGTTTCTGCAACTTCCTCCTGATGACAGGAGCTGCCTGAGTAATAAATTTATCGTTTAGATGTCTCTCGACTGAGGCAGGAGATAGAGAGGTGTGCTTTACTAAGACCTCACTTAGCCTTTCCAGTAGGATTTTCATTTTTGTGTTTTTCCTATGGCTGTAGCATGACCCAATCTCAGTCAGATCCACTGAAGAATGTACCTCGAGTCTATTACAACCACTGAACTTGGGAGTGGGGAGTGAGACACATGGATCTGTTCACGTGGTTGGTCCCCCTTAGGGATATTTCCTGACATTGACAGCATGCTCTTCATGGGCAGGTACCCAACAGCTGTTGGAGGCCTGTGTCCAAGCTAGTGTGCTAGTCTTCATCCATACCAGCAGCATACAGGTAGCCTGGCCCAACTCCTACAAAGAGATTTTCCAGAATCGACACAAACAAGAGCATCTGGAAAACACATGGTCTGCTCCATATCCATACAGCAAAAACTTGCTGAGAAGGCTGTGCTGGTGGCTAATGTGTGGACTCTGAAAAATGCTGGCATGTTGTACACTTGTGCCTTAAGCTCAATGCATATCTATGGGGAAGGAAGCCCATTTCTTACTGACAATATAAATAAGGCCTTGAAAAACAATGCGATCCTGTCAACTGTTGGAAAGTTCTCCACAACCAACCCAGTCTATGTGGGCTGGGCCCACATTCTGGCCTTGAGGCCCTGTGGGGCCCCAAGAAGGTCCCAAGTGTCTGAGGACAGTTCTACTACATCTCAGATGACACGCCTCACCAAAGCTATGATAACCTTAATTACGCCCTGAGCAAAGAGTTCGGCCTCTGCCTTGATTCCAGATGGAGGCTTCCTTTAGCCCTGAGGTACTGAATTGGCTTCCTGCTGGAAATAGTGAGCTTCCTGCTCAGGTCAATTTATACCTATTGACCTCCCTTCAACTGCCACACAGTGACATTGTCCAACAGCATGGTCACCTTCTCTTACAAGAAGGCTCAGCGAGATCTGGCGTATAAGCCAATTTACAGCTGGGAGGAAGCCCAGCAGAAAACCATGGAGTGGGTTGGTTCCCTTGTGGACTGGAACAAGGAGACCCTAAAGTCCAAGACTCAGTGATTTAAGGATGACAGAGATGTGCATGTGGGTATTGTTAGGCGATGTCATCAAGCTCCATCCTCCTGGCTTCATACAGAAGGTGACAAGGGCACAAGCCCAGATCCTGTTGCCTCCCTTTCACACAATAGCCAACTTATTATCTTCCTGTGCCATCAAAACCTGTGCAGTCAGTGGCCTAACCAAAAGCTTTCTGTCCTAATCACATGCCAGAGGACACACAAGGTGATTTGCTGTTACCAAATCTCGTGGCCTGATTCTGAACAATTTGGGATCTCTTTTAACTTGAGGGTCTCTTTCGACTACTATAGCTCCATTTCCCCTCTTAAATGAGAAGGGATTTCTTTTCTTTTAAATCTCCTATTTCTTCACAGAGTTCAATGAAAAGAGTAATAAATGATTTAATGCTTAAAGTGGAGAAAAGTGTGGTTACTGTTAATACATACTTTTCTCCTTTCTTTTACATTTCCAGGTATCACCATCTCTCATTTAGAAGAGTAGGCTGAAACAGGGGTTAGGAGGTGGGCAGAGTAGTGGGAGGGTCAGGGAGGGCGGATGAAGACTGAATGAATAAGCTCTACTATGTTTCACACATGTACAACATAACCTACATATGACATATATTATCTCATTTAATACTCATCAGAAATCTATGAGGTAGAGTGACAATTTCCATTTTATTAGCAAGGAAACTTGTGCACAGTCACACTGATTAGTGACTAGGCCTGCTATGAGGGAGTTGGCCTTGAAAGTCCTTATCTTTCCACCCAATTACACAGCCTGAACTGGTCTTGTCCGTGGTACAGCAGAGCACTGAAGCATGGGGTGCCGATTTATGGGAGAGCCCCGGCTACCTTGGATTACCTCCTTCTTGCCCAGTCCCTTGCAGGGGACTCTCTAGAATCCAGGAGAATCCTCGAGGAGTATCTGGAAGGGTTTGCATGCCTTAGCAAATGGCCCTGAGCAGGGCAGAGAGAAGCAAAAATGCATCCAGCCTCCACCTTCAGTGCCAATTTCCTTGAAGGTCTGTAGAACACACCTGGCTATATGTGTGTTGATCATTCTGGTTATTCATAACCCTGCATTTCACCCTTCCAATCACCCAATGAAGCCACATCATGGGTTCCTGGGCAAGTAAAGAAAACAAGTGTGAACTTTCCCCAAAATATACCTTCTATTCAGCCTCAAAGTAGAAGTCTACTATCCCATATCCCCAGATTTAATGGTCTCTCTCTCCTTTCTCTTTTTCATTTTAAATTACATCTGTTCTTCCTTCATTCTTCCATCTCCTTAGCCACTTTCTTCTCTCTATCTCCCCTTTAATCACTGGTCCTCTCATTTGTCTCAATTTCCATGAAGAGATGAGGCCAATCAATATAAGTTTGGGGACTTCAATGATGACATAGTTATTAAGCAACCAACAAAAACACAGTCAAAAGAAACACTGTCAGGGGCATCAGGGACAGAATTGAGCGGAAGCAGGTGAGGAGGTTGCTGTGGGTCAACAGTGTGGGGAGGGGAAGCTATCTCCTCTGGACCTGGATGTATCACAGCATGATTAGAGTAATACACAACATCAAGATGACTTCTTTCTTACAGAGGAAATTTACAGATCATTAATCAGTTGAATTTGATTACCACAAAGGAATTAGTTTCAGTGTTCATCCTGTAGAGTAAAGGAAACCATATTCTGGCCCAGATGAACAGGTTTCCACCATCGTCAAAACCACAAGGGACAGATGATCAGCACTAGCATCAGGGGGTGTGGCCCCAGGCAGTGGGGTAACGTGGAAAATGGAACACCCATCCTTCCCCGGCCACTGCACAAAATGCAAGAGCCAGCATCTGTCCAGCTCTTGAAAGGCATGCACACCATCCGTATGTTAATGTCAAATAGAATGGGAAGAAAAGGAGAGTGGTGGAATCTGAGGAAAGAGCCCTTCCCCCTGGTTTTTCAGCCTTGCGAAACCCCACGCCTATAAAACCACCAGGGCACTTTTCACAGGGAAGGTAAAGAAAAGGACATATTTTCAACGGGCAGCAAGGGTTGCTTAAAGAAAGAGACGAGGGAATCGGATGGGCCAGGATTCTCAACTGAACAAGCAATAAGGCCTTGTTGTGTTGTGGCCAACAAAATGTGCCATCACTTCTTATACCTGAGGGTGTGAGGCTGGCGGAGCTCCTGCACCAAACTCTGCTGCACCTCACGAGACTCACCACACAGCGGCAGCAAAGTCTCAGAGGGAAGAACAAGGAAGGAAACCTGACCCAGCACGGACTTTTAGGTGTCTTTTCTCCACCGGGGTGGCTCTGCAGGGTACCTGGCAAAGGAATGAATGAAAACACAGGCAAGTGCTCAGCCACCAGCTTAAGGGTTTAGGTATATGTGAGTACAGAGAATGGAGCTGAGCTGAAGTCACTGGGAAAAGCCACAGGAGCCAGTGGGGCTTGAAGGAGGCCTTGGATTCCTGGTTCCAAGGCAGGGGGCACAGTTTGGGCAGTGGTGAAGAGGAGGATGAGGGACATGAGGATGCCCACCCGCCTTCTGGGAAACGTGTACAGAGGGCAGATGAGGAGCTCAGGTGCAAGACTCAGCCATGGACCCGACAGGCAGGCTCCCAGGCCAGGGATGGAGTGGGGAGCCCACAGTGGCCTAGAGAGATCTTGCAGAAAAGTGGCCAAAGTCCAACTCTTATGTGAAATCTTTTCATTTCTAAATATTAGTGACTAACCCTAAATTTGAAAAAGCAGTGTGAAGACCAGCTCCAGGGGAGGGATATGTGGGCTAGTGTTCAAACTGTATGTGTAACATTTTGTATCTTAAAAAGTGGGTGGCGAGGTGTCAGCAGCAAATCTGTTCATTCTTGGTGATAAGTCCCAAATATACATTATTATATAATATTCTCAGTTTTTCTGTATGTTTAACACAGGTCATGATTTTTTAAAAAAATTAAATTCTGTGAGGGAAAAATATGCAAATTAACAAAACACATTCAAAGGTTGACCCCAGGCTTAAGGCCTCCGATTTTCCACTTCTGCTCCTGGTCTAGCGGTCCAGTGGGGGAGATAAAATACGAGACATGTTAGATGCTGTGCACAGTAAATGTGCGGTGTCATAAGAGAGGATAGTGCTTCTGGAGGATCCATTCCCCTGGGCATTCATGGGGTTCTTGCATTTGGACTGGATATCAAAAGATGGGTAGGATTTCAACAGACAGGAATGTGAGTGAAAGTATTCCAGGCAGAGGCAATGCAGTCTGCAAAGACCCAGGTGGGAAAAGGGGTCACTTTTAGGCAACAATGAAACCAGACCAGAGAGCACAAGGCCAGGGGAGAAGTGGAAGATGCACCTGGAAAAAAATGATGGGCACAGACCATGATCACTCATGATCACCCCTGGAGACACCCTGCCTCCTTCCTTCAGTTGCCTTCAGAGTAGGAATTCTGTGACCCCTCTTAAAGACCACTTGACATTCAATTACTTCACATATAATATGCCTCATCTTCTCTCAAAAATTGGACTCCAAGGAAAAAGAATGTCTCCTCTAGCTGTAAATATTGATGGTGATACTAAAAGATGGGACATCATTCACTATGCAATGGGAATTGTTCAGCTGTCCCTGGAAGATTATGATGGCAGTATTTCGTAGGATGGACTGAAAGAGATGCTGAGGATACTTCAAGAATCTAGGTAAGAAATGAAGGCCTGATTTATATGTTGGTAACAAAATGGAAGACAGGGGCAACCGAGGTAGGCCTGAGGCAGAATGGCCACTAGTTTAGACAGCACTGGGTGTGGGCACAAAACTCTCATGCACCCACTTTCTCAAGCCAGAAACCTAGATGGCAGTCCCCACTCCTACCACCTATCATTCAGCGCTACCAACTTTACCTCCACAACACCTCTTGAATGTGTCGTCTTCCTCCCTGGTAATGTCATTCCTACTTTTACACCCCATAGGCCTCCCTGTCTTGGAGAGTCACCCGTGAAACGTATCCTCAGCAGTGTTGCCAGAGTTGTCTCTCCAAACTAGTCTCACCATGTCATGACCTTCCCTAAAACCAACCACTGGGTGGAGGCCCAGGACTGTCAGGATGAGCCTGAGAGCCTTAGCATAACATAGAGGGCCTCTGAAGCCCTGGGCCCTGCCCAATAGTCCAGACTAATTCTCACAAATCCCTGCCCTATCCCCAGATTCTCCTACTTTGTGCCTCAACAATTTTCCAAACAGCGCTTCCTACATGCAGCATGCTTTTACATCCACCCAGGCCGGTGCACAGCATTCCTTCTGCTTAAAGGGTCCCCAGATCTCTTGCCAGCACCTTATTGCCTTCCCAGCTCCTTATTCACCATCCAAACATCTCTTTTTACAGCCTCTGTGCCTTGTGCATATTTAATTGCACTGCTACTAATTTTTCTTGTATATATCCTGTTCCCCACCCCTAAGCTGCCATGTCACGAGGACAGTAATTCATCATGTCATCTCTCTGTCCCCAGTGCCTGATTCAAAATAGGCACATGGGTAGGTGGGTGGATGGATGGATGGATGGATGGATGGATGGATGGATGGATGGATGGATAAAACACAAGCAAACTCAACTGTTAGAATGGAGCGAAGAAGGGCTGGGGAGTCAGGGAACAGAATGCTTTGAATGGCAAAGTAAGAACGAATTCAAAGATGACTTTTTAATGTGTCAATGAAGCTGAAGAAGCTGGATTATCGTGTTGAAAACTGGAAAAAAAGAGAAGACACATGGGGTGTATGGGGCTGAGAATGAACTGATTTGTGTGATATGAAGAGGGAGTGGGGTTGTGAGAGGCCAATGAGCAGGGAAAGGGAAAGGCTAATGAAGGTGAAGCCCAGCTGCCAAGGTTATAAAGGGACTGGGAATTAGATCCAAAACCTGAAATCATGCAATGCTCAGAGCATTTTTATACAACAAAAAAAAATGAAAATCTGCTTTTGAAAATTGAATTCAGAAGAGAATCTCCCACTCTTAGGTGATACAGGTGAGAATCACTCAACATCTCTGGTTGCATGTAATTCTTAAGATATCAGGGGACTCTGGTGCATATTTTGAGAAAGTTCTTTTTCTTTATCATGGCCCAAGATGCCACCCAAGGGTAATGAGCAGAGAATGGAGTCTGTGTTTTGAAGCATGAAAGAAGATTGTTATGAGGAATTGGAGGGGGAAGGCCAGATGAACAGAACAAAATGGCTTGGCCACTCTCTCCCCAAAGGTAGGGGGCACTGGGGTCAGTTGCAGACTCCAAAACAGTCAGTAATCTGTTCTGGAAACCTGAAGCTCCCTATTGAACAGCGCAATCTTTCCTCGAGAAATGGAAGAACCAGCACTAGTGAAGTCAGCCCTTCTTCTAAAACAGGTACTGGTGATAGAGAGGTGGGCATGAGATGGGCTGTGGGCCTATTGTCATCCTAGCATGAACTCTGGCCACTGAGGTAGGAATACTCTTCTCATGAGCACGGCCCTAACTCTCTCTCACACCTTCTGGAGTCTGTGAAATCCCTGGTGTAGCTCTGAGCAGGGCAGTTCTGTAGGCACACAGCTGGTGCAGTCACCCAGGGCCTGTGCTTGGCCTAAAGGGCTGCCATGGGACCCCACATTTTATTTTGCACCGATTCTATTTCTGTAAAATATGCAGTCAGCCCTCATTATGAGAACTTCTTTCAGCAGCAGGCTAAACAGCTATGGCCTCAGATCAATCGTGGGTACATGAAAAAGGCTCCCTGGCTCCTCAAGAGCAGATCAATGTTTTTGTGAAATTCAGATCTTTTAACTAAAAAGGCTTCATTAGGGATGGTGGGGCATGCCTGTAGTCCCAGCTACTCAGGAAGCTGAGGAGTGAGGATCACTCGAGCCCAGGATTTCAAGGCCAGCCATGACCTCGTCTCTAAATTTTTTTAAAAAATTAAAACTTAAAGAAGACTCTAGAGACATTTACTTCAGCTTTTAGCTGTGAACTCCTTTCCTTCTTCCATTTACCAGTGAGAAAACTGAGACCTGTGAAGTGAAGTGACTTTCCAATAGTCACTGAAACCGTCAGTACCGGAGCTGAACTAGAACCCCGGTCTCTCCGCTCTGCTACTTTAAAACATGCTGGAATCCACATGGTAAAGAAAGGAGAAGAGTTTGTGGCAAGCGTCCCGGGTCCAGAAGACACACAGATTTCAGAGCAGAAGCACAGCACAGCCCAGGGGAATTATAGATTCTGCCACAGCTCCCAACACCATCTGCACACAACCAGCCACACCAAGATTCCGCCATGGCTGCTTCTGTCTGCAGCATGTCCCATCCCCTTGGCACCATTTCCTCAGCTGACTCCTCCTCATGGTCAGGCTGCACCTTTCCCAGGAGGTCTCCAGCCTTCCAAGGACCAGTAAAGGGTCTGTCTGCTAGAGACCACTTCCAGTACAGTGTGGGTGTCCACTAACTTGACTTGAGGGAGGGAGGAACGGAGGGAAGGAAAAAAGGAAGGAAGGAAGAAAGAAGGAAAGAAGGAGGAAGAAAGGAAGGGAGGGAAGGAGGGAAGAAGGAAAGAAGGAAAGAAGAAAGGACGGGAGGGAGGGAAGGAAGAAAGCAGAAAGGAAAGAAGGAAGGAAGGAAAGAAGGAAGGAAGGAAAGATGGAAGGAAGGAAGGAAGGAAGGAAGGAAGGAAGGAAGGAAAGAAGGAAGGAAGGAAGGAAGGAAGGAGGGAAGTTAGTTCTCAAAAGAAAGGGACCCTGGACCAGAATAAATGAGATCTTAGGAAATGATCTAAAGGCTGTTGAAGTATGAGTGTTCCCTAAGGAAGACAAAGTTGGACTCTATTCTCACCTGCAGTGGTGACCCAGTATTTGCTAACCCTAAGCTGAGAAGGCAGGTGAAGCCACAGAGCCAGGAGGTTGTCCTACCAACATATGTATTAAGAAAAAAAAAAAACTGGAATGAGACATTTCAAAAGAGGGCAGAAGGCAGGCCTAACAACCAGCCAGCTGCCTAAGTCATCTGCCTGGCTCAAACAGCTCATCTCCCACCTCAACATCAGCCTGTAGGATGAGAGTTCTGCATGAATGGAGATAGGCAGGTACTTAATGGTATAGAAATAAAAGTAGCTGGGGTGACTGAGACTAAGGAAAGGGGGAGAGGATGGCAAAAAGAAGCCAGTATTTTTTCATTTTAGAAACAGAATATTTCTGCAAATGAGAGTGAAGGGTGCAAATCCTGGGTTCTCATTTCAATTTTGCTATCAAAGTCAAGCAAATCTCTTCACTTTCCTGCGTCTGTTTCCTTTCCTGAAAAATGAAGGCTATGGCTCATTTCTAAGGTCTGTTGCCAGTGACATTGGGCTTTAAAAGTGTAAGATGATTTGCATCCTCTGGCACCTGCACACTTCTGCAGTTAAACGTCATAATAACACATGCCTCTACATGCTTGTTTGTTTGTGTGAAGCCAAAGCTATTCGAGAAAGTGGTTTTCCAGACCTTCCTTGGGTCTAGTGGCACCTGGCACCTCACTGGGCATGGGGCATCATACTTCTCATAGGGCTGTAAAAGATCAAGAAGTGGAGCCAAGTAGGAACCGATTCCCTCCCTCCCTGATATCTGATGACCACTGAACTGCAGAACTTAATGCTGACTTAAATATGGTCTCTTGTTTTTGCATTTAGCTATGGACGTTTCCCAAGTAGGTTTTAAAATTCTTAGACAATCACTTGACATAAAAGTGGGCAGAGCCAATAGAGACAGTGCCTACTGAAAAGGAATCAGAAACCCAGAAAAGTCATGCCTTGCTCAAGTCCACTGCCAGTTAATGCCAAAGCTCTGCCCTGCACACTCCACGCACAGCACACCCTCAAAGAGAAGCAGAACTAGTTCCTTCTTTCTTCCTGTTCTCAGGAAAGGGAGGCCATGCCTTCTCACTCCCTCATTACCCTGCCCCAGGAGCTGGAAATCCCAGAGGACACAGGCCACATGCACAGCAACTGCCTCTCTCCTCCTTCTAGGCTCCCAGGAGCTATGACACAAGACTTTAGGATGCCCCTCAGCAGCCCCTTCTCTGCAGCACTTGGGCACAACCACCCGGTAACCACCTTGCTTCCTAACATTCACACAAGCCCCTGAATCTTACAAGAGCCTTCATGTTTTTCATTTTGTTTGATTTCCCCACACCTTATACCTTTATCTTTCCACTGCACAGATGAGGCCAAGATCAAGAATACATACAGGGCTTGGTCTGGGCTGCAGCAGCATTGAACAGTGGCTGTGTCAGTCCAGTGAATCTCAGGCTGTGAAGTCATGTCTGTGATTTCTACCAACTCTATTAACTTCAACACAGAAAGCAATATAGCTACTTCAGCTGAATTCTTGAGATGATACTCATTTCAGACATTTGCTAATGCTACTCTTGACAAGAGAAATGTCTTGCCAGACCCTTTTTCAGCCTCTTGCCAAAGTGAACTAGCTTTTACAAGGTCACACACTGTCCCTTCCCTTGCCCAACAAAGCCAGCTAAAGTGAACATTACCTGATTTGCAGCAGTGGTGGGGACACTGACTTATAGTTGTAAAGTCCTTGGCAGAGAATCTACTTAATGCTCTGCCTTTGCTGAATGTACCATCTTGCCCTAACATAACATGTGAAGCTTTGACATGAAGTTCCCCCTGACCACCTCCCACCCCCTGAAGCTCCTAGTGCCAATCCCTAAAGTAATACTTAAAGTTGGCAGAATAATTCACTACAAGCATATTGGGCAGGTAGGGAACAATATCAGCCTTCACCTTCACCCTTAAATGATGTTGAAATGTGTAAGCATCTCTACCTCTCTCATGTCTGTCTCCCTAGCATTGAGCACTACGTCCAGCACATGCCCACTCAACTGACAGGTGAACTTATTAGGGGCTCTGCTCTTAATGAGACACAGCCTTGGGGCCTGGAGTAGGCCAGTCATACACAGATGGTATCAGAACACCCAGGCAGAACCACTCCCTACTTCAGCCCTAGTAGGTCCAGAAAGGCATCTCAGTGGAGTGTCTTCAGTGAGTAAAAAGAATGCATGGAACTGCTTCCAAAGAATCCCTGGTTTCCAGGAACTGGAGTCTGTCATTCCTTTTACTTAGATCAAACATTCTTCAAATATATGTGTGAGAATGCCAACATGAACACCACACGTACACTGACACCTTTTTCAATCTTCTTAAACACAGGGCAACTTGGCATATAAAACACCTTACCGCCCACCTCACTGGCTTCCAAAGCTGAGCATTCCCGACTGCTGGAATGAGGCAGGGCACTGGCTGGATTCAGAGAGCATTGTGAACAGTGGCCTGAATCTCAGGGGAGCAGCTGGAAATTGAAACCCATTGGAATGTGCTTTGGGTTAGTGGAGATGACCTTGAAAACCAGAAAACTGCAATCTGCATGGCACTTGTGGCTGTGATAGGGAGACAGAGGGGCAAGCACTAAGCAATTCGTGCCGGAGGCTGGCCAGGTGTGCTCCTCCCCTCCCACCAGGGGCAGAGAGGATGGAAATTATGTGAATGCCAAGGGCAGCTGAGAAAAGGAGTCATGCCTGGGGTTTGCTTTGTTAAGTGTTAAGTGAGCTGAGTTGGGGGAATGAAGATCTGAGAGAACGGGAAGAAGGCAGACTATGAGTAGTGAAGACGATGGTGAGGGCCAGCAGCAGCCTTCCACACCTATTCCATTGTTATCTGATGGACAGCCAAGACAGGACTTTTCCTGGCTCTTACTTATTATATTGTCTTCACTATTTGGAGCAGTTGTGTGAAAGGCAGGCCTACCAGGAGCAGACAAAGCCTGTTGCATCTTGCACTGCCCTTTGTCTCCATACGCCGTGGCAGAGGGAAGCATTTGATCCTTCTGTGTTATACTTACTGTAATCCCCCAAAAAGAAACGGGATCCCTGTAAGAGTTAAAGAAAGAGGGTAGTAACATGAAATGTGGCTCAACAGTCAAAGACAGATGTATTTTAGAGAAATAAACCAGAGAGGGTCTTCTGGCCAATTTCAGTCAGAAGCATTCTCTCTTACAGACTAAGCATATATATATATTAGTTTTAGGGTGAAGGAGCTTATCACAAGGTTGGAATGTTTCTGTGTGGGGGAGAAGTTTATGGCAGGGTTGGAATGTCTTTGGGTGGAGGGGAGGTTATCTTGGGGCTGATGTCTTTCTGGCTGGAGAGGAGGTTATCTCGGGGCTGGCATGTCTCTCATTGGGGAGGGGTTTGGAATGTTTCTGGTAAGAGATGTTGACGGGATGTTGCTGACTTTAGCCATTAGGCTGATGCCCTTTGGATTTAGGCAGTTTCTGATCAAGGTGAATTTTAAAATGACAGTGCTTGTCCAAGATGGCAATGCTCCTGCTCTGTCAATCCTGACCCTACAGTTATAAAAAGGATGAGGGGCGACGTGTTCTTTCTGGCTACCTCCTGCTGATGAGGACACAGAGAGTTTTCTGGTCTCAGATTGACTGTAGGAGCAATGCCTTGTGTGGATGTTTTTCGGTAGTTGTTTGTGAAATGGCCCTGATCCTTTCAGTTAAAAATCTTTGAAAAAGGTTAATTAGGCAGGGTAAAAACATTAGTCTTAGGCATATTATTAGGAGAGGGCCCAGGCATGGGATGGTCCATGCTATGATTTTGTTCCCAAACCAAAGACCTATTTGGTTGTTTTGGTATTCCAGCTTTTTCTTTTCTTTTCTGTTTTACCTGTTTACCAGGCCCAACTGGTTGAGATAGAAACATTCCTCACCTAATGAGAGGCAGAGGCACATGTTTGGGAAGGCCCATGTGTTATTTCCTGTTGGTAACCATTATTCCTGCTATGAAGATAATAATTAAGCAAAATGTTATGGTAATTGAGTTTCTCTGATATTTACCTGAAGGGTGCTACAGTATATAGTCCTATTGCAAATAGTAGAGTGAGTAAAGCAATTCCCACAAGGGTGGCATAGTAATAATTACCATTTAAAAGTTTTAATATTTGGCTTAAAAGGAGAGGTAAGAATGACAAAAAGTATTTGGTGAGGTAGGGGTGAGACTGAGTAAGATGAGTAATTGTTACTTGGTTACTTATTTTTTTATGATTTTTGGCTTAAGATTTCCTATTTCTTTATTTCCTCATGTGAGGGTCGGGGTCCTAGAGGCAGTGCCTGCTGAAACATCTGGTTTTCAGTTTATAGGGTTTAAGAAAGCACAGATTATTTTGGAAATTTGTAGTCAGAAAAGTTAGAATTTAATTTAAACAGTAGAAAATAATAAGAATTGAAAAATGTTAGGCAACACTAGAATTTAACAACAGGTATGCTACAGTTTTTGAAACATAATTTTCTCTCTTCAGTTTCCCATTTTTATTAAAAGACAAATCATGGTAGGACTGGTTTGCTTTATTGTACTTGGCTTAATTATTTGCATACAGCGCAGCAAGAATAATGATTTGTTACATAGGCCTCTTAAACTGGCTTTGACAGAACTTTGTTCCATAGAAGGAATATGAGATAAGACCTTTTTAAAGCCAAGCGCAGCCATGGATTTGTACCATCAAATAACTATGAGTTTGGTGAATTCCTCTCCTCTTGAGGTTCCAAATAAGTTGGGCCTCCCGGCCTGTCAGAAAGTGACCTTCATTACTTACCACAGATCAGAAACCCTGTACAGGGACTGTGTACACAAAATACGAGGCCAGTTTCCCAAGGGCTTTATTGGCTTCATAAGTCCAGTTTGATTCCTTGAAGGAAGGCACACCATTCCAGTCAAAGCCTTGGTGAAATAACCAGTTTCTCCAATTGTGTCCTGTTACAAAAGAAAACAGATTCTTACTGCACTTATGCAAACAACTATATTGCCATAACTTAAGAATACTCACAGTTTCCAAATTCTGGAGAAAATCAGGTAGAGAGAAACAAGTATACTCCAAATTTTGTTAGTGCTTTATAACTGACTATAAAACCACCTTCTAAAGAGGACCTAAAGAAGACAACAATTGTTTATGGATGACACAAAGTTTTAGGGTAGCCATAGTTAAAGGCATAATTGATAAGGATATCTGTTACCTCTGTGGCACACAATAATTTTAACATAACAATTATAATTATTACTGATAACATACACTGAGATATATCAGAATTATAGGAGTCTCCCGTAACTTTGGAGCACATACCAATAACGTATTTATACAAATATAGCCCAAAGAAAGCCAAACACCATTTTATATTTTACAATGCTTCCTGTATGATTTTATACCAAATAAGCTAAATTTTACCTTTATATTAGTGTGCTATTAATGTTAAACTCAATTGTTAATAAAACCTTGTAGACGCATTTACCCAATTTTAATATAAGATTTTTATAGACTCTTTTTAACACTTTATAATTTTTGTTAAAGAGCAGGTTAGTGTTTTAAGAGAAATCCATTGTGCTTTTATTTTAATGCTCAATTTGCAGGAAAACTAGATGATACCTCTTCAACTTTAGCCAATATGTTTACACACAGAATTTCCTGTACAATTAACCTTCCAAAATTTTCTTAAACCTCCAAAAAATTTTTTAACCTTTTAATCTAGGTAAAAATCCACACTCTCATGCCTCCTTATAATCTTTTTGTCAAAAGTATTTGCAAACTGTTTTTTCAATAGTATTACACGCATGTTACACTGTTAACTTTTAGCAACCTTTACTTTTGTTGGTAAGTTTGGGATTTTAATTATGTACTAGATGTAGAGTCTAGGACCGAGACAGAAATGCAGTTAAGGTCTAGCTTATTCCAGCATTTAACTCCATGTGTCCTAGGTTTTACCTAGCTACAAATCAGGCAATTTGTATGGCTAAGAGTTATAGTGACATTTCATGAAGTATTCAGGAGGTCTACTCACTTTTAAATTGTTCAACATTTCTTACACAAATTCCCTTTATAAAACTTTTCACGACCTTCACAGACAATCTCAGACATGCCTCGACTTTCTGAATTGTTGTAAACATTTCTTTCTTTAAACAACCAGTTAATTTACTTTAGGACAAGAATTTACCATATAAGATTCATTTTTATATAAATTCTCTTTTCTTTAATATTAAAGATGATAACAGTCCTTTCCCCAAACAAACTTCCTTCATGGCTGTGGACAAGACTGCCTAAGGCCATAAAATTAGAAGTTAGGGCATTTTACTAAATAGTTCAAGATGTGGCTGTCTTCATTAAACCAATATTAATGTTTCACTTATTAAAAAATTACACAAGCAAAGATTATTCTGTTTGGGCTGAGTTATAGTTTTGTAACATCTATGTCAAATTTTGACACCTTGTAATACTTGGCAGAAATAAGTATGAAATTGCTTGATCAATTAATGCAAACAAAAATGTATGCTGGCAACTCTTAAGACATTTCTAATCTTACTGTACCAGCAAGTTTTAAAGATTAAAGTCACATGAACTGAAAGGTCCCACAGCTTTTACTTTTCCCTTAAAAATATTTAAGTGCTTATTTTTCTTAGGTCAATTAATTAGAGCTCTTTTAATAGACACTGCACGCATAACACATATATAGCCACACAGACAACCAGAAGTAGATTCAGTAGTTATAAGATTTTTTTTTGCTAATTTCCCAATTGGATTATTGGCCTTTGGGTGAGGCTCTTTAAGAACAGGGCTAGGAAAACAGTTTCCAGGGCCTAATAAACAAGCATAGCTGCAAAGACAGATTTTGAGAGGTACTTATTCACCTTTAATTCCAGGGGTTCCATAAGGAAAACAGAAATTTTTCCCAAAATGGGATTTGTGGAACCTTTTGTGTTTTCCCAAGGAGTCCCAGGCCATCAGAAGTCATTTTAGGGTTTTTCATACATGCACCAGGAGTGGCAAGAGGGAGTGGAGAAAAGTAATTCAGTTAACTGAGAAAAAACCTTTTCCAGGAAAATAAGATATAAGAAGAAAAAAACATAAAGGCCTTTTGAATATACTCATAGCTTGAATATCCATTTTAATTAAGCTCAGCACTCTTTTTTACTGGGTTATGTGCAGGAACTCCCTGCGCTAATGAGAGGGATTTTTAGAGAAAGATCGCAGACACTGCTTGATGTGTGACAAATCACACATGGAAAAAGGGAGATGAACGCGAGCAATGCCTTCAGCCCCAGCCACTTCCCAGAGAGGGAGAATAGCAGAGGTGGTTTTTGAACATGTAACAGGTGGAGAAGGAGGAAGAGCAGGGTTTGGGGCTGAAGGCTTGGGGACAGGAGGGGCCACCAAGGCAGAGGGTTTGAACAGGCAAGTAGCAGATGTAGGTGGATGAGAATACAGACAGGTTCATCTGCAGGGTAAAAAGGGGTTTCAGAGGAAGAAGAGACCGGGGAGGGTTTTTATTAAGAAGAAAGATTTCATGAGGGGTGCAAGCTTGACACAGGGAGGGTTGGGATCTAAGTAGAAGCAGAAGAAAGCCTGAATATAGAGAACCTCTTGCCGTTTGACATTCCTGGTTATAAAGTTGTCAAGGTTCCTGAGAATTTGGAAGTTAAAGGTGCCATTTTCAGGCCATCTGCTGTCATTATGTAATTTCTATTGGGGCCAGGCCATGTTGCAATAAAAAACTCAATACGTAAGCCAAGTTTGTCGAGATTATGAAGGAGACAGCACAGTGGAGAGGGCATATGAATGTGGGATTGTTTGGCACCCATGTGGACTGGTGAGAAAAAGCCGAGGGTGTCTGTTTTTTTCTAGGTGTCCCCAGACAAAAGACAGAGACCTGAAATACTCTTTCTAAAGAGGACAGTCAAGCTGAGAAAAAACTTGGTGTTCCCAAGATTTCCTCTAGCTTAGTCCCACTGGTCCTCCAAGGACCGGGATGGCCGACCTGACTTTCCTGGGTACCATGAGAAAACCAGGGGAGGGCAAATTTTACCAGTCAGCTGGATTAGTGTCTGATGCTGGATGTTCCAGTTGGAATTGGCAAAGGGCCTCTTAGGCTGGAGCTGCACAAGGAAGGAAGAAAGAGAGAGAGAGGAGAGAGAGAGAGGTTGAGGGAGGAAGAGGGAAGAGAGTGAAATACACATTGCCAGTGGTTGGAGGTGGATTCCCAAGACTGAGGGTTTTGATTACTCTAGGGAGTAGCCCTTGCCAGAGCCTCACAGTTCCCTTCAGGTTACTTGTCCTCCTCATGCAAATTGCTCAAAAAAGTGAAATAGGAGAGAAGATGGGGCAGGTGGCCAGAGACCCTCAGAATCCAGGAGTTAGCTCAGGATGAGCTGCCATTGCCCACTGTTTCCTGGGTTGCAAGAGAGCTCTACCCTCAGCACTCATCCCAGGTTTTGGCACCAAATATAAGAGTTAAAGAGGAAAGAAACACAAAATGTGGCTCAACAGTCAAAGACAGATTTATTTTAGAAAAATAAACCTGAGAGGGGCTTTTGGCCAATTTCAGTCAGGAGCATTCTCTCTTACAGACTAAGAGTATATATTGGTATTAGGGTGAGGGGGCTTATCACAAGCTAGGAATATTTCTGTGTAGGGGAGAAGTTTATGGCAGGGTTGGAATGTCTTTGGGCTGGAGGGAAGGTTATCTTGGGGCTGACGTCTTTCTGACCAGACAGGAGATTATTTCAGGGCTGGCATGTCTCTTGTTGGGAAGGGGTTTGGAATGTTTCTGGTAAGAGATGTTGACAGGATGTTGCTGACCTTAGCCATTAGGCTGATCTGCTTTGGATTTAGTCAGTTTCTGATCAAGGTGAATTTTAAAATGACAGTGCTTGGCCAAGATGGCAAGTTCCTGCTCTGTCAGTCCCTAATTGGTCCTACGGAGTTCTCAACCCTGTTTGCCTATTAAAATCACCTGGGGAGTTTCTACAAAATACAGGTACTTAGACCTCACTCCAATTAATCGCTCTTTACATTGAAAAGACAAACAAACAATAAAGCTCTTCAAGGTTAAGAAAATCTATAGCTTAAAATAATCAAACCTCAAAAATTCCAAGTTGACCCAGTACAGTTTCTCTTACTGGAATGTGGGCAGAGGCCAACTCAAAAGCAAAGTTAGAGATAGCTGGGCATGAAGACTCATGTTCATAGTCCCAGCACTCTGGGAGGCTGAGGCAGGAGGATCACTTGAGTCTAGGAATTTGAGATCACTCTAGGCAACATAGGGAGACCCTGTCTCTACAAAATTAAAAATGTGTTAAAAGCCTACCTGGGCATGGTGGTGCACGCCTGTGGTTCCAGCCACTCCCAAGGCTGAAGTAGTAGAATCACTTGGCCTGGGGAGTTGAGGATCATGCCACTGCACTCCAGTACTCTGGGTAACATAGCAAGTCCCTGTCTCAAAATAACAAAAAACAAGTAAAAAAGTAAGTTAAAAAAAAAAGAAAGAATATCTAAATGAATAGCCTCAGCACTGGCTTTTCCCATTCTGTGGCTGTTTACCACATTCTGTTCTCCATACAACAGCCTGAGACATGTTTTTAAGTAAATTCAAATCCTATGTCCCACCTATTTAAAACCTTTCTGTGGCTTCCCATTCCATTAACTATACACTCTAAACTGATCTCCAGCTCTCCTGGGCACTGCATGATCTGCTCATCCTTCCAACTCACTTCCTCATCACTCTCCCTTTTACTCACGATGCCTCAGCCAGACTGGCCTCTCTTCCCTTCCATAAATATGCAATACTTTCTTGCCTCTAGATCTTCACATTTATCATTCCCTTTATATGAAATGGTGTTCCTCATCTTCTCATGGTTGGCTGTCTGTTGACATGTAGATCTCAGCTGAACTGTCACTGCCCTGATGAAGTGAGATGTCCCTGATCATCCTCTCCTGAATACGCTCTGCTTCACTCATCACATCACACTGTTTCTCCCCTCTTAACTGTTAAAACAATATGCAACTAACTTCTCAGTTGTAGATTTTATTGTTTATCTGTATCTGCATAGGGACCTTAGACAGTCTTGCTCCCTGCTACATTCCCAAGAGCCTAGAATCATGTCCAATGTCATAGAGGGCCTTCTAAATATTTATTAAGTAAATTAATCCAGGAAGGCAAAGCCAGATCAAAATACATCATCACATCTGGAGAATTATAGCAGTTAGAGGAGGAAAACTGTAAGTTAGGATGGAACTCAGCAGAATGGGTCACTACCTAAGCCAACAGACCTGAAAAGTCTTCTATCATTCCTCAACTGGACACTTTCCTGCATGAACCCATGCCACAGTAAAGGTCCACTTTTGCCCAGATTAACCCACAGAGTCAAGGGCTGGGTCAAGGGAACATTAGCATGGAAAATGTCAAAAGAGAAAGCAGTCCCACAGCAGTCTCCCTGGTAATAACTTGGAAGGCCTATTTGCTTAACCCAAATACATGTATAGGGTGTCCACCACCCACATATTTAGAAAGGGAAAATGAAGTAAAGTCATACAGCCTGCTTGCCTATAACTGAAATTCAGAAACCATAATTAAAAAGAAGTGAACACCCAAACCTTCAAATGAGTAGTCTGTTTAAAAAACAAATTCATAAAGTGTATGACTCAAAGCAGTTTCTTTGATTCTTCTCAGAACAAAAGATCTTAACAGAGCAGATCAGAAATGACTGAAACAGCCAGTGGATTCTAATTTTTTGCACATCCTTTATACCTCTAGGAGATTATTATGGAACATTGCACTCTGGACAGAAGAGCTATACCTATAAAATATTCCCCAACAGAAATCATACTCTATCTATCTATTAAACAGTACAGCACAGAAAACCCAGATTAAAGGGGAAAAAAAGCAGGTGTCATTAGAATACTTGGAAGAATAGTGGATACTTGGGGAATTGTGGTCATTGAAAAGGGTTCTCAGAAGGCCACATTAGATGTCATTGTTAATGAGTTGGTAAAAACAAAAGGAAAATTGACCATGATCCCAGTGTTAGGCCTTAACTTTATATTCAGGTCTCAAATTGGCTGCTGCATTGGTGGGCTGATAATTTGAGGCCAAGGAGAGGTCTTTGATATGGCAGCAAGGATGGAGTGCCCATGCTGAAAGTTTAGGGACATATTAAGAAAGCACATGTCTAGAGGCAACTGTCTGGCTGACACAGCAGTCACAGTTGCGTTGTGGGACAGGATACCTAGATGACCATGGGCCTTGAAGATGACCTTCAAGACCCTGATTTCTGTTACTTGTGACTTGTAAAAAATGGAAGCATCATGGTTTAGTCTGTTTGTGCTAGTATAATAAAATATATTTGATCAGATAATTTACACATAAGAGAATGTTATTTCTCATGTTCCAGAGGCTGGAAAGTCCATGATCAAGGTATCAGTATGTTCCATGTCTGGTGAGAGCCCAGTGTCTCTTTCCAAGATGGGTTCTTGTTGCTGCATCCTCAGCAGGAGATGGACAATGTGTTTTCATGAGGCAGAAGAATGGAAGGGGCCACCTACTTCCCTCAAGTTCTTTTATAAGGTCACTAATCCCATTCATGAGGGCCCTGTCCTCATACATTAACCTCTTTCTAAAGTCCTCAGCTCTAAATACTAATGCATTGGCAGTTAAGTTTCAACACATGAATTTGGAGGGAACATATTCAGACCATATAATTTCACAAGATCAAGAAGAAATATGGGACAAGGGTGATCTTGGTATAGCCTAACTCACGCACTGCTGCAATGAACTTTGGCCATTATTTTTACTTTATGTCACAGAGCCAAGGCCAGAGACAAGAAGGAACGGGGAGAAAAAAAATACCCTAAAATATTCATTCTCATGACCTAGGATGTTACAGGATTTTATGGCCCATTGGCTAATGGCTATTCTGTGCAATGCACTGACCTCCAAGAAAAGTAGTAGAAAGAGAGTTTTCAGATAAGAGATTCAGGAACTGTCAAAACAAATTAAAATTGACTAGTCCTGTTCTTCCACAGTAAATGAGAAAGGAGATATGTTTATTCTGGTCATATTGGATAGCTTTAGTAGACAGATGAAGGCTTTCTCAATAAAGTACAAAAGAGCTAAACTAATGGCACAGATTTAAGTCTAAGAAATCTTCTCTTACCCTGGGGTCCCCACGAACATGACCTCAGACAGTGGGCAGACTCATGAGAGAGCTGTCTCACCAGCCACGTCTCATGGCATATGACAAAACCTAGCAGATTTTGCTCTCCTCTGGCCTGTTCCCCAGCCTTCACACCCCAGCCATCTATCAGGAATCAGCCTCATGAACAGTTGGACTTTGTGCCCTTTCTAGATCTTTACTCTTTGGAAGTTCACTTCTAGATCATTGAACTCTTTGTCAGATACCACTTTTCTCAGCCTCCTTTCATTTGTATTAAGTTCATAACTGTGGTTTCATGATTCTCCTCACATCAGAAAAAGATAAGAACATCTCAACTAAATTGTTCTTTGTGGTTAAGAATATAAATAAATAAAGCCTTGAAGATAAGACTTGAAATCAGAGAAAAGGTAAGTAGCATAACGTCCACCCCTCCAAATAGCCAATCACAGTCCTGTAAATCAATTTTATTTCATGCTTTCCTGCTGGCTGCTAATCACTTTGCAAAAATTCCCAAAGTGCTTTTTTTTTTTTTTTTTTTTTACAGGCACTTCAGTGCAGGCATAATGGCCTGCATAAGGTCATCTCTTTGATCCTGAAATCACCAGCTGAGTACTTGTGGGAGACATTACAGATTGGTTTGGGCTAAGAGTGAAACAAATCACATGAGCATATGGTATTAAAGCAATGTGGTATACACACAATGATGTTAACTTACTTTATAAAAGAATATAGTAGAAGCTGTCTTTGAATACAGCTATCTGGTGATAACATTGCTCCCAGATACACATGTATGTAATTTTTTAAGTTGTCTCTGGGCTTAGAGGTCTAGATCCAAAATTACAAGGGAAATAAGCAAGAATATTATCAAGATAATATCAAAAGGCTGTTCTCCATTGCTCAGAAACATGAAAAAAGGAATGCCCACAGTAAACTGAAGGGTACATATGAAATCTCAGAACGAATCTCTTAACTTCTAAAAATGTGTTACATTTGGAATGCAATCTGATATAGGTATTCACAAGACCTGAGCAGACACCTCGCCAAAGAAGATATACAGCTTAAAAAAAAGCATATGAAAAGATACTAAACATCATATGTCATTAGAGAATTGCAAACTAAAATGAAAATGTGATACCACTGCACACCTATTAGAATGGTGAAAATCCACAACACTGACAACACCAAGTGCTAGCAAGAATGTGGAGCATCAGGAATGCTCACCCATTGCTGGTGGGGATGCAAAATGGTACAGATACTTTGTAAGGCAGTTTGGCAGTTTCTCATAAAACTGAACGTATCCTTACCATATGATCCAGCAATCACGCTCCATTGCATTTACACAAATAAATAGTAAACTTATGTCTACACAAATACCTACTTTTAGGTTTGATCTTTAAAGTAGTTTTATCCATGATTATCAAAACTTGGAAGCAGCCAAATTGTCCTTCAGTAGGAGAATATACAAATAAACGGTGGTACATCCAGACAATGGTATGTTATTCAGTGCCAAAAAATAGCTATCAAGCCATAAATAACATGGAGGAAACTTAAATGTATATTATTAAATGCAAGAAGCTAATATGAACAGGCTACATGCAGTGTGTTTCCAACTATATGACATTCTGGAAAAGGCAAAACCGTGGAGACAGTAAAAAGACCAATGGCTGTCAGAGTGAGGGTGCACAGAGGAATGAATAGGCAAAGCACAGACGATTTTTAGGGCAGAGGACACTAAAATGGTGGTGACATGTCATTACACATTTGTCAAAACTCAGAGAATGTGCAAGAAAAGAGTAAACTTTGGACTTTGAGTGATAAAGATGTATCAATGCAGGTCAACTCATTGTAACAAATGTACCATTCTGGTAGAGCGTGTTGATAGTGGGGGAGGCTATGTATGTGTTGGGGTGGGAGTATACGAGAACTCTCTGCATTTTCCCTCAGTTTTGTTGTGAAGCTAAAACTATTACAGAAAATAAAGTCCATTTTAAAAGTTAAATGAGATAATATATGTAAAGAACCTGATACATTGTAAAGGACTCAATTAATATATTAAAGCTCATATGTAGAGCTTTCTATGTGCAAGGAGATATCCCATATGACCTCTTGGTCTGATCTTAACTGATTATCCTTTAAAATAAATTTCTGGAGTGGACTTGCTGGGTCAAGTGTGTGAAAGTTTACAATATTTTGTCAGATACTCATTAGAAATTTGTGTCAACTTACACTTCCATAAATAACATGCTTGTCTCCCCACGTCTTCACCAACACTTAGTAACTTCAGGTATTCTAATATTTGCTAAACTACTTGTGGCTTTCAAACTGGGTTCAATGAAGGGATAATGTTCTTTGTAATGCAAAAGAAATCCCCAAGGAAAGAAGGCAGCTTGTTGGAAATATGACAGTCTATCTCTTCTTTTTCCTTAAACATTGGGGTTCCAAGAGCTCTTGAATTGGCATAAAGCTCTGTTTTCATCTGAAGATTCCACTGGAGAAAGGTCTACTTTCAAGTTCACTTATATAGTTGTTGGAAGATTCAGTTCTTCTAAGGTTATTAAACTGAGAGCCTCAGTTTCCCCTTGACTGTTGGCTGCTCTCAGTTCCTTACTATATTGTCCTCTCCACCAGGGCAACTTGCTTCATCAAAGCCAAAGAGAAAGAGCAACCGTAAAAGCAAGTTGAAAGTCACAATCCCTACTAACCTAATCATGATAGTGGCATTCCATCATTTTTGTTATATTATACTAGTTAAAAGCAAGTTACTAGGTTCAACCCACACACAAGGGTACAAATATCAGGAGGTTGAGATCACTGGAGTCACCTTAGAGGCTGGCTACCATAACATTACTGTTAGCCTCTGGAACTCTTGGTTGAATGGCATCTATTTGACCTCTCCTCCAAGATAATTGGTAGACAGAGTAATAAGTAGGCGATGGAAAAGAGATTTTGCTAAAGCCTCTCTTTTCCTCTCATACTATCGCTGGGGCTGGTGGTCCAGAGGTCTTATTCTTTGAAGGCCATGTGGGCAATGAGGTTCACCACCCTGTTGTTGTAGTCAAATTCATTGTCATACCAGGAAATGAGCTTGATAAAGTGGTCATTGAGGGCAATGCCAGTCCCAGCATCGAAGGTGGAAAAGTGCATGATGCTGATAAAGTTGGAGGAGACAACCTGGTGCTCATTGTAGCCCAGGATGCCCTTGAGGGAGCCTTCCAATTCTGCTTCACCACCTTCTTGATGTCATCATATTTGGCAGGTATTTTCTGATGGCAGGTCAGATTCATGACCAACACATTAGTGGTGGGGACACGGAAGGCCATGCCATTGAGCTTCCTGTTCAGCTGAGGGATGACTTTGCCCTTAGGCTTGGCAGTGACAGCAGATGTAGTGATGATGTTCTGGAGAACCCCATGTCCATTATGCCAGTTTCCTGAAGGAGCTATCCACAGTTTTCTGGGTGGCAGTGATGGCATGGACTATGGTCATGAGTCTTCCCATAACAACAAAGTTGTCATGGATGACCTTGGCCAGGAGTGCTAAGCAGTTGGTGATACAGGATGTATTGCTGATGATCTTGAGGCTGTTGTCATAGTTCTGATGCTTCACACCCATCACAAACGTGGGGATGTCAGCAGCGGGGGCAGAGATGATGACCCTTGTGGCTCACCCCTGAAAGTGAGCCCCAGCCTTCTCCATGGTGGTGAAGACACCAGTGGACTCCATGGTGTACTCAGTGCCAGCATTACCATATTTGATTTTGGTGAGATCTAGCTCCTAGAAGATGGTGATGGAATTTCCATTGATGACAAGCTTCCCGTTCTCAGCCTTGGGAGTGCCATGGAATTTGCCATGGGTGGAATTATACTGGAACATGTAGGGCATGAAGTTAAGGTCAATGAAGGGGTCATTGATGGCCACAATATCCACTT
This sequence comes from Homo sapiens, assembly GCF_000001405.40. Classification (NCBI taxonomy): domain Eukaryota; kingdom Metazoa; phylum Chordata; class Mammalia; order Primates; family Hominidae; genus Homo; species Homo sapiens. The sequence goes on from NC_000001.11 coordinate 119,496,762, forward strand.
TACCAGAGTTCAGAGCAGCCCTTGTGACCAGGAGCCTAAATATGGCCAAATCCATTGACTCCAGGCTTCACCTTCACCATGGTGTCTCAGGGATGCAGCTGGCGCTGCATGAGATGTGACTATCTGTTGAACGGGAAAAGCAGAAAGCTACAGCGTATTATTTAACCCATAATTATCATATTGAGTTATTCTTTGTTAACTCTGATGCCAATAGGTGGTGACTCAGATGGGCATCACTTGACATAGCAGGCTAACATCCCCTGAGCATGTGGACAATTCAGTTGTCTCAGTATCACTTGTTTAAAAGACTATCCTTTTCCCTCATTGAATTTACTTTTGTCAAAATCAATTGGCCATATGATTTTGGCCATTAACTCACACATAAGCAAATATTCTCTCAAAATGGGTTATAGGCCTAAATTTCAGGCGTAAACCATACACTTCTTCGAAGAAAACATAAATTAACATGTTCATGACCTTAAATAAAGAAAAAAATCTTTTTCTGCTAAACAAAAAAAGTTAAAAAAATGAGACATGATCAAAACTAAAAACATTTGCTCTTTAAAAGACATCAATAAGAAAATGAAAAGACAAGCCACAGAATGAGAAAAAATATCAAAACGTATATTTGGTAAAGGACTTCTATCCAGAATATAAAATACAATTACAACTAAAGAACACAAGGATAAATGACTCAATTTTAAAATCAGCACAATATTTGAATAGTCACTTAACCAAAAATGTGTAACAATGGCCAATAAAGTACACGAAAAGACAGTCAGCATCACCAGTCAGCAGGGAAATGAAAATCAAAACTACAATGTGACACCACTTCTTACCCACTAGAATGCTATAACAAAACAGAAGGACAAAAACAATTGGAAGAGGGGTGGAGCCAAGATGACTGAATAGGAACAGCTCCAGTCTACAGCTCCCAGCGTGGGTGATGCAGAAGATGGGTGATTTCTGCATTTCCATCTGAGGTACAGGGTTCATCTCACTAGGGAGTGCCAGACAGTGGCAGCAGGACAGTGGGTGCAGCACACCGTGCGTGAGCCGAAGCAGGGAGAGGCATTGCCTCACTCAGGAAGCGCACAAGGGGTCAGGGAGTTCCCTTTCCTAGTCAAAGAAAGGGGTGACAGACAGCACCTGGAAAATCGGGTCACTCCCACCCTAACTAATACTGTGCTTTTCCAATGGGCTTAAAAAATGGCACACCAGGAGATTATATCCTGCACATGGCTTAGAGGGTCCTAAACCCACAGAGTCTCGCTGATTGCTAGCACAGCAGTCTGAGATCAAACTGCAAGGTGGCAGCGAGGCTGGGGGAGGGGCGCCTGCCATTGCCCAGGCTTGATTAGGTAAACAAACAAGCTGGGAAGCTCGAACTGGGTGGAGCACACCACAACTCAAGGAGGCCTTCCTGCCTCTGTAGGCTTCACCTCTGGGGGCAGGGCACAGACAAACAAAAAGATAGCAGTAACCTCTGCAGACTTAAATGTCCCTGTCTGACAGCTTTGAAGAGAGTAGTGGTTCTCCCAGCACACAGCTAGAGATCTGAGAATGGGCAGACTGCCTCCTCTAGTGGGTCTCTGACCCCCGAGCAGCCTAACTGGGAGGCACCCCCCATTAGGGGCAGACTGACACCTCTCACGGCCGGGTACTCCTCTGAGACAAAACTTCCAGAACGATCAGGCAGCAGCATTTTCCGTTCACCAGTATCCACTGTTCTACAGCCACCGCTGTTCTGCAGCCACCGCTGCTGATACCCAGGCAAACAGGGTCTGGAGTGGACCTCTAGCAAATTTCAACAGACCTGCAGCTGACAGTCCTGTCTGTTAGAAAGAAAACTAACAAACAGAAAGGACATCCACACCAAAAACCCATCTGTACATCACCATCATCAAAGACCAAAAATAGATAAAACCACAAAGATGGGGAAAAAACAGAGCAGAAAAACTAGAAACTCTAAAAAGAAGAGCACCTCTCCTCCTCCAAAGGAACGCAGCTCCTCACCAGCAATGGAACAAAGCTGGACAGAGAATGACTTTGACGAGTTGAGAGAAGAAGGCTTCAGATGATCAAATTACTCCGAGCTACAGGAGGAAATTCAAACCAATGGCAAAGAAGTTAAAAACTTTGAAAAAAAATTAGACGAATGGATACCTAGAATAACCAATGCAGAGAAGTCCTTAAAGGGGCTGACAGAGCTGAAAGCCAAGGTTCAGGAACTACATGAAGAATGCAGAAGCCTCAGGAGCCGATGTGATCAACTGGAAGAAAGGGTATCAGTGATGGAAGATGAAATGAATGAAATGAAGTGAGAAGGGAAGTTTAGAGAAAAAAGAATAAAAAGAAACAAACAAAGTCTCCAAGATATATGGGACTATGTGAAAAGACCAAATCTACGTCTGATTGGTGTACCTGAAAGTGATGGGGAGAATGGAACCAAGTTGGAAAACACTCTGCAGTATATTATCCAGGAGAACTTCCCCAATTTAGCAAGGCAGGCCAACATTCAGATTCAGGAAATACAGAGAATGCCACAAAGATACTCCTTGAGAAGAGCAACTCCAAGACACATAATTGTCAGATTCACCAAAGTTGAAATCAAGGAAAAAATGTTAAGGGCAGCCAGAGGGAAAGGTCGGGTTACCCACAAAGAGAATCCCATCAGACTTACAGCACATCTCTCGGCAGAAACTCTACAAGCCAGAAGAGAGTGGGGGCCAATACTCAACATTCTTAAAGAAAATAATTTTCAACCCAGAATTTCATATCTGCCAAACTAAGCTTCTTAAGTGAAGGAGAAATAAAATATTTTACAGACAAGCAAATGCTGAGAGATTTTGTCACCACCAGGTCTGCCCTAAAAGAGCTCCTGAAGGAAGCACTAAACATGGAAAGGAACAACTGGTACCAGCCACTGCAAAAACATACCAAAATGTAAAGACTATCAAGGCTAGGAAGAAACTGCATCAACTAATGAGCAAAATAACCAGCTAACATCATAATCTCAGGACCATATTCACACATAACAATATTAACTTTAAATGTAAATGGGCTAAATGCTCCAATTAAAAGACACAGACTGGCAAATAGGATAAAGAGTCAAGACCCATCAGTGTGCTGTATTCAGGAAACCCATCTCATGTGCAGAGACACACATAGACTCAAAATAAAGGGATGGAGGAAGATCTACCAAGCAAATGGAAAACAAAAAAAGGCAGGGGTAGCAATCCTAGTCTCTGATAAAACCGACTTTAAACCAACAAAGATCAAAAGAGACAAAGAAGGACATTACATAATGGTAAAGGGATCAATTAGACAAGAAGAACTATCCTAAATAAATATGGACCCAATACAGGAACACCCAGATTCATAAAGCAAGTCCTTAGTGACCTACAAAGAGACTTAGACTCCCACACAATAATAATGGGAGACTTTAACACCACACTGTCAACATTAGACAGATCAACGAGACAGAAACTTAACAAGGATACCCAGGAATTGAACTCAGCTCTGCATCAAGTGGACCTAATAGACATCTACAGAACTCTCCACCCCAAATCAACAGAATATACATTTTTTTCAGCACCGCACCACACCTATTCCAAAATTGACCACATACTTGGAAGTAAAGCACTCCTCAGCAAATGTGAAACAACAGAAATTATAACAAATAGTCTCTCAGACCACAGTGCAATCAAACTAGAACTCAGGATTAAGAAACTCACTCAAAACCGCTCAACTACATGGAAACTGAACAATCTGCTCCTGAAGGACTACTAGGTACATAACAAAATGAAGGCAGAAATAAAGATGTTTTTTGAAACCAACGAGAACAAAGACACAACATATCAGAATCTCTGGGACACATTCAAAGCAGCGTGTAGAGGGAAATTTATAGCACTAAATGCCCACAAGAGAAAGCAGGAAAGATCCGAAATTGACACCCTAACATCACAATTAAAAGAACCAGAAAAGCAAGAGCAAACACATTCAAAAGCTAGCAGAAGGCAAGAAATAACTAAAATCAGAGCAGAACTGAAGGACATAGAGACATCAAAAAACCCTTCAAAAAATTAATGAATCCAGGAGCTGGTTTTTTGAAAAGATCAACAAAATTGATAGACCACTAGCAAGACTAATAAAGAAGAAAAGAGAGAAGAATCAAATAGACGCAATAAAAAATGATAAAGGGGATACCACCACCAATCCCACAGAAATACAAACTACCATCAGAGAATACTATAAACACCTCTACACAAATAAACTAGAAAATCTAGAAGAAATGGATAAATTCCTCAACACATACACCCTCCCAAGACTAAACCAGGAAGAAGTTGAATCTCTGAATAGACCAATAACAGGCTCTGAAATTGTGGCAATAATCAATAGTTTACCAACCAAAAGGAGTCCAGGACCAGATGGATTCACAGCCAAATTCTACCAGAGGTAGAAGGAGGAGCTGGTACCATTCCTTCTGAAACTATTCCAATCAATAGAAAAAGAGGGAATCCTCCCTAACTCATTTTATGAGGTCAGCATCATCCTGATACCAAAGCTGGGAAGAGACACAACCAAAAAAGAGAATTTTAGACCAATATCCTTGATGAACATTAATGCAAAAATCCTCAATAAAATACTGGCAAACCGAATCCAGCAGCACATAAAAAAGCTTACCCACCATGATCAAGTGGGCTTCATCCCTGAGATGCAAGGCTGGTTCAACATACGCTAAATCAATAAATGTAATCCAACGTATAAAAAGAACCAAAGACAAAAACCACATGATTATCTCAATAGATGCAGAAAAGGCCTTTGACAAAATTCAACAACTCTTCATGCTAAAAACTCTCAATAAATTAGGTATTGATGGGACGTATCTCAAAATAATAAGAGTTATCTATGACAAACCCACAGCCAATATCATACTGAATGGGCAAAAACTGGAAGCATTCCCTTTGAAAACTGGCACAGGACAGGGATGCCCTCTCTCACCACTCCTATTCAACATAGTGTTGGAAGTGCTGGCCAGGGCAATTAAGCAGGAGAAGGAAATAAAGGGTATTCAAATAGAAAAAGAGGAGGTCTAATTGTCCCTTTTTGCAGGTGACATGATTGTATATCTAGAAAACCCCATCGTCTCAGCCCAAAATCTCCTTAAGCTGATAAGCAACTTCAGCAAAGTCTCAGGATACAAAATCAATGTGCAAAAATCACAAGCATTCCTAAACACCAATAACAGACAAACAGAGAGCCAAATCATGAGTGAACTCCCATTCACAATTTCTTCAAAGAGAATAAAATACCTAGGAATCCAACTTACAAGGGATGTGAAGGACCTCCTCAAGGAGAACTACAAACCACTGCTCAATGAAATAAAAGAGGATACAAACAAATGGAATAACATTCCATGCTCATGGGTAGGAAGAATCAATGTCTTGAAAATGGCCATACTGCCCAAGGTAATTTATAGATTCAATGCCATCCCCATCAAGCTACCAATGACTTTTTTCACAGAATTGGAAAAAACTACTTTAAAGTTCATATGGAAACAAAAAAGAGCCTGCATCGCCAAGTCAATCCTAAGCCAAAAGAACACAGCCAGAGGCAACACGCTACCTGACTTCAAACTATACTAAAAGGCTACAGTAACCAAAACAGCATGGTACTGGTACCAAAACAGAGATATAGATCAATGGAACAGAACAGAGACCTCAGAAATAATGCCACATATCTACAACTATCTGATCTTTGACAAACCTGACAAAAACAAGAAATGGGGAAAGGATTCCCTATTTAATAAATGGTGCTGGGAAAACTGGCTAGCCATGTGTAGAAAGCTGAAACTGGATTCCTTCCTTACACCTTATATGAAAATTAATTCAAGATGGGTTAAAGACTTACATGTTAGACCTAAAACCATAAAAACCCTAGAAGAAAACTTAGGCAATACCATTCAGGACATAGGCATGGGCAAGGACTTCATGTCTAAAACACCAAAAGCAATGGCAACAAAAGCCAGAATTGACAAATGGGATCTACTGAAACTAAAGAGCTTCTGCACAGCAGGAGAAACTACCATCAGAGTGAACAGGCAACCTACAAAATGGGAGAAAATTTTCACAACCTCCTCATCTGACAAAGGGCTAATATCCAGAATCTACAATGAACCCAGACAAATTTACAAGAAAAAAACAAACAACCCCATAAAAAAGTGGGCAAAGGATATGAACAGACACTTCTCAAAAGAAGACATTTATGCAGCCAAAAAACACATGAAAAAATGCTCATCATCACTGGCCATCAGAGAAATGCAAATCAAAAGCACAATGAGACACCATCTCACACCAGTTAGAATGGCAATCATTAAAAAGTCAGGAAACAACAAGTGCTGGAGAGGATGTGGAGAAATAGGAACACTTTTACAATGTTGGTGGGACTGTAAACTAGTTCAACCATTGTGGAAGTCAGTGTGGTGATTTCTCAGGGATCTAGAACTGGAAATACCATTTGACCCAGCCATCCCATTACTGGGTATATACCCAAAGGATTATAAATCATGCTGCTATAAAGACACATGCACACGTATGTTTATTGTGGCACTATTCACAATAGCAAAGACTTGGAACCAACCCAAATGTCCAACAATGATAGACTGGATTAAGAAAATGTGGCACATATACGCCATGGAATACTATGCAGCCATAAAAAATGATGAGTTCATGTCCTTTGTAGGGACGTGGATGAAGCTGGAAACCATCATTCTCAGCAAACTATTGCAAGGACAAAAAACCAAACACCGCATGTTCTCACTCATAGGTGGGAATTGAACAATGAGAACACATGGACACAGGAAGGGGAACATCACACTCCGGGGACAGTTGTGGGGTGGGGGGAGGGGGGAGGGATAGCATTTGGAGATATACCTAATGCTAAATGCCGAATTAATGGGTGTAGCACATCAACATGTCACATGTACCTGCACATTGTGTACATGTACCCTAAAACTTAAAGTATAATAATAATAAAATAAATAAATAAATAAACAATTGAAAGAAGTGAAAAACAATGATGTGAAAAATTGAACTACTCTTGCAGTGTTGATGGGACATGCAGCCACATTGGAAAACAGATTGCCAGTTCCTTAAAATGTTAAATATACATTTACCTTATGATCTAGCACTTTCACTCCTAGCTGTCTACCCCAAAGAAACAGAAACCTATGTCCACACAACACATGAATGTGAATATTCATAGCAGCTTTATCCATAATAGTCCATAAAGTGGAAACACATCAAATATCGATCAATTGATGAATGAATAAACAAATGGGAGCCATCCATACAATTTAATAGGGTTTGGCACCTAAAAGGAGTAAAATATTGATACGTGCTACAACATAGATGAACCACAAAAGAACATTAAGCTGGCCAGGTGTGGTGACTCACACCTGTAATCCCAGCACTTTGGGAGGCCAAGGTGGGTGGATCATTTGGGGTCAAAAGTTTAGATCAGCCTGGCCAACATGATGAAATCCCGCCTCTACTAAAAATACAAAAATTACCCAGGCATGGTGGCAGGTGCCTGGAGGCTGAGGCAGGAGAATCACTTGAACCCGGAAGTGGAGGTTGAAGTGAGCCAACATCGCACCACTGCACTCCAGCCTGGGCAACAGAGCAAGACTCTGTCTCAAAAAAAAAAAAAAGTATATTAAGCTAAGTGAAAGAATAGAAATACAAAGACCAAATATTCTATGATTCCATTTATATAATGTCTAGAAAAGGCAAATCTGTAAAGTCAGTGAGTCAATTAAAGGTTGCCTTGAGCTGTGAGTAAGAGTAAGGAATGGTGACTGATGAGCACGAGGGATTTCTTAGGAATGATAGAAATGTTGGAAAACAGGATTACAGTGATGGTCCACACAAGTATAAAATTTTACTAAAAATAATTGAACTGTACACTTAAAACAAGCAAATGTGATGTCAATTATACCTCAGTAAACCTATTTAAAAATAAAAGAAAGTTGGTAGTATGGTTCCCAATCACTCTGGACCTTTGTTTTATTTCTCCCTTTCTTTAGGGCTTATATTTATTGCTTCCACTCAGAGACTCCAAGACACATGAGCTGAAATCTACGAGCCTCCAGAACGTTCAACAGCTGAAAGAAAGTCCAGCCCCACACTGAAGGCGATGGGGGATCTTTAAGGTGCTCTCCAGCACTGCTACAGCAGGCAAAGGCATGCGATGCACCTGGGTAGTTTCAGATAGTACTCCACAAGTCTCAGCAAGACCCAGGGCCTGTAAATAGTTCTGATAGTTTCAGAGAACAAGCTGCTACATCTTGTAGCACAAGGCCAACCTTTCCTAGGCAAGTGGTTTTGAAGCATTGGTAGTGAGGTCCAAAGTAGAAGATGAATGTCTACAACATGGAGGAGGGCAAGACCCAGAGTGGGGTGTCAAACTAAATCATTTGTAGAGTATTACTTTCAACAACTGCAGAAAGCATTCTTTTCAAGTGCTTATGGCATGTTCACCAATGTAGACCATATGCTGGACCATAAAACAAATCTCACTAAATATTCAAGAATCAAAATCATACAGTGCATATGCTCTGGCCACAGTAGTATTTAATTAGAAATCCATAACAATGAGATATCTAGAAAATCCTCACTTTTAGAAAACAAGCAACACACTTCTGAATAACACTTGGGTCAGAGAAGAAACCACAAGACAAAACTTTAAATATTATTAACTGAATGATGATAACCCAATACATCAAAATGTTGGGTACAGCTCACACAGTGCTTAAAGAGAAATTTACAACTTTTAATGCCTATAGTGGAAATAGGAAAGGAGTAAAGAAAAACAATTTTCTATGCTTTTATTATCAGGATCCTGAAAAACGGGGCTGGGTGCAGTGGCTCACGCCTGTAATCCCAGCACTTTGGGAGGCTGAGGCGTGCAGATCACAAAGTCAGGAGTTTGATACCAGCTGGTCAACATGATGAAACCCCACCTCTACTGAAAATACAAAAATTAGCCCGGTGCAGTGGCGGGCACCTGTAATCCCAGCTACTTCGGAGGCTGAGGTGGGAGAATTGCTTGAACCCGGGAGGCAGAGGTTGCAGTGAGCTGAGATGGTGCCCCTGCACTTCAGCCTGGGTGACAGAGCAAGACTCCATCTCAAAAAAAAAAAAAAAAAATGTGAAAAACGAGTGAAAAAAAAAAACAAAATTAATAAATGTAAGCCAATAATAAAAATAATGAAAATCATGAAATAGAAAAATAAACAACAGAGACAATCAACGGTCAATTTTTCTGTACTCCCTGCACAAAACTTCATTTCAAAATAATTTTATATTTAAATATATATCCAGAACCACAGAGATCTTAGAAGAAAAAATTAGAGAAATATAGAAATAAAATGAGAACTGTGGGAATAAAAATCAGGAAGTAGTTGCCTATGAGGTAGATTGGGGGAAGGTCAGGGAATTAACAGGGAACAGGCAGAAAACAACTTTCTGGAGTGACGGAAATGGTCTATATCTTTTTTGGGGTGCTACTTACATGGGCATATATAACTGTCAAGTTCCACTGAACTGAACACTGAAGACCTGGGCATTTTAATGCATGTAAATTATATTTCAATTTTTTTGAGTAAAGTGTCTTGGGAAGCTTATGGCGGTGATATTTGGGCAGTTCTGGGGCATAGGCTTCAGAAGCATTCACAGTATGTCCAGTTCAAGAATTTGCTGAGAATCGTTTTGCAGCCAAAAATATGGATAAGTTCGAACACCTATGATAAGAGTCATTGGGGCATACAACCACAAATCCCCACTCTTGTGATACAGGCCATATCATTAAGTGGTTATCACCAGATAGCTTTCCTTCAATGATGTTGTTCATCTAGGAACCCAGGGCTCTCCAGGGGCAAATGACCATTGAGGTTTCAGATATATTGGGTAGGAAAGAAAGTCACCTCACATAAAACTAAGTGATTGGAGCTGTCACCATTGCAAATTTCTAAATTTTGTAAGACAGCAGCAACATTTCAAATGATAGTCTGAGAGAGGAGATAATGGGCTTACATGGATTTCCCTCCAGATGGATTTACTGAACAAGGGCACAATTCAAATTGCACTTGCAGATTTCTCCTGGTCTAGTTTAAGTTCACAGATTGTGGATCCCAGACAGCTGGTATCAACTGACTAGTGTCCTGTTAAGGCTAAACCCAAGACTCTTTGCCACACTGCAGCATTAGGATGGGACTTCTCTTCCTGTTCCTGGGAAGAATTAGAGATGTAACCCAAAGGTCACTATTTTTCTGAGATAAGGATCCCATAGGAGGAGAGAGCAATGAGTACATGGCCAGAGATCAAAGTGATAAGGGTTGGGCCAGAAGCCACAGTGCATAAAGCTTCAGACTTGCCACAGGAAATGAGGTGAGAAGTACGTCCACTCTTCTGTCCAGCTTTTAACAATCTAACTAATGGTTAGAGATTTTTCATTTTCTTTCAGCTACTCCTGCAGTGGTGGGGACACAGAATGTTTGCAAAAAAAATGGGGTGGAGGAAAATGAGGCATCTGTGTGAGTATATAACCATTTGACATCTCTTTTTAGCCCTCTCCAGGGTCACCCTAGAATCAGATCTGCTCCCCAGCATCTTCTGTTTCCTGGTGAGTGATTCCTGCTACTTTGGATGGCCATGACGGGCTGGAGCTGCCTTGTGACAGGAGCAGGAGGGTTTCTGGGACAGAGGATCATCCGCCTCTTGGTGAAGGAGAAGGAGCTGAAGGAGATCAGGGTCTTGGACAAGGCCTTCGGACCAGAATTGAGAGAGGAATTTTCTAGTAAGTAAACTTGGGTCATGGGTGTGTGGTTCCATCTTAAACACTGCATGTATGTGGGGGGAGATGGACCTTGTCTAGCAAGTTATTGAAATTTGTAGCCAAATCTAAGCCAATCTCACATCCAAAGTCATCAAGAAATAAATATTAAATAGTATAAAATGGCATAGTATGAAAGATACTGGGTGGGATTTCCAGAGACTAGATTCTGGCCCTGACCCAGAACTTGAGAAGCAGCCACCTCAGCCTCCAGGCCTCTTTTCTTCTCATCTAGAAAATCCCACATCAGTTCTTTGTCTTGTCTGCAACTCTTTTATGTTCTGAAGCTTTTGTCTTGGCAATTGCTGTACAACATTCATAAAGGACACTATTACCCTGGAGACCTCACCAATGGGTCATTGTCTCTCTAGAACGTGCCAGGCTGTGTTTTGTTTTGCAGCTTCCTTAGTATCCTTTGTGAGGGCAAAATAAAAGGAAGTTAAGGTAAAGATGAGTGTATAAGTGGGTGTGTGTGACAGAGAGAGAGGAAAACAATAAGGGGGAGAGAGAGTCGGGGAGAGAGAGTCGGGGAGAGAGACTCAGAGAGAGAGACAATGAGAAAGACAGAGAAATAATGAAAAATATATAGTGAGAGAGAGAGCATCAGTGAGAGAATGTGTGTGCACAGTGCACAGCACAGAGCAGAGACAGAGTAAGAGGCAGTATAAGGCCAGACATGCCTCATTTAGATTTTGCATATATGGCTTTTTTTTAAAAAAAAAAAAACAAAACATTTACCTCTGTTGCTCATCATCAAAAAGAAATTGACTGCAGAATTTTCTGTGGCAACTCCTTGTACAAATGGCCCCAAGAGGCAGGTAGAAAAGGCATCACATCCAACAGGACAATGAACGCATCAAGGTCCGGAATCACAAAGCAACATGCTAAGGCCATCTGATTGATGCGTAGCAGAGCTCAGACCAGAGCTTTATCCATAGGCTATTTCACCTGGCCCCAGAGCTGATGCTTGGCAAAGTGGATCTTCAGTCTCTCCCTTTGCTCCTTGGTGTGCCCCAAAACAATTCCCTGTCCTCCTCCCCAACCCAGGGGATTTGGGGGACTGTGTGTCTACATGTGGGCTCTGGCTGCCCAGAGGGTCCTGCCCTGCCCACAGAGAATCCCCCACTTGACAGCACTCAGGGACCACACCCAACACTCTACTTTTGCTCTTCTCTGACCTCTTGAAATGTTCGATTTCTTCCACCCTCTGTTTTAATGTTGTCTTTGATAAACAAATATGAAATGCTTATAATCCTTGCCTGTGTCTCAGCAATATTTGCAATTTAACATCTGAAGCCAGAAAAAAGCAATGCTCAGCCTAGAGGTATTGTTCCCCTATGGTAAAAATGCAGATCATATAATAGACAGGCAGGGATCTGTATGAAGATAAAAACAGAGAAAGCATTCAGTGTTCTTTTTGTGCCAGGCACTTGGCCAAAGGTTTGCCAACTCATTTGCTCCTCATAACAACCCTATGAGATCGGTAATATTATCCTCCTTTTTTAAAGATGAGGAGATAGAAACAGAGAGGTTAGTTAACTTTTTGAAGGTCCCACAGTTAGCATATGGCAAAGCTAGATTTGAACCCAGACAGACTAGTGCAGCATCTGTGCTCTTAAGCAGTAGTTTGTCTTACAGCTCCTTTAGGCCTTCCTCTAGCCCAACTTACACCATAAAAGCAACTCCATTTAGTCTACATAAAACACTTGCCAAGTCTACAGTGCCTTGGAGAAGAAGGGAGCCATGACTTCATCAACAAAGTACCTTTTCCTAGTCCCTCTAGATCCCTGGGAACTCACTGGGGAAGAGTCCTTTTCTCTCAGCTTTGGACTTCTTCCACTTTGACACTCCTTTGAGCCAGTCTGTCTGAAGTGGCAGCAAAGAAGAAGCAGAGGAAGGCAGCAGGAAGGGCAGAGGTGGAACTAGAACCAGAGAACATCCCACTCTCAGGCTGTTACCCACATCACCACCAGCAGCCTCTTCCCTGACTCCCCCACTCCAGGACCTTCTTGGAGTTGCCTGACAACGGGAAGAGGTTGGGAGTAGACAAAACATGGCAGAGGCATCAGGAGAGCAAGTGGTCCTGCTTGTACCCCAGGAAGGAATTTCTCCAGCTTCGAATTTTTCACTCTGAATTTTGCTCTCACTGGTCTTTGGTCTTTGTTGCCAATTTCAGTTAAACTGGCTTATTCTTTGGAAAAGAATGATATTAAACAACAGAAAAGTTGATATTAAACAGCCAGTCCTGCACCTGGTGTACAGGGTACAAGCTTGGAGGCAGGGTGGGCGTGTTTAAGCCTTCACTAGAAACGTGACCTTAGATCTGTCCCTTAACCTCTCTGAGACTCAGTTTCCTCACTGATAAAGTGGGACTCAGAATACCTACCTCATGAGATAGCTGTAAAAAGAAATAAATATCCTGTAAGTTGCATACAGATGATAAAGCACAAACAAGTGTAGAGTATTTATCCAAGCTCCATGTAGCATGGTGTTCATTTTGTGGGCTAATTCCAGGTGACAACCTTACTGGCAGCGTCACTTCCTGTGGATTTCAGAGGAACCTGAAGACATTGATGTTGTAACCACTGCCTCCAGCTAGACAGCTGCGATGTTAGTTCATTGGTGGTTAACTCATTTTCAGCATTGCTACCTGCTTTTGATGATATCTGATAATAGTTTTCCAGGGAAATTCATCATTGAAGCCCACCCACAATTCCTGAGTAATGACTCCACTCTCCTCCCAGTTGCCCAAGCAGGAAACTGTAGGGGTGATTTTATCTTCTCCTTTTCCTATCAGCTCAGATCCAATAGGTACCAGGACCTTCAAGGTAAGGTCTGAAATTCAAACCTGGTATATCTCTCCCCTCCTCTGCTTCCACTGCTGGACCCTGCTTCCAGTCCTCATCGAAACTTTGGCACAGACATTCTGATTAATCACTTGATCATCAGTCTTTCTCAAATCCCCTATACCAGTCCATTTTATATCCTCAAGCCAAGATTAACTTCCTACACCACAACCCTGCTTTTGTTCCTTTTTTTGTTGTTGCTTGTGTGGTTTTCTTTTTTTTTTTTTTTTTTTTTTTTTTTTTTTTTTTTTGAGACAAGGTGGTCTTGCTCTACCACCCAGGCTAGAGTGCAGAGGTGTGATCTTGGCTCACTGCCAGGAACCAGAGACCCCAGCCTCCATTTATCCTCCCACCTCAGTCTGCAGAGTAGCTGGGACTGCAGGCAGGCACATGCCACCATGCCCAGCTATTTCATGTATTTTAATAGAAATGGGATTTCCCCATGTTGTCCAAGCTGGTCTCAACCTCCTGCGCTCCAGTGATCCATCCATCACAGCCTCCCAAAGTGCTGGAATAACAGGCATGAGCCACGGGGCTTGGCCTTTTTGTCATTTTATTCCAAATATAAATAAGGGGTTTTCTTTAACATGATGCTGGAGTCCCAAAATTATGATTCTATACATGATTTCTCATTACTTACAGAATTAACTTCAAACTTTTCCCTCATACTCTCTACAATCACACTACTCTCCTTAGAAAATTTGATGGGCTTCCCATGACTCTAGCAATGCTTATATTCCAGGCATACCTGACAGCTCACTGCTCAGATTACTTTTCTAAAATGAGATGGGAGAGAAACAGATGTTTGCTCTTTCCAAGAAATTGATACACATGCTGATTTCTGTGCCTTTTTTACTTGTTCTTTCCGTAGAATGTACACCCTCCACTCTAACACCCTACTCTAACCATCCTTGAACACCTATGTAACATCACCTTTATCAGAAAACTTCTCAGCCAGATACAGAAATCATTCCAATGACCTGACCTGTGTTCACACAGAACTCCAGAACAAGACCAAGCTGACAGTGCTGGAAGGAGACATTCTGGATGAGCCATTCCTGAAGAGAGCCTGCCAGGACGTCTCGGTCATCATCCACACCGCCTGTATCATTGATGTCTTCGGTGTCACTCACAGAGAGTCTATCATGAATGTCAATGTGAAAGGTATGGTAGGCTGGGGAGGAGATGCAGCAAGGTGGGGAATTAAGGATCACAAAGAAGGGCAGGAAGGGAAGAGAAGTCCCTCCACTGAACACCTGCTGTGCTCTGGGCCAAGTGCCTTTGCTGATCACTACGAATAGGAGAGTTCAAGACTGCTAACTTTAGTTTTTTAGATGATAAAACTAGGACTGAGAGAGGGCAAGTAACTTGTCCAAGGTCCCCCAGGTAAGTAAGCAGGTAGGAGAGTTAGACTTTAAACTCATCCCTGTGTGACTCCAAAGGCTCTTTCTACTGTGACTCCAAAAGCTCTTTCTACTGTGGTTCCAATCAAAAGTCAACTAATTTCTGACTTCAGACTCTTGATACCCAGACACCCCTTGCCTCCCAGGCCAGAAGCAGACCTTGCAGGTGCCACTGTAGTCACCATTTTGAACCTTGTGTGTAGGCTGATGAAAACATTCAGAGCCCTCCTGCCCACCTCAAACAAAAAGTCCTCTCGAGAGAACTAGCAAAGCTGGTTCACAAGGTCTGTCAGGACAGAATTATCCAGCACATGCCTTCCCACAATATTTTTTTAACAGTGAGATTTTTCCAGTATCAAGAATACAGTCTCTTCAGCTCACCACAGGGCCTACTATTCCAGAGCCGTTTTCAGCCAGGTGCCCAAAGTGCACCCTCATTTAATCTTCATCCCTTAAATGCTTGGCGTTTCCTTTCAAAGTATGGCTTTCCAACTACCTTAAATTCAGACACATTTCCTTAAGGAATCTTCTCAGAAATCTCACCCTCTGATCTCCAGAGTCCAGTCTCTTCAGCACCATAGCACCCCAAACCCCGGCCTGGCCCTCCGCATTTAGTCTACTCTGACTCTTTTTCCAAAGCAACCAATTGCTTTTGAGTCTCCAGCACCATAAAAGAAAAAAAAAAACAACTTCCAGTTTCTACTTACCCATACTTCTAAGTACCCCTGCTGTGCAAGGAGGGTGCTAAGAGTAACCAGTTTTAATTACTACTTCAACAGCTCCCAAAAGGAGGGGATATGAAATGACAGGGGAAGTGTTAGAGGCATCTGTTTGCTAAAACCATTATAACTCCCAAGCTTAGAAAATACTTCACAATGTTGGTCATTTCCCCCTTGAAGGTAAACTAACTCCAAATTTTCTCTGCCACAAGATTAATTTTTGAACACATGAGGCTGTCTTTCCAGAAACTCAAATTGCACAGAGACATTAAAAGGGCTAAGAATACAAAAATTTGTAAATAAAAATGATCCTTTCCCTAGGAAATTCCTTCCTTCTTCAAGGGAAGGCACTATGGGTACCTCCATGAGCTTTGCTTCTACACAGCTCAGGGGAGGCTGCAAGGTCCTCCCACTGCAGGTGTTACCAGCAGAGGACACACTTCTCTCCCCAGCCCTCCACCAGGCTCCACAGGAAATGCCAGGGCAGGGTTTAAAAGAAGGTTTATCACCTCCACTTTACATAACCAGGTAAACAGAGTCACAGCCAGAATTGGAAGCAGCTTTCCCAGGGAATGCACAATCAGGAAGAGTGTGGGTTTCCAGCATCTCCCCACAACCCACTGCTTGCTCAGTGACTCCAGGATGGTCCTTGTGACAAAGTTTTATTAGAGCCCAGCAAAATGAGAAAAGTACCAACAATTTCATATATATTGAAGAGTTTATATTGCCTATATACAATGGTGTATGTGTGTGTGTGATGTGAATTCTTCAACTGCCCATTTTGCCTAAGGACTGGAACTGTCCATATTCACAGAGTATAGCCTCCTGATTTTTTAGATTTTAAATGATCTGACTTTAATGGTACTGATTACAAATCATAATTTGTCAATACCCTTACTTGGCAAAATAAAAAGTGATAACCCTAGGTCCCTTTCCAAAATTAAAGTACACACACACACACATCCATGAAACCCAAAAGTCTAGAAATTCTTACTCTCCAGAACCCACATGTCAGTTTCTCTTCATTTTGGTATTTTTCTTATGGCTGTAGTACGACCAAATCTCAGACAGAACCACAGAAGAATGTACCCTGAGTCTGTTACAACCACCATATTTGGGAGTGGGGGGTGGGGCACATAGATCTGTGTTCGTGGTTGGCACCTCTTAGGGATATATCCTGACAGTGACAATATGCTCTTCATGGACAGGTACCCAGCTCCTGTTAGAGGCCTGTGTCCAAGCTAGTGTGCCAGTCTTCATCTACACCAGTAGCATAGAGGTAGCCGGGCCCAACTCCTACAAGGAAATCATCCAGAATGGCCATGAAGAAGAGCCTCTGGAAAACACATGGCCCGCTCCATACCCACACAGCAAAAAGCTTGCTGAGAAGGCTGTACTGGCGGCTAACGGGTGGAATCTGAAAAACGGCGGCACCCTGTACACTTGTGCCTTACGACCCATGTATATCTATGGGGAAGGAAGCCGATTCCTTTCTGCTAGTATAAACGAGGCCCTGAACAACAATGGGATCCTGTCAAGTGTTGGAAAGTTCTCCACTGTTAACCCAGTCTATGTTGGCAATGTGGCCTGGGCCCACATTCTGGCCTTGAGGGCCCTGCAGGACCCCAAGAAGGCCCCAAGCATCCGAGGACAGTTCTACTATATCTCAGATGACACGCCTCACCAAAGCTATGATAACCTTAATTACACCCTGAGCAAAGAGTTCGGCCTCCGCCTTGATTCCAGATGGAGCTTTCCTTTATCCCTGATGTATTGGATTGGCTTCCTGCTGGAAATAGTGAGCTTCCTACTCAGGCCAATTTACACCTATCGACCGCCCTTCAACCGCCACATAGTCACATTGTCAAATAGCGTATTCACCTTCTCTTATAAGAAGGCTCAGCGAGATCTGGCGTATAAGCCACTCTACAGCTGGGAGGAAGCCAAGCAGAAAACGGTGGAGTGGGTTGGTTCCCTTGTGGACCGGCACAAGGAGACCCTGAAGTCCAAGACTCAGTGATTTAAGGATGACAGAGATGTGCATGTGGGTATTGTTAGGAGATGTCATCAAGCTCCACCCTCCTGGCCTCATACAGAAAGTGACAAGGGCACAAGCTCAGGTCCTGCTGCCTCCCTTTCATACAATGGCCAACTTATTGTATTCCTCATGTCATCAAAACCTGCGCAGTCATTGGCCCAACAAGAAGGTTTCTGTCCTAATCATATACCAGAGGAAAGACCATGTGGTTTGCTGTTACCAAATCTCAGTAGCTGATTCTGAACAATTTAGGGACTCTTTTAACTTGAGGGTCGTTTTGACTACTAGAGCTCCATTTCTACTCTTAAATGAGAAAGGATTTCCTTTCTTTTTAATCTTCCATTCCTTCACATAGTTTGATAAAAAGATCAATAAATGTT
The DNA here is from genome assembly GCF_000001405.40 of Homo sapiens. NCBI lineage: Eukaryota > Metazoa > Chordata > Mammalia > Primates > Hominidae > Homo > Homo sapiens. The sequence goes on from NC_000001.11 coordinate 119,515,044, forward strand.
TGAATGTTTAATGTGGAGGGAGGTGTGAGTTATGTTAATACATACTTTCCTCCTTTCTCCTTCTTTTCCAGGTATTGCCATCTCCAATTTAGAAGAGTAGCATAAAACCTGGGTTGGGGAGAGGGCAGAGTAGTGGGAGGGCCAGGAAGGGCGGATGAAGACTGAATAAGCTCTACTACCTTTCAGGCATGTACAACATGACCTACATATGACATATATTATCTTATTTAATACTCATCAGAAACCTATCTGGTGGGGGTGACTAATCCCATTTTACCACTGAGGAAACTTGTTCACAGTCACACTAACTGATTAGTGGCTATGCCTGCTACCAGGGAGTTGGCCTTGAAAGTCCTTATCTTTCCACGGAATCACGCAGCCTGAACTGGTCTTGTCAGTGGTACAGCAGAGCACTGGAGCATGCAGTGCCGATACGTGGAAGAGACCCATCTCCGTTGGGTTACCTCCTTCTTGCCCAGTCCCATGCAGGGGACTCTCTAGAACCCAGGAGAATCCCTGGGGAGCATCTGGAAGGGTTTGAATGCCTTAACAAATGGCCCTGAGCAGGGGTGAGTGAAGCAAAAATGCCTCCAGCCTCCACCTTCAATGCCAATTTCCTTGAAGGTCTCTAGAACACACCTGGCTATATGTGTGTTAGTCATTCTGATCATACATAACCCTGCATTTCACCCTTTCAAATCACACAGTGAAGCCACACCATGGGTTCCTGGGCAAGTAAAGGGAACAAGTTTAAACTTCCCCCAAAATGTGCCTTCTATTCAGCCCAAGAAGTAAGTCTACTGTCCCACATCCCCAGATTTAACTGCCTCTCTCTTCATTCTCCTTCTCTTCTTGAGATCATATCTTTTCCTCCTTTATTCTTTCATCTCCTTAGCCTCTTTCCTTCCCTCCAAATCCCCTTAAATCACTGGCTCTCTCATTCTTCTCAATTTCCCTGAGGAAAGGAGGCTAATCAAGACAAGCTTGGGGACTTCGATGATGACATAGTCATTAACCAACCAAAGGAGCAACAGTCAAATAAAAAATACTCTCAGGGGCATCAGTGACAGAGTTGAACTGAAGTGGGTGAGGAAGTTGCTGTGGGTCCAGAGTGTGGGGAGGGGAAAATTATCTCCCTCTGGACCTGGGTGTATCACAGCCATGATAGGAGTCACACCCAACTTCAAGATGGCTTGCTTCTTACATGGGGAATTTACAGATTATTAATCAGTTGAATTTGATTACTGCAAAGAGGTAGTTTCAGTATTCATTCTGAAGGGAAAAGGTAAGCACATTCTGGTCCAGAAGAACAGGTTTCCACCACCATCAACACCCCAAGAGACAGATGATCAGCACCAGCATCAGCATGGAGTGGCCCCAGGCAGTAGGGTAACATGGAAAATGGAACACCCATCCTTCCCTGGCACTGCACAAAATGCAAGAACCAGCATCTGTTCAGCTCTTGAAAGGCATGCACACCATGTATATGTTAATGCAAAATAGCAGTGAAAGGAAAGGAGGGTGGTGGAATCTTGGAAAAGGGCCCTTCCTCCTTGTTTTTCTGCCTAGTGAAACCCCACACCTATGAATCCACCAGGGCAATTTTCACAGGCAAGGGAAGAAAAAGGATTTATCTCCAACAGGCAGTGAGGGGTGTTTGAAGTAAGAGAATAGAAGACTGGATTGGCCAATGGTCTCAACTGAACAAGCACGAAGGCCTCAGAGTCTTGTGGCTAACAAAATGTGCCATCCCTTATTACACCTGCAGGTGCCAGGCGGGCAGAGCTCCTGCACCAAGCCCTGCTGCACCTCACCTGATGCACCACATGGGGGGCTGAAAAGGCTCCGAGGGAAGAACAAGGAAGCCTGACCTGGTAGGGAATTTTGGGTTCCTTTTCTCCAGCTGGGTGGCTCTGCAAGGTACCTGGCACAAGAATGAATGAAAGCGCTAGCCAGTACAGCCTGAGCTTTTGCTGAATGTGCCATCTTGCCCTAGCATAACATGCGAAGCCTTCATATGAAGACATTCCCTCTGTCTACCTCCCACCCCCTGCAGCCCCTGGCCCAAAATTCCTAAAGTCATACTTATAGTTGGCAAAATAATTCACCACAAGCAGATTGGGCAGACAGGGAACAAAACCAACCTTCACCTTCACCCTTAAATGGTGTTGGAATGTGTAAGCATCTGTACCTCTCTCATATATGTCTCCCTAGCGTTGAGCACTATACCCGGCACTTGCCCACTCAGCTGAGGGGTGAACTTCCCAGGGGCTCTGCTCTCAATGAGACACAGCCTTGGGGCCCGGGGAAGGCCAGCCATACACAGATGGTATCAGAACACCCAGGCAGAACCACTCCCTACTTCAGCTATAGTAGGTCCAGAAAAGCATCTCAGTGGAGTGTCTTCAGTGAATAAAAAGAATGCATTGAACTACTTTCAATGAATCCCTGGTCTCCAGGAACTGAACTCTGTCAGTCCTTTTACTAGTGTTGAACATTCTTCAAATATATGTATGGGAATGCCAGCTTGAACACAGCATGTACACTTATACCTTTTTCAAATTTCTTAAACAGAGGGAAACATGGGATACAGAACAACTTGCTGCCCACCTCATTGGCTTCCAAAGCTGAGCATTCCTGGCTGCTGGAATGAGGCAGGGCACCAGCTGGATATAGAGAGCACTGAGAACAGTGGCCTGGATCTCAGGGGAACAGCTGGCAATTGAAATCCATTGGAATGTGCTTTGGGTTAGCAGAGATGGCCTGGATCTCAGGGGAACAGCTGGCAATTGAAATCTATTGGAATGTGCTTTGGGTTAGCAGAGATGGCCTGGATCTCAGGGGAACAGCTGGCAATTGAAATCCATTGGAATGTGCTTTGGGTTAGCAGAGATGACCTTGACACTGCAGTCTGGCAGCAGAAAACTGCAATCTGCATGGCACTTGAGGTTGTGACAGGGAGACAGGGGAATAAGCATTAACAGCAAAGCTAGAGATAGCTGGGCACTAAGGCTCATGTCTATAATCCCAGAATTCTGGGAGGCCAAGGCAGAAGGATCACTTGAGCCTAGAATTTCAAGATCACCCTGGGCAACATAGGGAGACTCCATCTTTACAAAATTAAAAATGTATCAAAAGCCAATCAGGGCTTGGTGGTGTGCACCTGTGGTCCCAGCCACTCCCAAGGCTAAGGTAGTAGAATCACTTGGCCTGGGAAGTTGAGGATCATGCCACTGCACTCCAGTACTCTGAGTGACAGAGCAAGACGCTGTCAGAAAATAAGAAAACAATAAAAAAGGAAAAAAGGTTAGAGAAAAAAAAGAATGTCTAAATGAATAATGTCAGCACTGGAATCCCCATGATCTTTTGCTACTTGCCACACTCTGTTCTCCATACAACAGCCTGAGACATGTTTTTAAGTAAATTCAAATCCTATGCCCCACCTATTTAAAACCTTTCTGTGGCTTCCCGATCCATTTACTATACGCTCTAAACTGATCTCCAGCTCTCCTGGGCACTGCATGATCTGCTCATCCTTCCAACGCATTTCCTCATCACTCTCCCTTTCACTCATGATGCCTGAGCCAGATTGACCTCCCTTATATTCCATAAACAAGCAAATCTTTCTTGCCTTTGGATCTTCACATTTATCATTCCCTTAACATAAAATGGTATTCCTCATATCTCATGATTGGCTCTCTGTTGACATGTAGATCTCAGCTGAACTGTTAAGGATGAGGTGAGACATCCCTGACCATCCTCTCCTGAATACGCTCTGCTTCACTCATCACATCACCCTGTTTCTCCCCTCCTAGCTGTTACCACAACCTGCAACTAACTTATCAGTTGTCTATTTTGTTGTTTATCTGTACCTGCATAGGGACCTTAAACCGTCTTGCTCCCTGCTACATTCCCAAGAATCTAGAATCATGCCCAATGTCATAGAGAGTCCCATAAATATTTATTAAATAAATTAATCCATGGAGGCAAAGCTGGACCAGACTACATCAGCACATCTGGAGAATTATAGCAGTCAGAGGAGGAAAACAGTGAGTTAGGATGGAACCCAGCAGAATGGGTCACTACCTAAGCCAACAGACCTGAAAAGTCTTCTATCATTCCTTGACTGGACACTTTCCTGCATGAACCCATGCCATTGTGCAGGTCCACTTTTGCCCAGATTAACCCCCAGAGCCAAGAGCTGGGTCAAGGAAACATTTGCATAGAAAACACCAAAAGAGAAAGCCGTCCCACAGGCAGTCACTCTGGTAATAACTTTTAAGGCTATTTGTTTAAACCAAATATATGTATAGGACGTATACCATCCACATATTATAAAGGAAAAATAAACTACCATTGTACAGCTCTGCTTTCATATAACTGCAATTCAGAACACAGAATTCAGGAAAGTGAACAACAAACTTTCAAATCAGCAGTGACTTAAAAAAATTGTTTTCCATAGTGTCTGACTCAAAGCAGCTCCTTTGATTCTTCTCAGAACAAAAGATCTTAAAAGAGCAGCTCAGTAATGACTGAAACAGCCAGTGGATTATAGTTTTTTTCACATCCTTTATATCGCTAGGAGATAACTATGGAATGTTGCACTCTGGACAGAAGAGCAATACTTATAAAATATTCCCCAACAAAAATCACACTCTCTATTTTTTATGTTATTTTTTTTTTATTATACTTTAAGTTATGGGATACATGTACAGAATGTGCAGGTTTGTTACATAGGTATACACGTGCCATGGTGGTTTACTGCACCCATCAACCCGTCATCTACATTAGGTATTTCTCCTAATGCTATCCCTCCCCTTGCCCCCCACCCCCCGATAGGCCCTGGTGTGTGATGCTCTCCTCCCTGTGTCCATGTGTTCTCATTGTGCACTTCCCACTTATGAGTGACAACATGCTGTGTTTGGTTTTCTGTTCCTGTGTTAGTTTGCTGAGAATGATGGTTTTCAGCTTCATCCGTGTCCCTTCAAAGGACATGAACTCATTGTTTTTTATGGCTGCATAGTATTCCATGGTATATATATGCCACATTTTCTTTATCCAGTCTATCATTGATGGGCATTTGGGTTGGTTCCAAGTCTTTGCTATTATAAATAGTGCCGCAATAAACATACATATGCATGGGTCTTTATAATCTTTCAGGTATATACCCAGTAATGGGATTGCTGCATCAAATGGTATTTCTGGTTCTAGATCCTTGGGAAATCACCACATTGTCTTCCACAATGATTGAACTCATGTACACTCATACCAACAATGTAAAAGTGTTCCTGTTTCTCCACAACCTCTCCAGCATCTGTTGTTTCCTGACTTGTTAATGATCACCATTCTAACTGGAGTGAGATGGTCTCTCATTGTGGTTTTGATTTGCATTTCTCTAATGGTCAGTGATGATGAGCTTTTTTTCATATGTTTATTGGCCACACAAATGTCTTCTTTTGAGAGTGCGATGCCTCCAGCTTTGTTCTTTTTGCTTAGGATTGTCTTGGCTATACAGGCTCTCTTTTGGTTCCATATAAAATTTAAAGCAGTTTTTTATAATTCTGTGAAGAAAATCAATGGTAGCCTGATGGGAATAGCATTGAATCTATAAATTACTTTGGGTAGTATCACTATTTTCACGATATTGATTCTTTCTATCCATGAGCATGGACTGTTTTTCCTTTTGTTTGTGCCCTCTCTTATTTCTGTGAGCAGTGGTTTGTAGCTCTCATTGAACAGGTCCTTCACATCTGTTGTAAGTTGGATCCCTAGGTATTTTATTCTCTTTGTAGCAATTGTGAATGGGAGTTCACTCATGATTTGGCTCTCTGTTTGTCTGTTATTGGTGTATAGGAATGCTTGTGATTTTTGCACATTGATTTTGTATCCTGACACTTTGCTGAAGTTGCTTATCAGCTTAAGGAGTTTTTGTACTGAGATGATGGGGTTTTCTAAATATATAATTATGTCATCTACAAACAGAGACAATTTGACTTCCTCTCTTCCTATTTGAATGCCCTTTATTCCTTTCTCTTGCCTGCTTACCCTGGCCAGAACTTCCAATACTGTGTTGAATAAGAGTGTTAACAGAGGGCATCCTAGTTTTGTGCCAGTTTTCAAAGGGAATACTTCCAGCTTTTGTCCATTCAGTATGATATTGGCTGTGGGTTTGTCATAAATATCTCCTATTATTTTCAGATATGTTCCATCAATACCTAGTTTATTAAGTGTTTTTAGCGTGAAGGGGTGTTGAATTTTGTCTAAGGCCTTTTCTGCGTCTATTGAGCTAATCATGTGTTTTTTGTCATTGGTTCTGTTTATGTGATGGATTACATTTACTGATTCGTGTATGATGAATCACCCTTGCATCCCAGGGATAAAGCCAACTTGATCATGGTGCATAACCTTTTGAATTTGCCGCTGGATTCGGTTTGCCAGTATTTTATTGATGATTTTCGCATCAATGTTCATCAGGGATTTTGGCCTGAAATTTTCTTTTTTGTTGTTGTATCTCTGCCAGGTTTTCATATCAGGATGATGCTGGCCTCAGAAAACTAGTTACGGAGAAGTTCCTCTTTTTCTGTTGTTTGGAATAGTTTTAGAAGGAATGGTACCAGCTCCTCTTTGTACCTCCAGTAGAATTCAGCTGTGAATCCATCTGGTCCTGGGCTTTTTTGTTGGTAGGCTATTAATTACCGCCTCAGTTTCGGAACTTGTTATAGGCCTATTCAGGAATTGGACTTTTTCCTGGTTTAGTCTTGGGAGGGTGTATGTGTCGAGGAATTTATCCATTTCTTCTAGATTTTCTAGTTTATTGGATAAAGAGTCATGACCCATCCATGTGCTGTATTCAAGAAACCCATCTCATGTGCAGAGACACACATAGACTCAAAATAAAGGGATGGAGGAAGATCTACCAAACAAATGGAAAACAAAAAAAACCAGGGGTTGCAATCCTAGTCTCTGATAAAACAGACTTTAAACCAACAAAGATCAGAAGAGACGAAGAAGGCCATTACATAATGGTAAAGGGATCAATTAGACAAGAAGAGCTAACTATCCTAAATAAATATGCATGCAACACAGGAGCACCCAGATTCATAAAACAAGTCCTTAGAGACCTACAAAGAAACTTAGACTCCCATACGATAATAATGGGAGACTTTAACACCACACTGTCAACATTAGACATGTCCATGAGACAGAAAGTTAACAAGGATACTCAGGAATTGAACTCAGCTCTGCATCAAGTGGACCTAATAGACATCTACAGAACTCTCCACCCCAAATCAACAGACTACACATTTTTTTCAGCACCGCACCACACCTATTCCAAAATTGACCACATACTTGGAAGTAAAGCACTCCTCAGCAAATGTGAAACAACAGAAATTATAACAAACTGTCTCTCAGACCACAGTGCAATCAAACTAGAACTCAGGATTAAGAAACTCACTCAAAACCGCTCAACTACATGGAAACTGAACAACTTGCTCCTGAAGGACTACTAGGTACATAACAAAATGAAGGCAGAAATAAAGATGTTTTTTGAAGCCAACGAGAACAAAGACACAACATACCAGAATCTCTGGGACACATTCAAAGCAGCGTGTAGAGGGAAATTTATAGCACTAAATGCCCACAAGAGAAAGCAGGAAAGATCCGAAATTGACACCCTAACATCACAATTAAAAGAACTAGAGAAGCAAGAGCAAACACATTCAAAAGCTAGCAGAAGACAAGAAATAACTAAGATCAGAGCAGAACTGAAAGAGATAGAGACACAAAAATCCCTTCAAAAAATCAATGAATCCAGGAGCTGGTTTTTTGAAAAGATCAACAAAATTGATAGACTGCTAGCAAGACTAATAAAGAAGAAAAGAGAGAAGAATCAAATAGACGCAATAAAAAATGATAAAGGGGATACCACCACCAATCCCACAGAAATACAAACTACCATCAGAGAATACTATAAACACCTCTACACAAATAAACTAGAAAATCTAGAAGAAATGGATAAATTCCTCGACACATACACCCTCCCAAAACTAAACCAGGAAGAAGTTGAATCTCTGAATAGACCAATAAGAGGCTCTGAAATTGAGGCAATAATTAAGAGCCTACCAACCAAAAAAAGTCCAGGACCAGATGCATTCACAGCTGAATTCTACCAGAGGTGCAAAGAGGAGCTGGTACCATTCCTTCTGAAACTATTCCAATCAATAGAAAAAGAGGGAATCCTCCCTAACTCGTTTCATAAGGCCAGCATCATCCTGACACCAAAGCCTGGCAGAGACACAACCAAAAAAGAGAATTTCACACCAATAACCTTGATAAACATCAACGCAAAAATCCTCAATAAAATACTGGCAAACCGAATCCAGCAGCACATCAAGAACTTATCCACCATGATCAAGTGGGCTTCATCCATGGGATGCAAGGCAGGTTCAAAATACGCAAATCAATGAACATAATCCAGCATATAAACAGAACCAAAGACAAAAACCACATGAATATCTCATTATATGCATAAAAGGCCTTTGACAAAATTCAACAGCCCTTCATGCTAAAAACTCTCAATAAACTAGGTATTGATGGGATGTATCTCAAAATAATAGGAGATATCTATGACAAACCCACAGCCAATATCATACTGAATGGGCAAAAACTGGAAGCATTCCCTTTGAAAACTGGCACAAGACAGGGATGCCCTCTCTCACCACTCCTATTCAACATAGTGTTGGAAGTGCTGGCCAGGGCAATTAAACAGGAGAAGGAAATAAAGGGTATTCAAATAGAAAAAAAGGAAGTCAAATTGTCCCTGTTTGCAGACGACATGATTGTATATTTAGAAAACCTCATCGTCTCAGCCCAAAATCTCCTTAAGCTGATAAGCAACTTCAGCAAAGTCTCAGGATACCAAATCAATGTGCAAAAATCACAAGCATTCCTATACACCAATAACAGACAAACAGAGAGCCAAATCATGAGTGAACTCCCATTCACAATTGCTTCAAAGAGAATAAAATACCTAGGAATCCAACTTACAAGGGATGTGAAGGACCTCCTCAAGGAGAACTACAAACCACTGCTCAATGAAATAAAAGAGGATACAAACAAATGGAATAACATTCCATGCTCATGTGTAGGAAGAATCAATGTCGTGAAAATGGCCATACTGCCCAAGGTAATTTATAGATTCAATGCCATCCCCATCAAGCTACAAATGACTCTCTTCACAGAATTGGAAAAAATTACTTTAAAGTTCATATGGAACCAAAAAAGAGCCTGCATGCCAAGTCAATCCTAAGCCAAAATAACAAAGCTGGAGGCATCACCCTACCTGACTTCAAACTACACTACAAGGCTACAGTAACCAAGACAGCATGATACTGGTACCAAAACAGAGATATAGACCAATGGAACAGAACAGAGCCCTCAGAAATAATACCACACATCTACAACCATCTGATCTTTGACAAACCTGACAAAAACAAGAAATGGGGAAAGGATTCCCTATTTAATAAATGATGCTGGGAAAACTGGCTACCTATATGTAGAAAGCTGAAACTGGATCCCTTCCTTACACCTTATACAAAAATTAATTCATGATGGATTAAAGACTTAAATGTCAGACCTAAAACCATAAAAACCCTAGGAGAAAACCTAGGCAGTACCATTCAGGACATAGGCATGGGCAAGGACTTCATGTCTAAAACACCAAAAGCAATGGCTACAAAAGCCAAAATTGACAAATGGGATCTAATTAAACTAAAGAGCTTGTGCACAGTAAAAGAAACTACCATCAGAGTGAACAGGCAACCTACAGAATGGGAGAAAATTTTCGCAACCTACTCATCTGACAAAGGGCTAATATCCAGAATCCACAAAGAACCTAAATAAATTTAGAAGAAAGAATCAAACAATTCCATCAAAAAGTGGGCAAAGGATGTGAACAGACACTTCTCAAAAGAAGACATTTATGCAGCCAACAGACACATGAAAAAATGTTCATCATCACTGGCCATCAGAGAAATGCAAATCAAAACCACAATGAGATACCATCTCTCACCAGTCAGAATGGCCATCATTAAAAAGTCAGGAAAAAACAGGTGCTGGAGAGGATGTGGAGAAATAGGAACACTTTTACAATGTTGGTGGGACTGTAAACTAGTTCAACCATTGTGGAAGACAGTGTGGCTATTCCTCAAGGATCTAGAACTAGAAATACCACTTGACCCAGCCATCCCATTACTGGGTATATACCCAAAGGATTGTAAATCATGCTGCTATAAAGACACATGCACACGTATGTTTATTGAGACACTATTCACAATAGCAAAGACTTGGAACCAACCCAAATGTCCATCAATGATAGACTGGATTAAGAAAATGTGGCACATATACACCATGGAATACTATATAGCCATAAAAATGGATGAGTTCTTGTCCTTTGTAGGGACATGGATGAAGCTGGAAACCATCATTCTGAGCAAACTATCACAAGGACAGAAAGCCAAACACCACATGTTCTCACTCATAGGTGGGAATTGAACAATGAGAATACTTGGACACAGGGTGGGGAACACCACATACTGGGGCCTGTCGTTTGGTGGGGGAGGGGGGAGGCATAGCATTAGGAGATATACCTAATGTAAATGACAAGTTAATGGGTGCAGCACACGATCATGGCACATGTGTACATATGTAACAAACCTGCAGGTTGTGCACATGTACCCTAGAACTTAAAGTATAATAATAATAAAAAAAAGAACATGCTCCTTTAGTTCAGAGGAGTTTGTTATTACCCACCTTCTGAATCCTACTTCTGTCAACTCGTCAAACTCATTTTTCTGTTGAGTTTTGTTCCCTTGCTGGTGAGGAGTTGTGATCCTTTGGAGGAGAAGAGGCATTCTGGTTTTGGGAACTTTCAGCATTTTTGCACTGGTTTTTCCTCATCTTCGTGGATTTATCTACCTTTGATCTTTGATGCTGATGACCTTCAGATGGGGTTTTTGTGTGGGTGTCCTTTTTGATGATGTTGATGTTATTGCTTTCTGTTTGTTAGTTTTTCTTCTAACAGTCAGGCCTCTCTTCTGCAGGTCTGCTGGAGTTTGCTGGAGGTCTACTGCAAACCCTGTTTGCCTGGGTATCAGCAGTGGAGGCTGCAGAACAGCAAAGATTGCTGCCTTCTCCTTCCTCTGGAAGCTTCATCCCAGAGGGGCACCTGCCAGATGCCAGTCAGAGCTCTCCTGTATGAGCTGCCTGTTGACCCATGCTGGGACATGTCTCCCAGTCAGGAGGCATGGGGGTCAGGGACCCACTTGAGGAGGCAGTCTGTCCCTTAGCAAAGCTCGAGCACTGTTCTGGGAGATCCACTGCTCTCTTCAGAGCTGGCAGGCAGAAACGTTTAATTCTGCTGAAGCTGTGCCCACAACCACCCCATCCCCCAGTGCTCTGTCTCCGGGAGATGGGACTTTTATTTATGACCTTCTGACTGGGGTTGCTGCCTTTCTTTCAGAGATGCCTTGCCAAGAGTGGAGGAATCTAGAGAAGCAGTCTGGCTATAGTAGCTTTGCTGTGCTGTGGTGAGTTCCACCCAGTCCAAACTTCCCAGTGGCTTTGTTTACACTGTCAGAGGAAAACTGCCTACACAAGGTTCAGTAATGGCAGATGCCCCTCTCCCCACCAAGCTCAAGCTCCCCTGGTTGACTTCAGAATGCTGTGCTGGCAGTGGAAATTTCAAGCTAGTAGATCTTAGCTTGCTGGGCTCCATGCTGGTGGGGCACACTGAGCAAGACCACTTGGCTCCCTGGCTTCAGCCCCTTTCAAAGGAGTGAAATGGTTCTGTCTTGCTGGTGTTCCAGGCACCACTGGGGTACAAAAAATAACTCCTGCAGCTAGCTCAATGTCTGCCCAAATGGCCACCCAGTTTTGTGCATGAAACCCAGGGCCCTGGTGGTGTAGGCACCAAAGGGAATATCCTGGTCTGCAGGTTGCAAAATCTGGGGGAAAAGCATGGTATCTTGGCCAGATATCACAGTCCCTCATGGCTTCCCTTGGCTAGGGAAGGTAGTTTCCAGACCCCTTGTGCTTCCTGGGTGAGGCGACACCCCACCCTGCTTCTGCTCACTCATGGGCTGCGTCCACTGTCTAACCAGTCCCAATGAGATGAACCGGGTACCTCAGTTGGAAATGCAGAAATCACCCGCCTTCTGCGTTGGTCTCACTGGGAGCTGCAGATTGGAGCTGTTCTTATTCAGCCATGTTGCCAGATTCCCATACTCTCTATCTATTAAACAGTGCAGCAGAGGAAAATCAGAGGAAAGGGAAAAAAAAGCAGGTGTCATTAGAATACTTGGAAAAATAGTAGGTACTTTGGAGAATTGTGGTCATTTAAAAGAAGCTCAGAAGTCTAAATTAGATGTCATTGTAAATGGGTTGATAAAAAGAAAAGGGAAATTGACCATGATTCCACTGTTAGTCCTTCACTTTTTATTCAGGTCTCAAATTGGCTGCTGCTTTGGTGGACTGATAATTTCAGGACACAGAGTGGAGGGTCTTTAATCTGGCAGCAAAGATGGAGTGCTTGTGCTGAAAGTTCAGGGACATACTAAGAAAGAACATGTCTATGGGTGACTGTCTGGCTGTTGCAGCAGTAACAGTGCCATTGTGGGACAGGATGCCTAGATGACCATGATCCTTGAAGATGACCTCCATTACCCTGATTTGTGTGGCAACATGTGACTTGGAAAAAAATGGAAGCTTCATGATTTAGTCTGTTTGTGCTAGTATAACAAAATGTATGAGGTCGGATAACTTACAAACAATTGGAACTTATTTCTCATGTTCTAGAGGCTGGGAAGTCAGTAATGAAGGTCCTGTTATGTTCCATGTGTGGTGAGAGCCCAGCATCTCCTTCCAAGACAGCATCTTGTTGCTGCATTCTCTGCAAGAGATGGACACTGTGTCTTCACATGGTGGGAGAATGGAAGGAGCCACCTAGTTCTTTCAAGCCCTCTTATAAGGTCACAGTCCCATTCATGAGGACCCTGTCATCATATATTAATCATTTCCTAAAGGAACCAGTTTAAATCCTATCACATTGGCAATTAAAATTCAACCTATGGATCTGGAAGAGATATATTAAGACCATACAATTTCACAAGATCAAGAAGGAATACGGGACAAGGGTAATCTTGGTATAGCCTAACTCATGCACTGCTGCAAGGGACTTTGGGAATATTTTTTACTTCAAGTCACAGAGCCAAGGCCAGAGACAAGAAAAAACACAGGAGTGAAGGAAAGAGTAAAATATTCATTGTCAAGACCTAGAATGTTACGGGATTTTATGGCCCATTGACTAATATTTATTCTGTGCAATGCAATGACCTTCAAGAAAAGTAGCAGAGAGTTTTCAGATCAGGGATTCAGGAACCATAGAAACAAATTAAAATTGACTACTTCAGTTCTTCAAGAGTAAATAAGAAAGGATATATCTTTATTTTGGTCATATTGGATAGCTTTAGTAGATAGATGGAGGCTTTCTCAATAAAGTACTACAGAGCTAAATAAATGGCAGAGACTTAAGTCTAGGAAATCTCCTCTTACTCAGGAGTCTCCAAGAACATGACCTCAGACATTGGGCAGACTCATTAGAGAGCTCTCCCACCAGCCATGTCCTACAGCATATGATCAAACCTAGGCAGACTTTGCTGTCCTCTGGCCTGTTCCCCAACCCTCATACCCTTGTCCCCATCAGGAATCTGCCTCGCAGACAGTGGGACTTGGTGCCCTTTCTAGATATTTACTCTTTGGAAGTTCACATCTAGATCATAGAACTCTTTCTCACATACAACTTTTCTCACTCTCTTTTTATTTGTGTTCAATTCATAGCCATGGTCTCATGATTCTCCTCACATCAGAAAAAGATAAGAACATCTCAGTACTAAATTGTTCTTTGTGGTTAAATAAATAAATAAGTAAAGCCTTGAAGATAAGACTTGAAATCAGAGAAAACATAAGCAGGATGACATCCACCTCTCCAAACACCCAATCACAGTCTCATAAATCATTTTTTTTTCATGCTTTCATGCTGGCTAGTAATCATGTTGCAAAATTTACCAAAGTTTCTTTTTATTACAGGGACTTCAAAGCAGGCATAACGGACTGCTTAAGGTCATCTCTTCAACCCTGAAATCACCAGCTGAGGACTTGTGGGATTCAACAGAGATTGGTTTGTGGTAAGAGTGAAACAAATCACATGAGCATATAGTATTAAAGCAATCTGGTATACAGACAATGCAGACAATGATGTTAGCTTACTTTATAAGAGAATGTAGTAGAAGCTCTCTTTGAATACATCCACCTGGTGATAACTGTGCTCCTGGACACACATGTGTGTAATTTTTTAAGATGTGTCTGTACTCAGAGGACAAGATCCAAAATTCCAAGGGAAATGGCAAGAATATTAAGATAATGCCAAAATACTTTTCTCCACTGCTCAGAAACAGGGAAAAATGAATGTCCACAGTAAACTGAAGAGGTGCATATAAAATCTCAGAAGGAATCTCTTAACTCCTAGAAATTCTTACATTTGTAATGCAATCTGATACAAACATAGGCAAAAGACCTGAACAGACACCTTGCCAAAGAAGATGTATAGAATGCAAAAAACCATGTAAAAAGATATTCAACATCATATGTCATTAGAGAATTGCAAACTAAAATGAAAATAAGATACCACTGCACATCCATTAGAATGGTGAAAATCCACAACACTGACAACATCAAATGCTAGCAAGAATGTGGAGCATCAAGAATGCTCATCCATTGCTGGTGGGGATGCAAAATGGTACAGACACTTTGTAAGGCAGTTTGGCAGTTTTTTTTAAAACTAAACATATTCTTACCATATGATCCAGCAATCATGCTTTATTTAATTTACACAAATAAATTGGAAACTTATTTCTTAAAACTTACTTTGAAGTTAGATCTTCTTTTTTTTTTTTCTTTCTTTTTTTTTTTTTTTTTTTTTTGGACAGAGTTTCGCTCTTGTTGCACAGGCTGGAATGCAATGGCATGATCTTGGCTCACTGAAACCTTTGCCTCCAGGGTTCAAGTGATTCTCCTGCCTCAGCCTCCCGAGTAGCTGGGATTACAGGCATTCACCACCATGCCTGGCTAATGTTGTGTTTTTATTAGAGACGGGGTTTCTTCATGTTGGTCAGGCTGGTTTTGAACTCCCAACCTCAGGTGATATGCCCACCTCGGCCTCCCAAAGTGCTGGGATTACAGGCATGAGTCATTGTGCCTGGCTGGTTAGATCTTTATAGGGGTTTTATTCATGATTATCAAAACTTGGAAGAAGTCAAATTGTCTTTCGAAAATTGAATGCATAAACAAACTGTGGTACATCCAGACAATGATATATTATTCAGTGATAAAGAAGAAAAAAGCAATCAAGCCATAAAAAGACATGGAGGAAACTTAAATGTATATAAATGGAAGAAGCCAAAATGAACGGGGTACATGCACTGTGATTCCAACTATATGACATTCTAGAAAAGGCAAAACCTTGGAGACAGTAAAAACATCAATGGCTGTCAGGGTCAGGGTGCACAAAGGAATGAATAGGTAGAGGACAAAGATTTTAGGGCAGATGATACTAAAATGGTGGTGATATGTCATTATACATTTGTCAAAACTCAGAGAATGTAGAATACCAAGAGTAAACTTTGGACTTTGAGTGATAAAGATGTGTCAATGCAGGTCAATTCATTTTAATAAATGTACCATCCTGGTGGAGGGTGTTGATAGTGGGGGAGGTTATGTATGTTTGGATGTGGGAGTATACGAGAACTATCTGCTGTTTCCCTTAATCTTGTTGTGAAGTTAAAACTATTATAGAAAATAAAGCCCACTTTAAAACTTAAATGAGATAATACATGCAAAGCACCTGATATATAGTAAAGGGCTCAATTAATATATTATTAGAGCTCATATGTAGAGCTTTCTATGTGCAAGGAGATGTCCCGTATGACCTATTGGTCTGATCTTAACTGATTCATCTTTAAAATAAAGTTCTAGAGTGGACTTGCTGGGTCAAGTGTGTGAAAGTTTAAAATATTTTGTCAGATACTCACTAGAAATTTTCATCAACTTACACTTCCAAAAATAACACGCCTGTTTCCCCACATCTTCACCAACACTTAGTAACTTGAGATATTTTAATATTTGCTAAACTACTTGTGGCTTTCATACTGGGTTCAATGAAGGGTTCATGTTCTTTGTAATGCAAAAGAAATCCCCACAGAAAAAGGCACCTCACTGGAAGTATGACAATCTACCTTTTTTTTCCTTAAACATTGGAATTTCAAGAGCTCTTGCATCAGCATAAAGTTTGATTTCCTCTGAAAACTCAACTGGGGAAAGATCTAATTTCAAGCTCCCTTGCAGAGTTCTTGGGAGATTCAGTTCCTTGCAGGTTACTAAACTGAAAACCTCAGTTCCCCCTTGACTGTTGGATGCCTTCAGTCCCTTGCTATATTGTCCTCTCCAGCATGGCAGCTTGCTTCATCAAAGCCAATGAGAAAGCAGAAGTGTAAAAGCAAGATGGAAGTCACAATACTTTCTAATCTAATCATGGATGTAATATTTCATCACTTTTGTCCTATTATACCGGTTAAAACAATTCACTAGTTTTAGCCCACGTACAAGGGAATGAATACCAGGAGGTAGAGATCACTGGATTCACCTTAGAG
Organism: Homo sapiens; assembly: GCF_000001405.40. Classification (NCBI taxonomy): domain Eukaryota; kingdom Metazoa; phylum Chordata; class Mammalia; order Primates; family Hominidae; genus Homo; species Homo sapiens. The sequence continues at coordinate 119,531,807 of NC_000001.11, forward strand.
GCTGGCTACTATACCATCACTGTCAGCATCTAGAGCACCTGGTTGAATGCCATCTATGTGACCTCACCCCACCCAAGATAACTGGCAGACAGAGTAATAAGTAGAAGAAGGAAATCAGATTTTTCTAAAGCCTACTCCTTCCTCACTTTGAAGGCCTTCTGGGAAAGACAGCAAAGTTGAGCTCATATAAACCAAAAGCTCTGGTCCCAGTTCTCCCTGTATGGTGGGGAGAATTGCCCATTCTTTCTTACTTCTGACAACTGGCTCTTCAAGTACACTTCAAATACCTGAGAACCTATTCATATCCATTCTCTGAATGGGAAGAAAATTGCTCCTCCTTGGCAAACATCTTTGGCCTGGGCAAAAGTCCCAGGCTCTCATTAGTATGGGAAACTTTCCACTTTTTTCATTTTTGTGGTCACTGTTCTCTTCTATATCCTTTTATGTATTAGTCCATAAGCACTAAGTTTTGAAAGCACTAAGACATTCTAGAGTCCTTGATTGTTCACCCATACTTCCATTTCTTTATTCAATAAACATGTATTAAGTTCCTATTATGTCAGATGTGCAAATTCTTATGGTAATAAAAAGATGTATGAGACATAGACACTTTATTTAGTCAAACACTCAACAATATTTGAACATCTACTGTGTACAAGGTGCTAAGGATCAATAAAGGAGTAGTGCAGTTTAAGACAACACAACAAAAACAAACTCTTCACTCCACTGGCTGTAACACATTTCTACTCTGAGATCTTCATGGCACAACTTCTTGAACAAGTGTTGTTTTCAATAGTCACTCTCTTCACATTTTTCTTCTATTCCTCAACATACAGAAGAAACGTGTGTTGGACTTTCCAGTTGAACTTTCAACCCAACTATTTGTGGAAATTGCTATTACCAAATTACTTATGATGTTGCCAAAACAAATGATCAATTCTCTTCCTGTTACATTTCATGCATCAGAAGCATCCAACATAGTGGACCACATTCTTTTTGAAATACTTTCTTCACTTGACTTTTACAACGCCATCCGCTCCTAATTTTCCTCCTGCCGGCCACCGACTCCTACTCAGTATCTTTAGCTGGCCCCTCCTCCTCTGTTCAACCTCTAAATGTCGATATGTCTATTCCAGGATTCAGTCTAGAAACTTTTCCTTTTATCCTTGAATATTCTTACCCTAGCTTATTTCATCTAGTCCTGGGCTTTTAAAAATCACTTTACGCTACTCATGTCCAAGTTGATCTCTCTAGGACTATAGCACAAGGGGTATAATTATTCTAAAGTAACCCAGAAGTTTAATAAGCTGGCCAAGAAGAGGGATTTTCTTTTTCCCAGCATGAGGGACTCTACCTAGTATATGTCTCTATAGAATGGGTGGCTTTCTCTCCTAAGAAAAGGAAAACCCTTTGCACGAGCCCCAAAAACTCTAGGTTCTGGGCAGTTGATTTTCCCAGATAATGTTGTGAACAGCTGGCACCTAAATCTAGACTGTTTCACACCAAAAGCCTGTGTGTTCCTCCATTGATAAAGCTGTGTCCTCATGCTAACATGATAAAAAATTATAGTAAGGGAAACTAGTCTTCCTACACTGAAACACAGACTCATATTGTGAGCCCAGTAATTTCCTGACCATTTATGCATCAGTGTAAGACAGGAGGATGGGGAAATCATGCAATCTATTCTTTTGCTGATTAGTAATCTTTGTGAGTTTTCCTAATACAGCATTTTTTTTTTTTTGGCTGAACGCAGAAGAATTTATTGATGGTACACAACAAGGTGGGGCTCCCTAGGCCTCTCCCTCTTCAGAGGGTCTGCATGGAAACTGTGAGGAGGGGAGATTCTCATTGTGGTGGGGCACTGAGTGTGGCAGGGACTCCCCAGAAGCTGAGGGCCTCTGTTTTCCTCTCATGCTCTCGCTGGGGCTGGTGGTCCAGGGATCTTACTCTTTGAAGGCCCTGTGGGCAATGAGGTCGATCACCCTTTTGCTATAGCCAAATTCATTGTCATACCAGAAAATGAGCTTGAGAAAGTGGTCATTGAGGGCAATGCCAGTCCCAGGATCAAAGGTGGAAGAGTGGGTGTCGCAGTTAAAGTCAGAGGAGACAAGCTGGTTCTCAGTGCAGCCCAAGATGCCCTCGAAGGGGAACTCCGATGCTGCTTCAACACTTTCTTGATGTCATCATTTTTGGCAGGATTTACATAGGCAAGTCAGGTCCACAAATAACATGTTGGCAGTGAGGACATGAAACGTCATGCCAGTAAGCCTCCTGTTCAACTCAGGGATGACATTTCCCATAGCCTTGACAGTGCCAGGAGATGCAGGAATGGCATTATGGAGAGCCCCGCGACTCTCATGGCATAGTTTCCTGGAGGGGCTATCCACAGTCTTCTGGGTGGCAGCGATGTGTGGACTGTCGCCATAAGTCCTTCCATGACACCAAAGTTGTCATGGATGAACTTGGCCAGGGGTGCTAAGCAGTTAGTGGTGCAGGTGACATTGCTGATGATCTTGAGGTTGTTGTCATACTTCTCATGGTTCATGCGCGTCTCAGATATGGGGGCGTCAGCAGAGGGGCAGAGATAATGACCCTTTTGGATCCCTCCTGCAAGCGAGCCCCAGCCTTCTCTATGGTGGTGAAGATGTCGGTGGACTCTATGATGTACTCAAGGCCAGCATCACCCTATTTGATTTTGGTGGGATCTAGCTTTTGGAAAATGGTGGTTAAATTTGTATTCATGACAAGCTTCCCGTTTTCAGCTTTGACGGTGTCATGGAATTTGCCATGGATGGAATCATACTGGAACATGTAGACCACGTAGTCGAGGTCAATGATGGGGTCATTGATGGCAACAGTATCCACTTTAACAGAGTTAAAAGCAGCCCTGGAGGCCAGGCACCCAATATAGCCAAACCAATTGACTCCAGGCTTCACCTTCACTGTGGTGCCTTGGGAATGCCACTGGCGCTGCACAAGAAAATGTGGCTGTCTGTCGAACGGGAGAAGCAGAAATCTACAGCATATTATTTAACCCATAATTATCATATTGAGAAATTCTTTGCGAAATCTGGTACCAATAGGTGGTGACTCAGATGGGCATCACTTGACATAGCATGCTGACCTTCCCCGAGCATCATGTGGACAATTCAGTTGTCTCAGTATTACTTGTTTAAAAGACTATCCTTTTGCTCCAATGAATTACTTTTGTGAAAATCAATTGACCCTATGATTTTGGCCGTTAACTAACACATAAGCAATAATTTCCTCAAAATGGATTATAGGCCTAAATTTAAAGGCCAAATTATACACCTCTTAGGAGAAAACATAGATTAACATACTCATGAACTTGAGTTCGACAAAATCCCGATGTTTCCTGGTAGAAGAAAAAAGTTGAAATATTGAGTCATGATCAAAACTAAAACTGTTTGCATTTTAAAAGACATCAATAAGATAATGGAAATATAATCCAGAGACTGAGAAAAAAATTTCAAGTCATACATTTGATAAAAGATTTGTATCCAAAATATAAAATACACTGACAACTAAATAGCAAAAAGATAAATAAGCCAATTTTAAGTTGGGCAAAATATTTGAATAGCCATTGCACCAAAAGGTGTAGGAATAGCTAATAAAGCACATGAAAAGATGGTCAGTATCATCAGTCAGCAGGGAAATGCAAATCAAAACTACAATGACACACCACTTCTTACCCACTAGAATGCTATGATAAAAATGAAGGACAATAACAATTGAGGAAGTGAAATAACAATGATGTGGAAAAATTGAAATACTCATGCATTGTTGATGGGACATGCAGCCATGTTGGAAAGCAGTTTGGCAGTTTCTTAAAACGTTGAAGATACATTTACCATATTACCTAGCACTTTCATTCCTTGTTGTCTACTCCAAAGGAAAAAAACCTATGTCCACACAACACATGAATGTGAATATTAGTAGCAGCTTTATCCATAATAGTCCATAAAGTAGAAACACATCAAATATCTATCAGCTGATGAAACAATAAACAAATGGGAGTGATCCATACAATTTAATAGAATTTAGCACCTAAAAAAATAAAATATTGATACGTGCTACAACACAGGTGAACCACAAAAGCACATTAATCTAAGTGAAAGAAGACAGATACAAAAAACCACATGTTGTATGACTCTATTTTTATGATATCCAGAAAAGACAAATCTGTAGTGTCAGTAAGTCAATTAGGGGTTGTCTGGAGCTGGGGAGTGGGAATAAGGGGTGGTATTGATGAGCATGAGGGATTTCTTAGGAATTATAGAAATGTTCCAAAACAAGATTGTGATGATGGTCAAACAAGTCTAAAATTTTACTAAAAATAATTAAACTGTACACTTAAAATAGGTGAATGTTATGATATGTCAATTATACCTCAGTAAAGCTGTTTAAAAACAAAAGAATGTTAGCAGTGTGGCCTTATTGACCCCTAATCAGTCTTGCTCTTTGTTTTATTTCTTGCTTTCTTTAGTGCTTACATTTATTAGTTTCACTCAGAGACTCCAAGAGACACTGGCTGAAATCTACCAGCCTCCAGAACTCTCAACTGCTAAGGGAATGAGTGACCCTCTCCTGAAGGCGATGGGGATTGTTAAGGTGCACTCCAGCATCTGTTATAGCACGTAAAGGCACATGATGCACCTGAGTGGTTTCAGGTAGTGCTCCACACGTCTCAGCAAGATCCAGGGCCTGCAGCTAGTTCTCTTAGCTTCAGAGAACAAGCTGCTGCATCCTGGGTCACAGGGCTAATCTTTCCTAGGCAAGTGCGTTTGAAGCGTTGATAGTCAGATCCCAAGTAGAAGGTGAATGTCTACAACATGGGAGGAGGGCAAGACCTAGAGTGGGGTTTCAAACCAAATCATTTCTGGAGTATTACTTCCAACAATTGCAGAAAGCATTCTTGTTAAGTGCTTATGGCATGTTCACCAACATAGACCATATGCTGCACCATAAAACAAGTCTCAATATATATCCAAAGATCAAAATCATACAGAGTATATGCTCTGGCCACAATAGTATTTGATTATAAAGGCATAACAATAAGATATCTAGAAAATCCCCAACTTTTAGAAAACAAGCAGCATGCTTCTGATTAACACTTGGGTCAAAGAAGAAATCACAAGAAAATATTTTAAACATCATTAACTGAATGATGATAAACCAGCATTAAAATGTTAGATACAGCTAACATAGTGTTTAAAGAGAAATTTACAACTTTAATTGTCTATACTGGAAATGAGCAAAGGAGTAAAGTTAATTATCTATGATTTTATCATAAGAATCCTGAAAAAGAAGAGTGAAATAAACCCAAAGTCAATAAATGTAAGTCAATTAAAAAATAATGAAAATCATGAAATAGAAAAATGAACAAACAATAGAGACAACCAATGGTCAATTTTTCTATACTCCATGCACAATACCTATGAGGTGGATTGGGGGAAGGGCAGAGAGATAACAGAGAACAGGCAGAAAAATCTTTCTGGAGTGAAGGAAATGATCTATATCTTCTTTTGGGTGGTACTTAAATGGGCATATATGACTGTCAAGGTTCACTGACACTGAACACTGGAGATCTGGGCATTGTAATATTTATAAATTACATCTCGATTTTTTAAAATAGAGGAAAGTGTCTTGGGGAGCTTACGATGGAGATATGTGGGCAGTTCTGGGGCATAGGCTTCAAAAGCACTTACAGCATCTCCAGGAATTTGCTGAGAATTGTTTTGCAGGCAAAAATATAAGATAAGTTCAAACATCTATGATAAAAGTAATTGTGGCATACAACTAAAAATCCCTATTCTTGTGGTACAGGTCATATCATTAAGTGGTTATCACTAGATAGCTTTCCTTCAATGATGTTCTTCATCTAGGAACACAGAAGTCTCCAGGGGAAAATGGCGATTGAAGTTTTGGATATATTGAGTTCGAAAGAAAGTCACCCCCATAAAACTTAGTGATTGGAGCTGTCACCCTTGCAAATTTCTAAACTCTGCAAGATAGCAGCAACATTTCAAATGATACTCTGACAGAGGAGATAATGGGCTAACGTAGATTTCCCTCCAGATGTATTTATTGCACAAGGACAAAATTCACATTTCACTGGGAGATTTCTCCCACTCTAGTTTAAGATCACAGGTTGCAGATCCCAGACAGCTGGTATCAACTGGCCAGTATCATGTTAAGACTAAACCCAAGACTCTATCACACTGCAGCCTTAAGATTGGATTTCTCCTACTGTTCCTGGGAAGAACTAGATATAACCTAAAGGTCACTATTCTCCTGAGATAAGGGATCCTGCAGGAGGAGACAGCAATGAGTATGTGGCCAGAGTACAAATTGATACGAGCTGGGCCAGAAGCCACAGTGCATAAAGCTTCAGACCTGCCACAGGGGATGAGGTGACCAGCACCCTGATTACTCGGTCCACCTTTTAACGATCTAACAAATGGCTAGAGCTTTTTCATTTTTTTTTTTCAACTACCACTGGCAGTGGTGGGGACACAGAATTTTTGCAAAAAAAGAGGGTGGAGGAAAATAAGGGATCTGTGTGAGTATATAACCATTTGACCACTCTTCTTAGCCCTCTCCTGGGTCACCTTAGAATCAGATCTGTTCCCCAGCATCTTCTGCTCCCTGGCGAGGGTTTCCTGCTACTTTGGATTAGCCATGATGGGCTGGAACTTCCTTGTGACAGGAGCAGGAATGTTTCTGGATCAGAGAATCATCCATCTCTTGGTGAAGGAGAAGGAGCTGAAGGAGATCAGGGCTTTGGAAAAGGCCTTCAGACCAGAATTGAGGAAGGAATTTTCCATAAGTAAACTTGAGTTATAGGTGTTTGGCTCCATCTTAAACCCTCCATGCATGTTGGGAGGTGGAACTTGTCTAGCAAGTTATGGAAAGTTGTAGTCAAATCAAAGCCAATACCACATCCACAGTAATCAAAAAAGAAATATTAAATAGTATAAAATGGCATAGTGGGAAAGATACTGGATGGGATGTCCGGAGACTGGATTCTGGCCCTGACACAGAACTTGAGAGGTAGCCACCTCAGCCTCCATGCATTTTTTCTTCTCATCTAAAAAATCCCACATCAATTCTCTTTCTTGTCTACAACTCATTTATGTTCTGAAGCTTTTTGTCTTGCCAATTGCTGTGCAACATTCACAGAAAACACTATTTATCTGGAGACCTCACCAGTGAGTCCCTGTCTCTCTAGACTGCCCCGGGCTTTGTTTCGTTTTGTAGCATCCTTAGCATCTTTAGTGAAGGTAAAATAAAAGGAAATGGAAAAAAAAAGATGAGTGTGTCAGTGTGTGTGTGCATTTGTGTGTGACAGAGAGAAATGAGGGGAGAGAGAATCACAAAGAGAGAATGAGAAAGACAGAGTGAGAGAGAGAGAGAGAGCATCAGTGAGAGGGAGAGAGTGCGCACTAGTGCACAGCACAGAGCAGAGCCAGAGTAAGAGGCAGTATGAGGCCAGACATGCCTCATTTAGATTTCACATATATGACTTTTTTTTAACCATTTGTCTGTTATCACCACAATAAGTTGACTGCAGAATTTGAAGTAGCAACTCCTTGTATGAATAGACCCATGAGGGAGTTAGAAGAGGGGTCACAGGCCAGGTGCGGTGGCTCATGCCTCTAATCCCAGCATTTTGGGAAGCCAAGGCGGGCAGATCACGAGGTCAGACGTTTGAGACCAGCCTGGCCAACATAGTGAAACCCCATCTCTACTAAAAATACAAAAATTAGCCAGCATGGTGGCGTGCCCCTATAATCCCAGCTACTCGGGAGGCTGAGGCAGGAGAATCACTTGAACCCAGGAAGTGGAGGTTGCAGTGGGCTGAGATCATGCCACTGCACTCCAGCCTGTATGACAGAGCAAGACTCCATCTCAAAAAAAAAAAAAAAAGAAGAGGGGTAACATCCAACTGAACTATGAACCCATCAAGGTGCAGAAACAGAGTGACTTGCCAAGAACATCTGATTAATGTGTAGCAGAGCTCAGACCAGAGCTTCATCCAGAGGCTTCATCACTTGGCCCTTGAGCTGATGCTTGGCAAGGTGGGTCTTCAGTCTCTTCCTTTGCCTCCATGTGTGTCCCAAACCAATTCCCTGTCATCTTCCCCAACCCAAATGATTGGGGGGACTGTGTGTCTACATGTGGGCTCTGGCTGCCCAGAGGGTCCTGCCCTGTGCACAGAGAAGCCCCCCATTGACAGCACTCCGGGACCACACCCAACAATCTAGTCTTCCTTTCACTCTTCTCTGACCTCTTCAAATGTCAGATTTCCTCCACTCTCTGTTTTAATGGTGTCTTTGATAAACAAATATTAATGCACGACCAATATTAAATGTTTGTAATCCTTGTGTCTCAGCAATATTTGCAATCTAACATCTGATATCAGGAAAAAAGCAATGCTCAGCCTAGAGGAACAGTTCCGCTATGGTGAAAATGCAGGGGGCATAATGGATGGGCAGGGCCTGTATGAAGATAAAAACAGAGAATCCTTTCAGTGTTCTTTCTGTGCCAGGCACTGTGCTAAAGGTTTTGCATGTGCTGACTCATTTACTTCCCATAACAACCCTATGAGATTGGTAATATTATTAGTCTTATTTCTTATAGATGACGAGACAGAGAGGTTAATCAACTTGTCCAAGGTACCACAGTTAGATTATGGCAAAGCTGGATTTGAACCCAGACAGTGTAGTGCAGCTTCTGTGCTCTTAAGCTGTAGTTGTCTAGCAGCTTCTCTAGACCTCCCTCTAGCTCAAGTCATGCCATAAAAGCAACTGCATTTAGTCTACATAAAACACTTGCCAAGTCCACAGTGCCTTGGAGAAGGAGGGAGCTATGGCTTCATCAACAAAAGTCCCCTTTCTTGGTCCCTCTAGATCCCTGAAAACTCATTGGGGGAAGAGTCCTTTTCTCTCTGCTTTGGAGTTCTTCTGCTTTGACATAGCAATTCCTTTGAGCCAGTCTGTCTGAAGTTGGCAGCAAAGAAGAAGCAGAGGAAGGGAGTAGGAAGGGCAGAGGTGGAAAAACAACCAGAGAAAATTCCACTCTCAGGCTGTTAGCCACCTCCTCCCCAACAGCCTCTTTCCTACCTCCCCCCACTGCAGGACCTTCTTAGAGTTGCCTGACAAAGGGAAGGGTCTGGCAGTAGACAAAACATGGCAGAGGCATCAGGAGAGCAAACGGTCCTGCTTGTACCCCAAGAAGGAATTTCTCCAGCCTTGAATTTTTCACTCTGAATTTTACTCTCACTGTTCTTTAGCCTTTGTTGCCAGTTTCAGTTAAACTGGCTTATTCTTACCCTTTCTCAGAAAAGCTGATTCTAAACAGCCAGTCCTGCACCTGGGGTACAGGGTACAAAAATGGCACGTGGGATGGGCAGGTTTGAGCCTTCACTAGAAGCCTGGCCTTAGATCTCTCCTTAACCTCTTAGCCTCAGTTTCCTCACCAATAAAGTGGGACTCAGAATACCTACCTCTTGAGATAGAGATACAAGGAAATAAGCAAGCTGTGAGCCGTATGCAAATTATAAAGCACAAATGAGAGTAGAGTATTTATCCGAGCTCCATGTAGCATGGTGCTCATTTTGTGGGTTAATTCCAGGTGATAACTTTACTGGCAGCATAACTACCTGTGGATTTCAGAGAAGCCTGAAGACATTGATGTTGTAACCACTGCCCCTGGCTAGACAGTTGGAATGTCAGTTCATCAGTGGCTAACTCATTGTCAGCATCGCTGTCTGCTTTTGATGCTATTTTGATAAGAGTTTTCAACGAAATTCATCATTTCAATGAAATTCATTCATTCATAATTCATCATTTCATCATTTTATGTACAATTCCTGAGTCATGGCTCCACTCTCCTCCCAGTTGCCCAAGCAGGAAACTGTAGGGGTGATTTTATCTTCTCCTTTTCCTCTCAGCCCAGCTCCAATAGGTACCAGGACCTTAAAGGTAAGGTCTGAAATTCAAACCTGGTGTATCTCTCCCCTCCTCTGCTTCCACTGTTTGACCCTGGTTCCAGTCCTCATCTAAATGTTGGCACAGACATTCCGATTAATCTCTTGATCACCTGGCTTTCTCATATCCCCTATACCAGTCCGTTTTATATCCTCAAGCCAAGGTTAACTTCCTGCATCACAACTCTGCTTCTGTTTCCCTTTTACGGTTTTTTTTTTCTTTCTTTCTTTCTTTTTTTTCTTGAAACAGCGTTTTGCTCTGCTACCCAGGCTGGAGTGCAGAGACATAATCTTGGCTCACTGCTACCTTCACCTCCTGGGCTCCATCCATCCTCCTGCCTCAGCCTCGCAAGTAGCTGAGACTATAGGCACTATAGCCTGGGTACTTTTTATATTTTTAGTAGAGACAGGGTTTCACCACGGTGTCCAGACTGGTTTCAACTTCCTGGGCTCAAGTGATCCACCCACCTCAACCTCCCGAAGTGCTGGCTGGAATTACAGGGGTGAGCCACCATGGCCAGTCTGTTTTTGTACTTCTTTTAAACAAAAATAATAGGTTTTATTTGACATGATGTTAGAGACCCAAAATCATTATTCCTGGTTACATATAGAATTAAATTAAAATATTTTCCTCTTATACCCAACTCTCCACAATCACCCTACTCCCCTTAAGAAATTTGGTGAGATTCCCATGGCTCTAGCAATGCTTACATTCTAAGACACCTGACAACTCACTGTTCAGATTACTTTCCTGGAATGAGGTGAGGTACAAACAAATATTTGTTCTTTCCCAATCAACCACAACACATGCTGATTTCTCTGTCTTTGTTTACTTGTTCCTTTTATGGAATGTACACCCTCCACTCTAACACCCCCACTCTAACATCCTTGAGCACTTATGAAACATCACCTTTATCAGAAAACTTCCTAGCCAGATCCAGAAATCATTGCAATGACCTGACCCATGTTCATGCAAAGCTCCAAAACAAGACCAAGCTAACAGTGTTGGAAGGAGACATTCTGAATGAGTCATGCCTTAAAAGAGCCTGCCAGGACATCTTGGTCATCATCCACACTGCCTCTATCATTGACGTCTTCGGTGTCACTCACAGACAGTCTATCATGAAAGCCAATGTGAAAGGTACAGTATCCTGGGGAGGAGATGGAGCAATGTGGGAAAATGAGAATCAGAAAGAAGGACAGGATGGAAAGAGAAGTTTCTCCACTGAACACCTGCTGTACTCTGGGCCAAGTGTCTTTGCTGATCACTACCAACTAGGGAGTTCAAGACTGCTAACTTTAGTTTTTTAGATGATAAAACTAGGGCTAAGAGATGACAAGTAACTTGTCCTAGGTTCTCCAGGTAAGTAAGTAAGTAGGTGAGTTAGGCTTTAAATTCACTCTTGTGTGACTCCAAAGGCTGTGGATGCTCTTTCTACTGTGGCTCCAATAAAAGATAAACTAAACTCCAACTTCAGACTCTTGATGTCAAGCCACCGCTTGCCTCCCAGCGCAAAAATCATACCTTCCAGATGTCACCATAGTCATCATTTTGAACCTTGTGTGCAGGCTGATGAGAACATTCAGAGCCCTCCTGTCCACCTCAAAGAAGAAGTCCTCTTGAGAGAACTAGCAAAGCTGGTTCACAGAGGTCTGTCAGGACAGAATTATCCAGCACATGCCTTCCCACAATATTTTCTTAACCATAAGATTTTCCCTGTATCCAGAATACAATCTCTTCAGCTCACCACCGGGTCTACTATTACAGAGCCATTTCTTGCCAGGTGCCCAAAGTGCAGCCTCATTCGATCCTCATCCCTTAAATATTGGGTGGTTTTTGCAAATTGTGGCTTTCCAACCTACTTTAAATTCAGACACATTGGCTTAAAGAATCTTGTCATGTAGTCTCACCCTCTGATTCCCAGATCCCAGTCTCTTCAGGACCATAGCACCCCACTGCTGGCCTGGCCCTCCACATTCAGTCTACTCTGATGCCTTTTCTAATGCAACTAATTGCTTTTGGGTCTCCAGCACCATCTAAAAGAAAAAAAAAAAAAAAAAAAAAAAACCTTGTCAGTTTCTACTTGCCCATAACCTGTAAGTACCCCTACAGTGCAAGGAGTATGCTAAGAAAACTAGTTTTTCATTTTAATTCTTATTCTCTACAGCTCCCAGCAACAGGGGATGTGAAATGACAGGGGAAGTGTTAGAGGCATCTGTTTCCTAAAACCATTATCACTGGCAGGCTTAGAGAATACTTCACAACGTTGGTCATTTACCCCTTGAAGGTAAACTAACTCCATATTTTCTCTGCCACTAGACTAATTTTTGAAGATGATACTGTCTCTCCAGAAACTCAAATTGCACAGAGACTTTAAAAGGAGCCAACAGTACAAAAATAAGCAAATAAAAATGATCTTTTGCCCATGATTTTTCTTCCTGCTTCAAGGGAAGACGCTCTGGATACCTCCATGAGCTTTGCTTTCACACAGCTCAGGGGAGGCTGCAAGGTCCTCCCCATGCAGGTGTTACCAGCAGAGGGCACACTCCCTCCCCAGTCCTCCACCAGGTTCCACAGGAAACACCAGTGCAGGGTTTGGAATACTAAGTAGAAGGAAGGTTTATTTATTACCACCACCCCCGCTTTACATAACTGGATAAACAGAGTCACAACCAGAATTGGAAGCAGCTTGCCTGGAGAACACACAATCAGGAAAAGTGTGTGGGTATCCAGAATCTCCCCAAACATACTATTTGCTCAGTGACTTCAGGGATTTGGTTTTGCTAGTCAAAGTTTTATTAGTCTTCAATAAAATGAGAAAAAGTTTTATTAGTCCTCAACAAAATGAGAAAAATACCAGCAATTGCATGTATATATTTAAGAGCATATATTGCCTTAATATACAACTGTGAATGTGTGTGCGTGATGTGAATTCTTCCACTGCCCTTTTGTGCCTAAGGACTGGGACTGTCCATATTCTCAGAGTGTAGCTTCCTGATTTTTTAGATTTTAAATAATCTGTCTTTAATGGTATCAATGGAAAATCATAATTTTCCAATATTCTTACTTGCCAAAATATAAAGTGATAACCCTAGGTTCTTTTCCAAAATTAAAGTATACACGTACACACACACACACACACACACACACGTCCACAAAACCCAAAAGTCTAGAAATTCTTCCTCTCTAGAGCCCAAATGTTCATTTATTTTTATTTTTATGTTTTTCCTATGGCTGCAGCATGGCCCAATCTCTGTCAGAGCCACAGAAGAATACAACACTCAGTTGTAACCCAAGTGTGTTACAACCACTGCACTTGGGAGTGGGGAGTGGGGCACATGGATCTGTGCACGTGGTTGCGGCCCCATAGGGATATTTCCTGACACTGACAGCATACTCTTCGTGGGCAGGTACCCAACTTCTGTTGGGAACCTGTGTCCAAGCTAGTATGCCAGGCTTCATCCACACCAGCATCATAGAAGTATCCAGGCCCAACTCCTGCAATGAGATCATCCAGAATGGCCACGAATAAGAGCCTTTGGAAAACATATGGCCTGCTCCATACCCATAGAGCAAAAAGCTTGCTGAGGAGGCCGTGCTGGCAGCTAATGGGTGAACACTGAAAAATAGCGTATCTTGTACATTTGTGCCTTAAGACTCATGTATATCTATGAGGAAGGAAGCCCTATACTTTCTGCCACTACAAATGAGGCCCCATTACAATGGGATCCTGTCAAGTGTCAGCAAGTTATCCACATCAACACAGTCTATGTTGGCAATGTGGCCTGGGCCCACATTCTGGTCTTGTGGTCCCTGCAGGACCCCAAGAAGGCCCTAAGCATCCGAGGACAGTTCTACTATATCTCAGATGACATGTCTTACCAAAGCTATGACTACCTTAGTTACACCCTGAACAAAGAATTTGGCCTCTGCCTTGATTCCAGATGGAGCCTTCCTCTAGCCCTGATATGCTGGATTGGCTTCCTGCTGGAAATAGTGAGATTCCTGCTCAGGCCAATTTATACCTGTCAACTCCCCTTCAATCGCTACAGGAGATATCATCAAGCTTCATCCTCCTGGCTTCATACAGAAGGTGACAAGGGCACAAGCCCAGATCCTGCTGCCTCCCTTTCACACAATGGCCAACTTATTGTCTTCCTCGTGTCATCAAAACCTGTGCAGTCACTGGCCCAACCAGAAGCTTTCTGTGCTAACCATATACCAAAGGACAGACAATGTGATTTGCCGTTACCAAATATCAGTGGCTAATTCTGAACAATTTGGGATCTCTTTTAACTTGAGGGTCTCTTTTGACTACTAGAGCTCCATTTCCCCTCTTAAATGAGAAAGTATTTCTTTTTTTTTTTAATCTCCTATTTCTTCACACAGTTCAATGAAAAGAGCAATAAATGCTTTAATGCTTAACTGGAGGGAGGTGTGGTTTCTATTAATACATACTTTCCTCCTTTCCCTTCATTTCAAGGTATCACCGTCTCCAATTTAGAAGAGTACCATGAAACCAGGGTTTGAGGGGTGGGCAGAGTAGTGGGAGGGTCAGGAAGGGCGGATGAAGACTGAATAAGCTCTAGTATGTTTCGGGCAACTACAACATGACCTACATATGACATATATTACCTTATTTAATACTCATCAGAAACCTCTGATGTGAGATGACTATTTCCATTTTATCAGGGGGGAAACTTGTTCACGGTCATACCAACTGATTAGTGACTAGACCTGCTACCAGGGAGTCAGCCTTGAAAGTCCTTATCTTTCCACTGAAACACTCAGCCTGAATTTGTCTTGTCAGTGGTACAGCAGAGCACTGGAGCATGGGGTGCCATTCCTTGAGAGAGCCCCAACTCCCATGGGTTACCTCCTTCTTGCCCAATTCCATGCAGGAAACTCTCTAGAACCCAAGAGAATCCCTGAGGGCACCTGAAAAGGTTTGCATGCCTTACCAAACCGCCCTGAGCAGGGGAGAGAGAAGGAAAAATGCATTTAGCCTCCACCAGCTTCAGTGTCAATTTCCTTGAAGGTCTGTAGAACACACCTCCCATGGCTATATGTGTGCTGGTCATTCTGGTTATTCATAACCCTGCATTTCAACCTTTCAAATCACACAATGAAGCCATACCATAGGTTCCTGGGCAAGTAAAGAGAACAAGGGTGAGCTTCCCAGAAAATTTATCTCCTACTCAGCTCAAAAAGTAGAAGTCTACTATCCCACATCCCCAGATATAACTGCCTCTCCCTCCTTTTTTATCCATCTTTCCATTAAATCATATCCTTTCTTCCTTTATTCTTCCAACTCCTTAGCTTCTCCTTCCCTACATCTCCCCTTTTATCACTGGCCCTCGCATTCTTCTCAATTTCCCTGAGGAGAGGAGGCCAATAAAGACAAGTTTGGGGACTTCAGTGATGACATAGTCATTAATCAACCAAAGAAGCAACGGTCAAAAGAAACACTTTCAGGGGCATTAGGGACAGAGTTGAACTGAAGCGGGTGAGGAGGTTGCTGTGGGTCCAGAGTGTGGGAAGGGAAGCTGTCTCCCTCTGGACCTGGGTATATCACAGCCATGATGAGGGTCACACTCAACATCAAGATGGCTTCTTTCTTACACAGAAAATTTACAGATGATTAACCTCAAAGCACCAAGGGACAGGTGATCAGCACCAGCATCAGGGTGGAATGGCCCTAGGCAGTGGGGTAAAGTGAAAAATGGAACACCCCTCTTGCCCCATCCACTGAACAAAATGCAAGAGCCAGCACCTCTCCAGCTCTTGTAAGGCATGCCCACCATCCATATGTTTATGACAAATAGCATGGGAAGGATAGGAGGGTGGTGGAATCTGGGACAAGAGCCTTTCCCCCTGGTTTTTCAGCCTAGTGAAACCCCACTCCTATTGACCAATGAGGGCAATGTTCACAGAGAAGTGATGGGAAAGATTATACCTCCAATGGGCAGTGAGGGGTGATCACAGAAAGAGAGGAAGAAATTGGATGGGCCAGCAGTCTCAACTGGACAAGCACAAAGGCCTCGGAGTGTTGTGGCCAACAAAATGTGCCATCCCTTCTTACAACTGTGGGTGCCAGGCAGGCAGAGCTCCTGCACCAAGCAAGCCTCGCTGAACCTCACGCCATGCACCACACGGAGGCAGCAAGTCTCGGAGGGAAGAGCAAGGAAGCCTGACCCAGTGGGGATTTTTGGGTCCCTTTCCTCCATCTAGGTGGCTCTGCAGGGTACCTGGCAAGGGAATGAATGAAAACACAGGTAAGTTCTCAGCCACCGGCTTAAGGGCTAGGTGTATATGAATACAGACAATGGAGCTGAGCTGGTCACTGGGAAAAGCCACAGGAACCAGCGGGACTTAAATGAGGCCTTGAATTCCTGGGTCCAGACAGGGGGCACAGCATGGGCAGTGGTGCAGAGGAAGACGAGGGGCATAAGGAGGCCTCCCGTCTGCTGGGAAGCATGTATGGAGGGCAGATGAGGAGCTCAGGTACTTGACAAAAGTTTCCACCACCTGAGAGCCAGGCTCTGAGGGCCAGGATGGGGCTGGGAACCCGTGATGGCCTGCTGAGAACTGGCAGGAAAGTAGCCAGAGGCCAACTTTTATGTGAAATCTCTTGATTTCTAAATATTAGCAACTAACTCTAAATTTTAAAAAACAGCTCAAAGACCTGCTCCAAGAGAGGAATGCGTGGGCTAGTATTCAAAATGTATGTGTAATATTTTATTTCTTAAAAAGTAGGTGGTGAGATGTCAGCAGCAAATCTGTTCATTCTTGGTGAAAAGTCCCAAATATACATTATTATATCGTATTGTCACCTTTTCTGTATATTTAACATAGGTTATAATTTTTTAATAAATTAAATTTGGTGGGGAAAAAACATGCAAACTAACAAAACACATTCACAGGCTGGACCCAGGATTAAGAGCTCTGATTTTCCATTTCTGCTCCCAATCTAGTGGTCCAGTGGGGGAGATAAAATACAAGACATGTTAGGTGCTGTGCATAGTAAATATGCAGAGTGCCATAGAAAGGAAAATGCTTCTGAAGGATCCATTCCCACAGGGGACTCATGGGGTCCTTGCATTTTGGCTGGATATCAAAAGATGGGTAGGATTTCAACAGACAGGAATGTGAGTGAAATTATTCCAGGCAGAGGCAATGCAGTCTGCAAAGACCCAGGTGAGAAAGGGGTCCATTTTAAGCAGCAATGAGACCAGACCAGAAAGCCCAAGGCCAGGGGAGACATGGAAGATACACCTGAAAAAAATGATGGGCACAGGCAGGATCACCTGGGGTCATCCCTGGAGACACCGTGCCTGCTTCCTTCATTGCCCTCAGAGTAGGAATTCTGTGCCCCACACCCCCTTAAAGAAGACTTGACATTCAATTACTTCACATATAACATGGCTCATCTTCTCTCAAAAATTGGACTCTACAGGAAACGAATGTCTCCTTTAGCAATGAATATTGATGGTGATGCTAAAAGCTGGGACATCATTCACTCTGCAATGGGCATTGTTCAGCTGTCCCTGGAAGATTACCTTGGCAGCATGTTGTAGGATGGACTGAAAGAGATGAAGAGGATACTTGAAGAATTTAGGTAAGAAATGAAGGCCTGATTTATGTGTTGGTAACAAAACAGACTACAGGGGCAACTGCGGCAGGCCTGAGACAGAATGGCCGCTAGTTTAGACAGGACTGGGTGTGGGCACAGAATTCCCAAGCACACACTTTCTCAAGCCAGAAACCTGGATGGCAGCCCCCCACTCCGCCCACCTATCATTCAGTGCTACGAACTTTACCTCCACAACACCTCTTGAATATGTCGTCTTCCTCCCTGGTAACATCATTCCTACTCGTACCCCCAACAGGCCTCCTTGTCTTGGAGAATCACCCATGAAACCTATCCTCAGCAGTGTTGCCAGAGTTCTCTCCAAACTAGTCTCACCATGTCACTCCCTTCCTTAAAACCAACCAATAGGGGGAGCCCCAGGACTGTCAGGACGAGCCTGAGAGCCTTAGCAGAACATAGAGGGCCTCTGAAGCCCTGGGCCCTGCCTGACACTCCAGACTAATTCTCACCAATCCCTGCCCTGTCCCCAGATTCTCCTACTTTGTGCCTCAACAATTTTCCAAACTCAGCGCTTCCTGCATGCAGCATGCTTTTATATCCACCCAGGCCGGTGCATGGTGTTCCTTCCGCTTAAAGGGTGCCCAGCTCTCCTGCCAGCACATCCTTCCCAGCTCCTTATTTACTATCCAATATGTCTCATTTTACAGCCTCTGTGTCTTGTGCATATCGAGTTGCACTCTCACTGATTTTTCATTTATATATCCTGTTCCGCACCCCTACACTGCCGTGTCTTGAGGACAGTAACTCACCATGTCATCTCTCTGTCCCCAGTGACTGACACAAAATAGACACATGGGCTGATGGAGGGATGGATGGATGGAAGGATGAAACACAAGTAAACTCATCTGTTAGAATGGAGAGAGGAAGGGATAGACAGTCAGGGAGCAGAATGCTTTGAATGACAAAGTAAGAAAGAATTCACAGATGACTTTTCAAGGTGTCCATGAACCTGAAGAAGCTAGATCATCATAAAGAGATCCAGGAGAAAGAGAAGGCGCACGGAGTGTATGGAGCTGAGAATGAACTCATTTGTGTGATATGAAGAGTGAGTGGGGTTGTGAGAGGCCTACAAGCAGGGAAATGGAAAGGCTGATGAAAGTGAAGCCCAGCTGCCAAGGTTATAAAGGGACTGGGAATTAAATCCAAAACCTGAAATGGCACAAGGCCCAGAGCATTTTTATACTATAAGAAAAAGAAAATTTGTTTTAAAAATTAAATTCAGAAGAGAATCTCACACTCTTAGGCAACTCAAGTGAGGATCACTCAACATCTCTGGCTACATGTTCTTCTTGAGACATCAAGAGACTCTGGTGGCAATTTGGAGGGATTTTTTTTCCTTTTTTTTTTTTTTTTTTTAATCATGGACCAAGATGCCACCCAAGTCTAATGAGCAGGGAATGGAGTCGGTGATCTGAGGCATGAAATAGGTTCATTATGAGGAAGTGAAGGGGGAAGGCTAGATGAACAGAAGAAAGTGGCTTGGCCACTCTGTCCCCAAAAGCAGGGGGCACTGGGGTCAGTTGCAGACTCCAAAACAGTCAGTAATCTGTTCTGGAAACCTGAAGCTCCCTATTGAACAGCGGACTCTTTCCTCAAGAAATGGAAGAACCAGCACTAGCAAAGTCAGCCATTCTTCCTAAACAGATACTGGTGACAGAGGTGTGGGCATGAGGTGGGCTGTGGGACTATTGTCATCCTAGCATGAACCCTGGCCACTGAGGTAGGAATACCCTTCTCATGAGCCCAGACCTAACTCCTTCCTGCATCAGCTGGAGTCTGTCAAATCCCTGGTGTAGCCCTGAGCAGAGCAGTTCCATGGGCACATGGCCTGTGCCATCACCCAGGCCCTGTGCTTGGCTTAAGGGGCTGCCATGGGACCCCACATTTCATTTTGCACTGATCCCTGTAAAATATGCAGGCAGTCTTGATTATGAGAACTTCTTTCAGCAGCAGGCAAAACACCTGTTGCCTGACCTATGGTGGGTAAATGGAAAAGGCTCCCTGGTTCTTCCAGGGCAGATCAATGTCCTTGTGGAGTTCAGATTTTAGAGCTAAAGAAAGCTTCCTCAGGCATGGAGGGGCACACCTATAGCCCCAGCTACTAGGAGACTGAGGCAGGAGGATCACTTGAATCCAGGAGTTCAAGGCCAGACAAGACCTCATCTCTAAAATTTTTATTAAATTGAAGTTAAAGAAGGATCTAGAGACCTTTACTCCAGCTTTTAACTGTGGGCTCCTTTCCTTATTTCATTTTACCAATGAGGAAACCGAGGCCTGGGAAGCAAGATGACTTTCCCAATGTTCACCTAGACCACCATCTGTAATAGTGACCTAGGATTTGCTACCTTTAAGATGAAAAGGGGGGTGAAGGCATAGAACTAGAAGGTTGCCCTACCAACATATTTATGAAGGGATTTAAAAAAACTGGGATGGGAGACATTTGAAAGAGGGCAGAGGGCAGGTTTAACCAGAAGTCAGCTAGCTAAGCCATTTGTCTGGCCCATACAGCCCAACCTCCCATGGGAACAACAGCTTGAGGAACGTGGGTGCTCCACGAACGGAGACAGGCAGATGTTTCATGATACAGAAATAAAAGTAGCTGGCTGTGAGAGGGACTAAGGAAAGGGGGAGAGGAGGGCAAAAAGAAACAAGTATTCTTTCATTTTAGAAACAGAATATTTCTACAAATGAGAGTGAGGGGTGCAAATCTTGAGTTCTCATTTCAATTTTGCCATCGAAGTTAAGCAAATCTCTTCACCTTCCTGGGTCTGTTTACCTTCCTGAGAAATGAAGGTTATGGCTCATTTCTAAGGTCTGTTGCCAGTGACATTGGGCTGTAAAAAAGTAAGTTGATTTGCATCCTCTGACACCTGCACACTTCTGCAGCTAAACTTCATAATAACACAAGCCTCCATGTGCTTATTTGTTTGCGTGAAGCTGAAGGCGCTTGAGAAAGTGGTTTCCCAGCACTTCCCTGGCTCTAGTGGCACCTGGCACCTCACTGGGAAAGGGGCATCATACCTCTCATAGGGTTGTCAAGGATCAAGAAGTGGGGCCAAAAAGTGTGGCCGATGCCCTCCCTCCCTGATATCTGCTGACCACTGAACTGCAAAACTTAGTGATGACTTAAATAAGGACTTTTGTCTTTACATTAAAATGTGGATGTTTCCCAAGTAGGTTTTAAAATTCTTAGAAAATCACTAGACACAAAAGTGGGCAGAGCCAATAGAGATAGTGCCTACTGAAGAGGAATCAGAAACCCAGAAAAGTCATGCCTTGCTCAAGTCCACTGCCAGTTAATGCCAAAGCTCTGCCCTGCACACTCCACGCACAGCACACCCTCAAAGGAGAGGCAGAACTAGTTCCTTCTTTCTTCCTGTTCTCAGGAAAGGGAGGCCATGCCTTCTCACTTCCTCATCACCCTGCCCCAGGAGCTGGAAATCCCAGAGGACACAGGCCACATGCACAGCAACTGCCTCTCTCCTCCTTCTAGGCTCCCAGGAGCTATGACACAAGACTTTAGGACACCCCTCAGCAGCCCCTTCTCTGCAGCACTGAGCACAACCACCTGGTAACCACCTTGCTTCCTAACATTCACACAAGCCCCTGAATCTTACAAGAGCCTTCGTGTTTGTCATTTGGTTTGATTTCCCCACACCTCATACCTGCATCTTTCCACTGCACAGATGAGAGCAAGATCAAGAATACCTATAGGGCTTGGTCTAGGCTGCAGCAACACTCAGCAGTGGCTGTGTCAGTCCAGTGAATCTCAGGCTATGAAGTCATGTCTGTGATTTCTACCAACTCTATTAACTTCAACACAGAAATCGGCAGAGCTACTTCAGGTGAAACCTTGAGGTGACCCTCATTTCAGACATTAGCTAATGCTGCCCTTGACAAGAGGCCTGTCTAGCCAGATCCTTTTCCAGCCCCTTGACAAAGTGAATTAGCTTTTCCAAGGTTACACACTGTTCCTTCCCTCACCCAACAAAGCCAGGTACAGTGGACATTGCCTAATTTGCAGCAGTGGTGGGAACCCTGACTTATAGTTGCAAAGTCCTTGGCAGAGAATCTGCTTAACACTGAGCCTTTGTTGAATGTACCGTCTTGCCCTAGCATAACATGTGAAGCCTTGACATGAAGTTCACCCTGTCCACCTCTCACCACCTGCAGCCCCAGGGGCCAAATCCTTAAAGTCATACATACAGTTGGCAAAATAATTCACCCCAAGCAGGTTGGGCAGGCAGGAAACAAAATCAGCCTTCACCTTCACCCTTAAATGGTGTTGGAATGTGTAAGCATCTCTACCTCTCTCATATCTGTCTCCCCAGCATTGAGCACTATGCCTGGAACATGTCTACTCAG